>NC_000012.12:106854067-107157097 GCF_000001405.40 Homo sapiens
AAGGGACTATGGGAGATTATAAAGAGTATGTTGCTACTATTTAGCAGCGACTGATGGTTACCATCAAGGAACATGTGGCCAGGGTTAGCAGATGTTCCATGTTTTCAAGAGAAGCTCTCTGTTTTTAAATGTTGTCAGCTAGTTCAAATTTAAAACCTTCTGGCCAGAAAAAAAGAAAATGTCTGCAGTTTACCTTCAACTTAACAGTAATCAGATTTTGGAATTTGGGTTTGGAGGTAGACTATTAAAATAAAATAAAATAAAATAAAATAAATTTCAAATAATTTTTCAGAATGTCTGAACTGTCTCTTAAGGATATGCCAAGTAAATTTGAAAGTGAAGGCACCTTGATCAAGGCTCAAAGGTCAGACCACTAAGTAGAGACAGACAGTAAGCAGCAGTTATAATGGGTTAGGAACACAGAGACTGCATTAAGAAAGAGGGGCCAGGCGCGGTGGCTCATGCCTGTAATCCCAGCACTTTGGGAGGCCGAGGCGGGCAGATCATGAGGTCAGGAGATCGAGACCATCCTGGCCAACATGGTGAAACCCCGTCTCTACTAAAAATATAAAAATTAGCTGGACGTGGTGGTGCATGCCTGTAATCCCAGCTGCTCAGGAGGCTGAGGGGAGAATCACTTGAACCCGGGAGGTGGAGGTTGCAGTGAGCTGAGATCACGCCACTGCACTCCAGCCTGGTGACAGAGCAAGACTCCGTCTCAAAAAAGAAAAAAGAAAGAGGTAAGAGAGAAAGGACAAAATTTTATGGAAGACTAGGCACAGAAAGAACCATCCAAAGGTCTTAAATACCCATCTGTGCCAGGCCCAACGGTATCTCCAGCACATAATGGCCCACAGGTTAACTTGTACTCATGCCATTAACTTGTTCAATTGAGCCTGAACATGACTATTTTTATCTCCCTGCAAATTGTGTACCTTCTACTAGGGGCCTAAAAATAGGCCTTACATTGTTTAATTAAAAGAAGATGATTTGTAAAATAATCTGCCTTGGTAGGGGTTCCCCCCCCACCTTTTATCGTATTCATTAAATCTCAGTATGTGGTAGGCATTATGATGTAGGGGCTGAATTGCAAAGAAAAATTAGGCTTGAACTCCCTTAGCACATAGCCCCACACCAATAAATTTACTGTAATACCCACTTCAGTCTCAGAGGAATAGGTTGTCTCTTTAGCTTGAGGTTCACTAGTCTCCCTTTCCTGTTGATCATTTCTCTTCCTGTGTTTGCAGAAGTGTTGCTCCATCACTCATTACCCTTTATTCTTTTGTTCTTTGAACTCGCCCTATGTGCTTTCCCCAATCTCTATGCATACTTATATCACTGTCCTTCACTGCTTAACATCTTGAAAAACTAGTCCTCAACTTGCTGCAAGTCAGGCTTTCCATAACCATTCACTACCCACCAAATACCACTGAAAATGCTCTCAATAAGGTCACAAATTACCTGATTTTCAAAAGCAATGGGTATTTTTTAGTCTTTGTCTTATTACGTCTCTCATAACAGTTAATGCTGTTGTCCACTTCCTTTGTTTGTGTACTACCACACACTCCTAGATGTCCTTTGACCTCTCTTCTTTCTTTGCAGTCTGATTTGCTAGCTCCTGTCCTTGTCCACATTTAATTGCTGGTGTTCCCTAAAGTAATCTTTTGGTCCCAATCCTCACTTCACATTGCTCCCTGAGTAATCTTATCCTCTCCCTTGGCTTCTGTTTGCGTAGATTCCCAAATCTATGTATCTTTAGCCCCAACCTTTCTTCTGAACCCGGTCATATTTATCTACTTGCTTACTGGACCTCTCTGCCTGAGTTTCTCACTGGTATCTCAAACTCATAGCTAAAGTTGAATTTATGATCTTCATTCCCATGCCCTTCGACCTTTTCATTATCCTTCTATCACTTTCTCTGCAAACAGTACCACTGTCTGTTTAGTTCCTAAAGCCAGAAACTTAGGAGTTACCCTAGATTCCTTCTTTACCTGTAGAAGTCATAATCACCACATCTGTAGATTTTACCTCCTGTTAAATATCTTTTATTTATTTCCCCCATTCTGTTCCCACACCACCATCTTAGTGCAGACCCTTAAAATTATTTTAACTATTAATAAGCTATTAAAATATCTCATCTCTCTGTTTCTAGTCAGATTTTCTTCAGTTTCTCTTCCACGTGGTTAACAGAGGGATTGGTGTAAAACACAAATATAATCTTGTCATTCCCCTCATATAAAACTTTCAGTGATTCTCTGTTGCCTGCATGGTAAAAACCAAATTTTACCTCCACAGAGTCTCTGTGTAGTGTATTTTAAATCTGTTCCCCTGTTACACTGCATGCTTAATCATACTAAATTCTTTATTCTTGCCTGATTATACTGCACCATTTCTTGGCATATCTCCATGGCTTGGCAGATGCTGTTCCTTTTGTGAGGAATGCTCTTCCTCATCTTTGTTACCATGGCGAGCTTTACTTATCCTTGAAGACCAGCTTAAGCATCATCTCTGTGAAGACCTTCCAGGCAGAGTTCGTCATTTTCTCCTTTGTGCCATTTTTCCTTCTCTGTTGTTAATACTTTTGACATTTGCTATGTTGTAACTCTTTATTTGTTGAACTTACATTCTAGACACTGAGTTTCCTTTAGGTCGGAGATCATGTCCTACTCATCTTTGGATCCCCAGTGCTTAACAGATAGCAGGTGCCCCATAAATGTTTAATAAAAGAGCAAATGCTTGTGCTCTCTATAAATTCAGGCTGGTGAATACAGGGTCCCATTTAAAGGAGTAATTTCAGTACACTATGATAAGTGCCCTAAGAAGAAATGTGCCGGTGCTATGGCAACCTGGAAGAGGGAATGCTTGGGCGGTGTGGAGGAGATCAGAGAAAGTCTTCACAGAAGAGGACAGAGAAATAGGAAGTAGCCTTGAATGTATAGAAAAGAGACTGGTTTAATGTGTGAGGAATCTTTAGGAGACAAGTTTGGAAAAGACAGCAGAGGCCAGAAAACGAGCCCTTTAGGCCCCTGTTTTGGAATTTGAGCTTAGTTTTTAGGGGAAGACGTTAGAGATTTTATCCAGGAAGGTTGTAAAATCCTATTTTTGCTTTACAAAGATATTTTGGGCAGTTGTGTGGAATAAGAAATGGAGGAGTGTGAGACTGTATGGACACCAAGACGAAGCCACTAGTTGAGTCTTCTAAAAGTTACAGCATTTGACTAGAAGGAAAAGGATTTTCACAGAGAAGGGGGAATGGTCTCTGGGTAGAATCTGGTTCTTGACATTCTTTGTTCTTGGTAAAAGAGCAAAAACGTATTGCTTTTATTTTAGAGTGTGGTAGAACCCACATTTGTGTAACTGTCTATGTTATTACCAGTGCAGTTCTGACTTTGCACAGTGCTGCTGTGGTTGGTTTCCTCTGTTCATAGTGCCCTCTAGCATCCTGATAAAATAGTGGTGAAATATTTCTCGCAACTTTTTGACTGAATGCTGAATTGTTTCATTTAGGCAGCATTTTCATATAACTGCATGGATAATTACTATGCAAGGAACAAATATATTTGTGTGTTTCCTTTTTATTTTAGAACCACCCAGAAAATCTTTTGTTTGCACTAGCAGCTCACCTTAACATCCAAGTGCAGTCAGTTTTCCGTTTACTACTTTCCCAGTATCAAATAGGATATTTTATGGTGTATTTGAAAACAGACTTAAAAGTAGCTAGAAACACTGCTTCAATGCTTCTCACTGTGAGGATTTCGTATTTCATTTGTCTCACCTTCTCTACCCCTAATTTTTGGGTATTTTATCCTGTTAACAGAAGTTCATGTGATTTTAAAACTCTTGGCTATACCCTTTATCTACTTTGAAAGCAAACTATGTCTTAAGTCACCTTTGTAACCCACACTGCCTGTCATAGAGTTAGCACATAAGGTTTGTTCCAGTGAAAGAGGAGTTGACACGATTTTCATAAAATTGCCGGGGGCTTTTACTGTTAACTGGCTTCCAGAGAGATTTTCTACATAAGAGAACAGTTATTTAGTATTCTGTTTACTTCTGTTTAACCTATTTTGGCTTTTCATAACCTTTGCATTTTTAAACTCTTTTAATTTTTCGCCATTTTGTGTCTTTTTAAATTATTGTTATTTTGTCTTTAAGTATATTCATTTAAACATTTATTCATATCTCAATTTAGAGTTTCCTAATTGTAATGAGTATTTCTTTTCTGGATCCACTAAACCTCCTTGTTTGTTAAAAATAAGCTTTATCAGTAATGCTTACAATGATAGCATCACCTACTATCTGTAAGTTACTTTGTGTGGGTTTAGATCTGTGATCCTTTGCCTTCAGTCGCTTTGTGTCTGACCATGTCATTAAGAAAATGTTTGACCTTCATGAATATTAAGAATACCTATATACACTGAACACTCATTTCTTCTGCTCGTACTTTTTAAGGATTCCTTCATTTATCTAAAGCACTACATCTTGGGGAGGCACTGATGCCAAGAGAGAGCATATCAGACTTATTCAGAGGGCTTACCCCACCCTCATTCAATAATTCTAATAGGATTCTATCCAGCACCCACTGAGAATTATTACAGAGAGACCACAGTTACCAATAGGTTTTAAGATTGAAAATGACTAGTTTCAACATCATTTAATATACTCATTAGCCCATGTTTCCTTTTGCACAAATTTCACCAGTTTGCTATATTATTTGAAAGTAGGGCTTCCTTTCATTTATCCCCATACCACTTATTTTCGGTGTCGTGAGAAGGACCCTCTAGTTCAGGTATTTGAAAATGTAACAGTAAACTCTATCCTAGAATATATTTATCCTGTCCGTATCCTCCATGATTTTATACTCTGATCATATATACCCACTTTTCTTACCTATTTTCCTTTCCACCATCCCTTTCAGTTCCCCAGTCATTTTAATTACCTTTTTCTGAATCTTCTCCAGCTCTATTTTGTCTTTTTTGAGGTAAGTGATCTGAATTACAGATGTAGATTTTACTATGGCTTTATACGTGGATAAGATTGTATGTTATGTTGTGTTTCCTACAGTTGCCTTTCAGATGACATTTTAACAACATTCTGTTAAAGACCTTAAGTAAATTTTCTCAATTCTTATCTTTTGATTAAATATTCTGTTTACCTTGAAATTGTACCTGAAGAAAATGAAATACTGCTAAACAAAGCTGCCAGTTATTGCTTAGTATCTTCCTTAAAGGTGTTTAGAAATCACTAAAAACATTACTGCAGTGCAAGTGTCCCTTGCAAAAGTTGTGTGTGTCTGCTCATCTTAAGAGAGACATCACCTGACCCTGTTGGCAGGATAATACTTTCAGAGAGCCTGAACCAAACTTTTCATTAGGCTTCCTTTTTTTTTTAAACTAAGATAATTCTAAAATGATCATTTTACCCACTCTTCTCAGAGAAAAAGAATGATTGTTTACTTCTTGGTAGATACTTTTCATACTTTGCATATATTAACTTGTGAGGTAGATAGTTACTATTCTGTTTCTACAGATTAGAAAACTAGGATAAAGCTGCAAAATATCTTACCCAAGGTCAACCAATTAGTAATTGGTAGAGCCAGTATTGAAATCCAGCCAGTCTAACTCCTGGGTCTACCTTCGTAATGGGCTTCATGTGCTTATATATGGTTGCCGACTTTTTATTTTAAAAAAGCAGTAAGTTATCACCTATGCTATTTGCTAATATTCTTCCTTAAGTTTTCTTTATTTCTTACTTCCTTTTCCTCCAATTCCAACAAAGAATGAGAGAGAGATTTTACATTATGTGCCATATTGCTAAAGTCCCAATCTGACTTTCACTCTCTCTAGTTTCTTATCATTTCTCCAAAACTGGATTTTTAAATAGTAAGATCTGAGATCAGAAACTTAAAGCGTGACCCTTACCAAAGGCCTGGCAGTCACAGAGGCCCCACTTTTGCCATAAAGTGTGTTCAGAACAGCTCTGCTTTAGTTTCTGGTACCTCAAAAAAGGCTCTTAGTCCCCAGAACCTATGGGAAAATTTGTAAGTAGTTCAGTATAACCACTACCACATTTTGAAATTCTCTCAGTTTAAAGGTTTACTGCCATAGTGTGTGTCTTCAATCTTCTTGTGTTGGTGAGTGGTTGATGATGATGGTGAAGACCCAAGGATTCCTATCTAAAACCCTATTCTGTTTTTGCAGTGGATAGTCTGCTGAAATACACTGGCTATGGGAATGCTGCAGGACTGTTGGCGGCCAGGGGCCTCTTGGCTGGAGGAAGAGGAGATAATTGGTACTCAGAGGATGAGGACACAGACACTGAAGAATACAAAAATGCAAAACCAAAGTATAGTATCAAATTTCTTTTCACCTAACTATGGCTGTGCCTTTGAGTTGGTTATTTCCTTTGTCTTTCATTTTCCAAGTGTTTCTTTTCTCTTGTGGATTTGGAAACTTTCCATTTAATGGTGTTTTTAGAGGCAGTTTCATAGCTAGTGCTTTAGAGAGTGACTTCAAGTGATGGAGGAAGGCTAATAATGCAAGAAATGATATTTTCAACGTACTTATTATCTTCTCCCAAGTACTAAGAGAGCTGGTGTGTTTAGGTTGTACTGAGAAAGTGTTATTGCTTACTATTTGCTTTCCTTTCCATAGGTTAAGATTTTATAAGGTATAACCAAGACCACATATTTAAGTTGATTATTTGATGCTTTAGTCTTTCTCAGAAATCTAAATGTAGGTTCTGATCCTCCCCCTTGCATAAAAGCCCTTATAAGTCAGTAAAATAGGCAACAAGACACATTAATATCAAAAGAGAAGAAGTCTGGCTTCACAGTGAATTTTAATCAAACAAACATATAAGACTCATCTTTTAACAGATACATTAGTGCAATGAGTAGGCAAACCAGAGACTCTGTGAAGTCTTCTCTGAGTCAGTGCTTAACAAATTAAAGACACTATAATTATTCTCTTTTATCCCAAGATAAACCACCTCTCCTTTCTCCTATTCCCTCTCTATCCTTTCCATCCCACTCGTAACCCTCAACCCATGTAAATTCTTAGTTTCCGCTTATTAGGAGTTATTTGAGCTATGTTTTTTCTGGGTTCCATTTGAAGATTTCCATCTGAAAATTGGAAAAGCATGCCCTTTCCTTGTGACATGGTGACATTGACATGCTGTGTTTTCTGCTTGGCATCTTCTGGAGTGTGATGTGGATCATGCAATAGGTGTTCGAGGATAGACTATCTTTATCTGCAAAATTAGATACTTTTAAAAAACATACATTGTGCCTTGTTGACATGCAAGTAATGGGTTGTCAGAAGGTGAAAGAAATGATCAGTTCCCAATTAGACAGGACATATATGGCCTGTTTCTTGGCAAATCAGGTCTGAGTAGGTAGTGTTACTTTTAGCATCCCCAATGCCATCAGCCTTAGTAGGATCTTATAGAGTGTGTCCTAGAAATAAAGACTTTTTGGGGGAAAGCTGGCAATGACTCTAAGCACTATTTTCTTAAGACTGCCACCATTTAGATATTATCAATTGGCTATCTCTGACAAGTATTTGAAGCTAAGATAGAGGAATCCTGCTTCTTTCTTTCCCGAATTATAGAAGTCATCATTCTAAATTAGTCTTACTAGCTTTTTTCATTCTATAAACTATATTTCCTTATCAGTTTAATATTGATATCTCTTGATTTGAGTCATTAAAATACACCACTTGAGAAATTTCATATTTCTAAATTAAAGTAGCAATTACATTAGGCATTTCTTACATCCCAGGGTGTGTGGACACATTCAACTATGATAGAAAACTCATGAGTACTCATACATGGTTGATATCTTTGTATCTCAATATGTATTGTTAGTTTTGTTTAGTAGATAACTTCTATAATGGTAATGGTCATATATGTAGCAAGCGCCAGAATGCTACTATAACAATAGGAAAATAGAATTATGTTACATTGTGGAAGTGATGTTAGATTTCAGGAAGTACCTTCTGTTGAAATCAACAGCCATGATTAGTATTGTTACTGTCTTGGCTCTCTGTCATGGAAAGTTTCTGTACTTAAGCCTTACATCCCTAATTATAATATTCAGCCTTTGGACTTTGCTTATAATATTCATAGGAATGGTATGTTTTTGTAGTCAGAATAGTCATCATTGTGAAATTTTGTTGTATTTCTTAAACACTGCTCATTATAAGTATAAATGTGTGTTTTTCAAGTAGCATCACATCTTCCCCCTTCGGATAGATTTGCATCTGTTTTTCTCTTAAATTTTCCTTTTTTAAAGTGAAAAAGTGTGGTGAGATATTTAATGTTACTTTAAAATATTTGTGCAAATGATCTCTATGGAAGTGGTGGTAAATAAAGTACTCTGCAAGCAGGAGTACCCTTTGTACTCTGTGGAGCGATCCATAGAGCTCAAAGAACTTGTTTCCTAAAAACAGTTGTAAAAAATTTTTTACCAATCAAGCTTATAAAGTCAGCATCTGAAAGGATTGCTTACTCCCCTACACCTGAATACCATTCACCAGTCAGAGTTCCCAAGATCTCAGTCTGCTTTTCTTGTGATGCATTTATTCACAACAGTTGCTACTATTGGCAGAAGCAGAGAACTTACTCTTCATCCAGTTGGCTCTAGTCCCATTGTCAAAACTTTAAGTGGATTCTGATTAATGCACCAAGGTAACCTGTAATCCTTTACTGGAATCTGAAACCAAGAATTGTATGGAGCTTACATTCAGGCTATGGGAGACAGTTAATATCACAACAAAGCTTTTTGTGTCAAAATAAATGTATTTAATGGACTGGAAATGGCTTTCTGCAATTAGCACACTTAGAGAAAATATACTCATAGAATTGAGTTACATGCCACATAAATTTTTGGTGTATGTCTAGCCAGGTTTGTTGAAAGTTTTCAGATAAACTTTAGTCCTGTGTCAAAGGGAAACCAAATTTCTAAATTCTAACCTTTATACCTGTTTCTTTAATGCCTCTGAGAATGGAGGTCCCTTGACTGTAAAGGTGATATAACTGGCTGGTATGGTTTATACATTATTCTAGACATCAACTGAAAGATGTGTGTCTAATGACATTTGGCTCCTTTTAGATGAGTGGCTTTCACAGGGTGCATAGGCATCTAGAGGCCCAAAGAGGTATCTTTAAAAGGCTGCTTTGTGGAGGGATAGGAGGAACAGATGGTCAAAAGTGAGCAGAACCCTAGGGAGCCTCCTTGCACACTTAACACACCACACCAGTTCATAATCAGATCGAAAAGCTTAAAACCATTGTACTAATAAACTCAGGGGTGTTTCCTTCTTGACCATATTTTTCTCAGCTGTAGCTATGCCACCAGCTGTATAAACAGTTTCTTCAGCACAAGGCAAGATACTTTTTCTTTTATTTGTCAAGATTTTGCTATGCTGCTTCAGTCAAGTCTTTTTATAGTTGTCTCATTATATTGGGCTTTATAAATTTATTTATTTTTAATATTAAATATTTATTGAAGTAAGTGACCCAGAAACCAGGACATGAAGATTTTTCTCTTTGCCCAATTTGGGCTGTGATGATGTATTTATGTAAAATAGCATTTCTGGGAACTAGAACCTGTTACTGTAAGCAGTCATAAAACGTATCTAAATTCAGAGTTCTAAAAGACCAGAGGTAAAAGAGGCCAGTATATTAGCTTAACTACAGTACTGAGTTTTGCTCCAGTGTTTATTTGCTATGGATTCACAATCGTCAGTTTTCTATATCCTTTATGTCAAGGTTATTACTCTTAATCAAACGGCCTGACATGGGAAACATTTAAAAAGCACTATAATTTAAAAAGGCATTTTGAGGTCTTTTTTGTTTTATTGCCTAGATGCAATTTGGTATTCCTGTATGTATATATATTCAGTATGTATAAATTTATGTGGCTAATACATGGTAGATACATAGTAAATATCAGATAAGTAAATGAAAGAATGACACCATATTACACTGGTTCTTTCTATTGCAAATGTAATGTGAAAACCTGAATTAGGTTGTGCTTTCATAATTTACCCTATTTCTTTTATGGAGAATCAGTGTATCATTTATATGGTAATTCTTAAATTACTTGAGACATTTTCAGAAACTGGTATCTCTTCAAAATATATCTGAATTTAAAGCACACGCCACAAAACCACCTATTTGTTGCATGGTTTTTTTAGTTAATGAAGATTACACATGCATCTCCATAGTAAGGATTTGACTGAATAGAGTAACTTACCTCCTGGATCATCTGAGGCCTTCTGTGTTGCCTATTTCTCCACAAGTGGCTCCCTAACGCTAGTAATAATAGCTGGTATTTATTGAGTGCTTAATATGTGCCAGGCACTTTTCTAAGAACTAGACAAATATTATATAATCTTCACAACAATCCTTTGAGGTATAATTAATCTCATTTTATAGATGAGAAAACTAAAGGCAATGAATCGAGTAATTTGTCCAGGGCAAACAGTTCGTTAAGTGGTCAGGCAGCCTGACTCTAGAGCTTGCGGTTTTTGGGAATTTTATTGTTGTTTTTTGAGGTAGGCAAAGCAAGTTTTATTGTGCTCTTCATTCTGCCTTTTTACTTTGGGGATAAAATATGTAACATCAAATTTGCCATTTTAATCAGCTTTAAGTGAACAAATTTGTAGCATTAAGTACATTTACACTGTTATGCAACCATCACCACTATCTCTCTTCAGAACTTTTTCCTTGTCCCCAATGAAACTCTGTACACATTCCCCTCCTTCTAGCTCCTGGTAAGCACCATTTTACTTTCTGTCTCTATGGAATCTAAGAATCTCTATAAATGGAATCATATACAATATTTCTCCTTTTGTTATTGGCTAGTGTCACTTAGAATAATGTCTTTAAGATTCGTTCATGTTGTGGCACATGTCAAAGTTTCAGCTGAATAATATTCCATGTGTGTATATACATTACATATACACCTTTTGGTTGTTGTGAATAATGCTGGTGAACATGTGTCTACCGATATCTGTCAAGTCCCTGCTTTCTGCTCTCTTGCGTATATACCCAGAAGTGTTGTATCACATGGTAGGTAGTTCTTGTGTTTAATTTTGTTGCCAGCCTGCCATATTTTACATAGCAGCTGCACCATTTTATATTCCCACCAGCAGTGTACAAGGGTTCCCTTTTCTCCACATCCTCACAACACTTATTATTTTCTGGGGTTGCTTGTCTTTGGGATTTTTAGTAATAGCCATCCTAATGGGTGTGAAGTCAGAGCTTATTTTAACTTCTACTATATTCTGTTTCAAAGCCAATCAAAGAGAGAAATAAGTTTGCCCTTCAGATAGCTTCCCTGTTCTCAGAGCATCTATTATTTTTCTTTGATATAACCAAAACAGAAAACAAAAGAAAGAAAATGTATCTGTGTATACCCCGATATTCCTGAAAACAGAAAAATCCATTTGATTCATTCTAAATTGGTAAATATTCACATACATCTGTCAGGTAGTTCTGGTCCTATCTTCATAATACATTCTGAATCTAATTACCCTTTTTATTTGTCATCGCTGCTACCACTCTGGTCCAAGCTAAAATCTCTCTCTCCAGGATCATTCTCAAAGCCTTCTCACTGGTCTTGTTGCTTCTACCTTTGTTCCTCTTCATTTTGTTCTCAAAACAGCTGTTAGTGGGATCCTTTTAATATGTAAATCAGACTAGTCAACTGTTCAGACGTCCTCGCAGTGGTATACTTGCACCCTTTCTTGCTATACTATTGCCACACTGACCTCTTTACTATGTGTCAGGCACTGCAGACACACTCCTGCCTGAGGCCTTTCTGTTGACTGCTGTTCCTTCTGCCTGGAATGCCTGTCCTCCAGATAGCTGTCATATCGCTCTCATTCCCTCACCACCTTCAAGTCTTTACTCAGGTATCACCTGTTCTGTGCCCTTGTTAACAGTTGCTGCACTCCTGCCTTTACCACTCCATATCATACTTCTTACATTGCTCTTTTTTTCTCACAGTGCTATTCACCTTCTGACATTCCATATAACTTACTTATTAAGTCTGTTTTCTCCTCCAAAAAGTAAGCTCCAAGAGGGAAGAGGAGTTTTTGTTTTTTTGTTTTTTGGTCTGTTTTTGTTCATGTAGATGTCCCCAGAATAGTGCCCAGCACACAGTAGGCAGTCAGTAAATTTTTGTTGAATGAATGAATTTTTTGAGTTAGTCAGCCCCTCCTCAGCATTAGGATACCAAGAAAATTGAGTTCCCTTTCCTCGTCAAGCTTCTACATCTAGTTGAGGAATGGGAGCCAGGGAATAGAATTCAAGAAAATTCAGATATGGTAAATTTCCATTTTGTTCTTTATATTGTTTTTTGGGGGAGCAGTGTATTCTGGGTTTTTCCCCCTGGAAAGTTGTTTTAGTTTCATTCACATATAACATCTCCTTTCCCACCCGCCTGTCCCCTTCTTTCCTGGTCTTGGCTTACAAAATGCCCTTTCCTAAAAACCCTGATCCCTTTCGTAGGGGTTGCAAATTGTCTAGATTTAGCCCACAAGTATGTTTTGTTTGGCTTGCTCCATGTCCTATTGGTTATTTGGTTTGTGGTTTTGCTTGTTTTACACAGTGTTCTTAAAATAATTTAATTACTTAGCAACATTTAGAATTCAGATATTTTAGATGAAAATCTTGATTTCTAACTTCTTTTGAAAAAATGGAAGTTCTGTTAACATATCCCATAGATATTTAGATGAAAATCTTGATTTCTAACTTCTTTTGAAAAACTGGAAGTTCTGGTTACATAGGGCCTGCATTCTACGTGACAACCAGTTGATGGAATTGAGTAGCTGTGGTTTCCTTCCTACGAGGTATAAGCTCCTTTGGTTTGACAGATTATCCTATTCACTTATGTTACCTGTCCAACTCCTGTAGGTTGACTTTAGAGTTCCTTTTTTAACCACAATGCTTTGAATGAATTTAAGCCACACATTGTAGATTGAAGTTAATTTTCATATAGCCGAATTAAGTTTTAATGGATCTTTTTTGTTAAATGACCTAGTACTGTTGATGTTGGCCAAAGGTAGCAAAAATTTGAAGAAAGAGCAAAAGACTTGAAATACAGTTCAGGTTTTATACCTGTGTTCATTTGTCCATACCTTTTTAGTGTGTCTTAATCCTTTTGTCTCCAGGCCCATAGCTGTTGTCAGTTCATATAATAGTCTTATACAAAATTTATGATGAAATACCACAGATAAGAATTTAGACACTTCTTGTCACCTAATTGGAAGTCACAAGATTGGAGTGCTACAAAATGGGACAGAGGAGCAGAGACAAGGTGGAGGAGATCATGATAAATATAATTACCCAATAAAATGTCCACCACAATTAGTGTTCTTAAAGCATCTTAAGACTCCAAGTTTTGGAATGAAATAAAACTAACTCCAGAATTTCATAGCGTTAAGATTGAAACCTGGACTGTGGCGTCTCAGACTGTACTATTTGAGGTTGAAAGGTGTCAGGTATTTGTTCCACCAAAAGTAATCTATTTTATGAAATCTCACGTCTTTGTTGTCACAATGGCTATTATTTGTTTTCTCTTCCTTTCTGGGTAGGGAAACTACATGAGACTCTGGTTTGAAGTGGGGAGCGGGAGAAGAGACAGTGTTCATCTGCCTTCTGCCACAGCACACTGGCATTTTTCCCATAAGAGAGTGCTACGCTATACTTCAGTGCCCTAACTTGTGTTTTCTGTGGCTTTTGTTTACATTCTTCCGAATATCCAGGGGAAAAATGTCTTTTTAAAGGAAAAAATGAAACCCAAATCCCTAGACTGACTTTGGAGGGTTGGAATGTTTTACTCTATGGCAAAAAATGAGTTCTTACTCTGTAAGAATGAATTTCTGCCTTCTGCTTTTATACTCAGATAGCAAGAATTGTGTTACTTTAGTAGCTAATTTCAGAGCAAACCATTATATCATTTTAGCAGCCAGGGGACTTGAGGTTACCTTATGTAAAACAGACTTAATTTCCACCAAGCTCTTAAGAGAACCAAGAAAACCATCAAACTGTGTCCTAATCTGGGAATTCATATAGTGACTTTGTATGCTGTGGTGCCCACAATAAGCCCACAGCTTACCAGTGTGTCCTCCTGATTTCATTTTTTTCCCTGAAGCATGTGATCATGTGTGCAAATGTCATTATATCCTAAAAGTGCCTACAGGCCTGATTTTTCAAATTACAGCTCCATTGAATTTGAGGAGAGAAGCCATCTCTCAAGAGGCAAATAAGCATGATCTACATAGTTAATACATCTACCTTCCCTTATACTTTCTTCTAAGGCCTGATTTTCTTTGCTTGGGAAGTGGTATGTATCTATAATAAGCACCTTTATTCATTTATAAGACTAGTTGTTTTTCTAATTTAACAGGTGGCAGAAGAGAAACCAGTGAAAAGAGATGTCTTGTTATATGCCTGAGCAAATAATGGATGGGTGGTGGAATTGTATTTTCAGTGTGGCATCTGGATACGTCTCCATAGTTCTCAGAAGCCTTGTCTGGGTCTTCTTTGTTCTTGACTTTTAGGAAATACGATGACCCATTCAGCATTTTTGTTGATGGCCTCTAACTGGAGGCCTTTTTCTCTTCTTTTAGGAGCACCTGATAAAAGAGGAAATAGCACACAATGAGTGTCTAAAGCAGGCACTCTAGACACACACACACACACACACACACACACACACACACACACACACACACAGATTTATTAGTTGGTCTAAGGTGAGGCCCAAGCTTTTTTTTTTTTTTTTTTTTTTTTGAGACGGAGTCTCGCTCTGTCACCCAAGCTTTTTTCAAAGTTTCTCAAGTGATTCTAATGTACAGCCAAGGCTAGAAATAAATGACAAGGCTATGGGTTTTCAGGTTGCCCCAGAACCTTTGAAAGTACCTTAAGAGAAAACAAGTGGGTAGGGGACAAATAAAGGGACTCTACGCCCCTATCTACTTGGCTATTCCCATCCCCTTCTTGCCTGAGCAGTTCACTTTTGTCTATTTTATATATTGGGTTTCTAATGGGGGAAAAGTTTTAAACATGACTCTAGATGTAGGTCTTACGCAAGAATGGCAAGATAGGTTTTGAATCAGGTTTTCGAGGATGGTGAGCACTGAGTCCTTCCATAAGAATTGGTATGTCATGCAGCCTCTGAGGAAGGTAGAAAAGAAAAGTAAATCTAATAGTAATAGATAACAGTACGTAGTAAGCAAGCCTTTACCCCAGATGAGAAAAGCCCTAGTCAGTAAAGAACTTGCCCAACCGAAAGTCTCAAAGACGGGTTGCAAGCTGGCTACCAGAAGATTTAATTAATCACTGTGTCTTTGTCTTGGCCAGTATCTTTTTTTTTTTTTAATTTAAACTGGGCACCGTTTTCCAGTTGATCTCAATCTCCCAACACTCCACATTGTGTATATTTGACCCTCTCACTCACTTGCTTATCTTAAAGGCGTGGCTTCTGAAAGCGTTTATGTTCATAGACCCTAGAAAGCAATTTATTAGCAATTGCTATTTGCAGGGATATTTAATTTGATCATTAAAAACAAACTATCTGCTAGGCGCCATGGCTTATGGCTCTAATCCCAGCACTTCAGGAGCTGAGGCAGGAGGAACACTTGAGCTCAGGAGTTTGAGACCAGCCAGGCCAACATGGTGAAACCCCGTCTCTACTAAAAATACAAAAATTAGCCAGGCGTGGTGACACGTGCCTGTAATCCCAGCCACCCTGGAGGTTGAGGCAGGAGAATCACTTGAACCCAGGAAGCAGAGGTTGCAGTGAGCCGAGATTGTGCGACTGCACTCCAACGTGGGTGACAGAGCGAGACTCCGTCAAAACAAACAAACAAAAACAAAAAAACAGTATGTACTTGGCTGGTACAAGATACTGTGATCTCTTGTCTGCTTCTCCAGAAAAATGTTTGTTGTGGATATTTAGGAGCCATTGAAAGAGTTATCTTTTATTTCCTGTCCTCAAAAAAAAAAAAAAAAGTATGGCTTTTCTCTAAGAGAATAGTTTGTTTGGTATTATAACCTCATACAAAGTTTATGCAAAGTATTCATTTTAAGTACTGTATTAAATCTATTTCCAGATAGCCAGGATGATATACCTGTCTCTTGGTAGGCTAGATTTCATCCCTTTTTTTGTCTAGGCCAGATCAAACCTAATTAAAATTGTTCTTCTGCTTTATCTTTTATTATTTAAACACTCATTGCCCTCTGTGGTCTCACTAATGGACTAATTTCCTGAGATTATAAATTGGCATGCTTTCATTTCCAGATTGTAGCCTCTCTGTCATCATTTTTCCAATTTTTTTTGATGTTTGTTTTATGCTGTATCACAAAATGGATTTCCTCATTTCTTCTTCCCTGAAATCATGTGTCCCCTTAGAATTAATGGATAAGCTGTGCATCCACGGATATCCTAACGGCACTAATCAAATTTTGTATTTTTAAAAAGCAACCATGCCTCTAAAAAAAAAAAAAGTTGGCAAGACAGTTTTCGTTTTTTAAAAAAAGTATAGCCCATTTCCCAAAGCAAATTAGTGGAAAAGTCCAGTTTTAAAAATTCCTATATCAGTTCTATACCATAAAATTGAAATTATTGCCAATTTTTTGGCTATTATACTCTTTCTTATTATCACTTAAAAGTTGGACCAGAAAAGTATAGAAAGAGCATAATTTTAAAACATACAGCATAACTTTTTTTTCTTTTTGTAGCATTAATCTTATCACTGGTCATTTAGAGGAACCAATGCCAAACCCCATAGATGAAATGACAGAAGAACAAAAAGAATATGAAGCCATGAAACTTGTCAACATGCTTGATAAACTTTCCAGGTATTGTATTCCCATCCATTTTTTGCTTGGTTTCTAAAAATGGTCTATTTCTTTGTCTCTCTCACTGAGAGTTACCATAGAACAGCAACTCTGGAAATCCATGTTGATTGGAATAGGGTGGCCCAGGCAGCAGTAGTTCAGATAGCTCTTGGCTACCATGGTTTTTCTACATGTGCCGCTTCTGGATGTGCATTCCTAAACATTTAAACTCTCAAAGCTAAGATAGTAACTACCAGAGCACTGTAATAATTAACCAACTAACCTCCCTGTCTTCAAAAAGATGCTGTGAGTTAGATTCAGTGATTTTGCTGCTGCTTGTATTTTTGTTTTAGCCTGTTTTAGTTTTTGTTTCAAATCATGATGCTTTTATTTTTTCATTTTTGATGTGTAAGTTTGCAATTACGCCTTTTTGGGTTGCTGCTGAAACCAAGAATTCTAAAATGTCATGCACCCAATAAGAAAAAGTGAAAAGAAATAGCTCACATGAAGGATTTTCTGAAAACAGGGACTTGTATTAATTAGGAGTTCTAAAAAAAAAAAAAAAAAAAAAAAAAAACCAAAAAACTCCCCTTCCCCTCTTGCTTCTCACCTCCTTCCCCTTCAAAAATAACCAGTTTTGAAATAATTAAATCAAGTATATACTAATCAGCAACTAGTCATCTTGGAGGAGTTATTAGAAAATAATTCCTTTCATACTTGGCTGAGTCACTCTATTTTCTAGTCATACATTGAGTCACTATCTTCTTTAAGCCATCTTGAATGAATGCTTCTGTGTGTTGGTGGCAGCTGCCACTTAAAGATGCATTTCTTCTGGCCATCCCCTTTTTCACAGTAACTGTGTAAAGGCTAGTATCCCTCAGTCAAAAGAAGGAGCCATTGGAATGGAAAAGCCAGAGAGCCAACCATGAAAGGGAAAGGTGGAACACAGAAACGAGCAGAGATTAAGGGCACAGCAGAGGCTTAGGGGTAGAAATGGACAAGAACAAGAGACTGACATGGGGAGTGTGACAAGTATGGATATTTATCCACGCTGCAGAGTATGATGCTGGTAGTGTGGTAGAAGTTGTTTAGGAGTAAATAGCTTAATTATCTACAAAGCTAATAAGACTAGAACTCAGTAACTTCCAGCTAGCCCTTTTAAATTTTCATCCTTTCTCAAGGTTAGAATTTACAGCTAACTGACTATATTCACAATCTTCAAAAGACATTGTTGCCTCTTTGCAAATTACATTCTCCATACCTTTGTATAGAACAGAAATGTTCCCTCCCAGAAGGGATTAATAGTCACAGAGAAGATACCGATAGGGCAAACCTATAGGAGGCAGAATAAGATCAAAATGAATATATAAAGATAAGATGTGTGCTTGGCCACTTCCAGGAGGAGCTGATGTAGCTAATGAAACACAGGGGTATAAAAACAACAGGATAAGAACCAACAGAGTCAGGCCGGGCACAGTGGCTTATGCCTGTAATCCCAGCACATTGGGAGGCTGAGGCAGGTGGATCACCTGAGGTCGGGAGTTTGAGACCAGCCTGACCAACATGGAGAAACCCTGTCTCTACTGAAAATACAAATTTAGCCGGGTGTGGTGGCACATGCCTGTAATCCCAGCTACTCAGGAGGCTGAGGCAGGAGAATCGCTTGAACCTGGGAGGCGGAGGTTGCGGTGAACCAAGGTCGCACCATTGCACTCCAGCCTGGTCAAACAAGAGCAAAACTCTGTCTCAAAAAAAAAAAAAAAAACAAACCCGACAGAGTCCATCTGGTAGAAACTGGAGAGGAAAGGTTAGCAAGGACCTGAGTAGAACACATTAGTGTGTTAGGACAGTAAACCAGTTGCATAAATTTCATATTCTGACCAACAACATGAGTTTTTAAAGTTTAACACAAATGCCATTTAACTGGGCCATCTACCCTGGATGAGTAAACTCCAGGTAGGGAAATGGAAGACAGGGGAAATAACTGCCTAAGACTACACAGTATAATCCAGATACTTGGCTTACTAATAGAGGAACTACCATTTCATAAGGCATCTCTATCACAGGCACAGAAAACAAAGGTGCTAGGTCCTTCTCCTTTTAATCTCAGGGGAATCCACATATTCTAGAAGCTGCCAACAAATAAATATACAAACGTCAAGTCTGAAATACCCCAGCTTCCACCTGATTTAAACTATGCCTCAAAGAAGATGCCTACTTATCCGGAAGTACCCAGCAGATGCCCAACTGAAGGTGACACTGATTTTTGCATGTTTAAAGCAGAGCAAATATGTCTTATGTTGGCTTTGATGGTATCAATTTTGCCATTAAAGTTGAAGCAAAAGGCAACCTTGAGAATAGTTCAAATCATACAGAATTTTTGCATGACGTGTGTTGGGCGTTTTACATTGTCTGCCTTTGTGTGCTTTCTAACATTTGCTCTCACTAAATACAATCAATGACAAAACTGTATAAAGATCAGCAGTGGGCATTCCAAAGCAGTAATGCAAAGAATGAAGTCATTCTTTATGCGTCTTACATGTCTTTTGTGCTGTGTTCCTCATTAGTCTTAAGTTTCTTCTCTCTTTCCACTTTTTTTTGAGGTAAAAAAAGATGCCATAAAGCCAAAATAGACTAAACTCAGTACAATTCAGGGAACATTTACTAAGCAGCTACTCTGTGCAAGGCATCGTGCTAGGAACCTGAGGAAGATTCAGAGGAGAATGTGACAGTCTCTGCCTTTGGAAAACTCACATTCTAGTGGAAGAAATGACTGTAATCTAGTCTAGAATACAAGGTAGAAGGAAATAATGACAAAATGAGTTCTATGTTGAAATGTAAGCATGCAGGAAAAGGAGTAGTTCATTCTGTCTGGATGATTCAGGGACTGTTTCACAGGAAAGCTAGCATTTGTGCTGATCCTAGAATTTTGATGTATTTAATAGAAAAATGGAAAAATGACCATTCATTCCAGGTGGAGAGAAATTTAATCTTGTTAATAAGTCTTGGATAGTCACATACTACTTATTTCTTCTAAAGAGCTCAGGTTGTTTTATCATTATTTGATTAGTACGTTATCAGATTTATCATTGGGGGAAGCAAGTACCAAAGAATTGCCCAAAGCATTTCCAAGCTAATGACTGATGATAATTCATTTCCTTTTAACAGTTTATAAAACACTTTCACATACATCCTCTTTCTAGTTTCATTTTAAAAAGTGAGACTAGACCTTCATTTTCCAGAACTCAAGACGTTTGCTCTGTCCACTGTACTACGGTGTCTGTCTGTTATAGTAAGTGTTTGCCAGAACACTTCCTCATCACCCTGTCAGCATTGTACTATTGGTTAGTTCCCTCCCTTTCACTCTAGGACGTTCTGCATTCAACCAAGTCGTTATTGTGCTAAGAGTGTACCATAGCTTTGTCTGATTAACTTTCCTTCTCAAAAATGAAATGGTTTTCTCCTGCACCTGAATTGAAAGGCATGTGAGTAAAGGATAGGGTTGGAGGTGATGTGGCCAATGAATGGACACTAGACACTTCCTTTTTTCCATCCATAGGAGAGCAGATGTGAAGGACCTGCACCAGGATGGTGGTTAGCAACAGTGGCCCGTGCCAAAGCACTTACCAAAGTGATGATGACTAAGGTTGGTCATGCCAAGTACTGTTACTGAGCCTGGTGTAGGGTATAGATGTTATTCACTACCAAAATTGTAAAACCACCAATGTAAAAGTTAAAATTACATTTCTATTTTGCCTCCATGCTGGACATAGCCGCTGCCTCAAGGAGCTCATCACCTTAGCAGCTTTCTCTCAACTAGATTTCCAAAGATATTGGAGAGATTAGTGCTCAGATATTTTCTTCCCATTGAATACCAGCTGACTTAAGAGTATTCCAAGTGATTTTTTTTTTTTAGTATAAGGATTATATTTGTGATAGATGTAGATAAGGTGATTGGCAGTGCACCTGGAGGTCTAAAGAGTTGGAAAAGAATCTGAACCCTATAAATCCCATCATGTCTAGCTAGTACAGTGCCTTGTACCCTGTGGTTTCCACAGTATGTGATGATGAAATAATGAAAATAGCTGATCCCCAAATTTGAAGGGCAGTTTTTTGCTTTAAAATACCTACATGGCTTAAGACTTTAAAGTACACTCTGTCAGTTCCATTTTTTGGCCAGATGTCATAAAATTCAGGGCCAGAAAGGAATTCCATAAAGTACTTTGAGCCATGACTGGCTTATTTAAATATTGGGGTCCATAATTCCTTTAATATAGAATGATAACTGTAATATTTATCAAATATAAACATTTAAGGCCTGAGGCATGAAATTATAGAAAGCCTCATTTGACATTTTTTAATGTGAGGGCAGAGATGGAAAAGCGGATGAAATTTGCCTGCCTCTTCACCTCCTCTTTCCTTCCCTGACTTCGGAAAAAATAAGCCCCTGCAACTCAAGCAGGAGATCTGAATGGGAATTGTGTAGTAAAAGCAAGCCCACTGTGCCTAATACAATTTCATTTGCCTTAGCTATTGCACACAACTTGTATATAATAGTGGTGCCTCCTCTAGAAAAGGGGAGAGAGCATTGACTGGCTTAAGCTTAAACTAACCAAGGGAAATAATATTTCAAGTTACAGTTTTGTTTTGACTTCTCTAATCCCCTTTAGTTTCTACATTGGAACCAGAGCTAATTAATCCTCTACTCACCCTTACCCCATCACTGTCTAACAAGATACATTGCCTTTTTACTTATATATTCTGCCATCAAAATCTATGTTTTAAAATTTATATTTATATAAATTAAAGATAATTGTTCTACCATTTCTTCCTTTTCTTACTCCTTAGCCAATAAGTGTTTTGTTTTTTTTGTTGTTGCCAGTCATTGTGTACTATTTGGAACATGACTTTTATAATAAATGCAGGCACCAGATATAGGATTAGTTCCCTTTAATCAAAAGATTAATTTTAAACTGACTAAGGCTGAGATAGGTAGTTTATAACTGAAAAATAACAAATACATAGTTTTTTCTTAAAAATAAGTTATTTTACTCTCCTTACAAAAATATCAACGACTGTGATTATACCTACCTTTGTGATAAGTTAGTTAAGGAAATGCTTTTCAGGTACATTTCATAAACATGATCTAATTTTTAGAGCATTGTAAGATCTATTATAGATATGAAAATATAAAGATCTTGTTTTCATCAGAATATTCTTTAGACTACCCTGTCCAGAGTATGGTAACCACAGCTATATATGACTGTTGAGCACTTGAAATGTGGTTAGTCCAAATTGGGATGTCCTATCAGTGTAAAATACTCACTAGATTTCAGAGACTTGGCACAAAAAAAGTAAAATATCTCATTATTTGTTTAATATAGGTTACATATGGAAATGATAATATTTTTGATACACTGGGTTAAAATATTAAAATTAATTTTACCTATTCTTTTTCAATGTGGCTACTAGAACATTTAAGAGTACATACACTTGGCTTACATTGTGGCTTACATTATATTTTTATTAGACAGTGCTGTTCTACCTCATTAAAATATACTGTAAGGTTGCTTGGAAATTGAATTAAGAGGACTTGGATCCAGCTAAATTAAACACCTTAAGGTGTCAGGGGAGGATTAACTTGAGAAGCTTGATATTATCTATCCTTAGGTTATATAGGACCTTTCCAGTAGCTAGACACCTTTAAGTAGGACGTCATGCTACCTTTGTATTGCCTATCTGTAGTCATTGTTCTTTAGATCTGTAGTGGGACTAACTACTTTGAGCTCTTGGTTAAAGTACTCTCTGAAATGGTTTTTGACTAGTAGAGGAACATCAAATAAGAATCATCTCCACTGGCTGTTTGTTCTCTTAGTTCTCCTCATTCTTTAACTTTTAATCCTTCCTTATTGGGAAGAGCGTTAAGAACTTCTGTTTCTACTACTTTATTCTACAGTGTCAGTTGGCATGCTGACCTATTAATATTTATTTTGTTAATTTGGACAACAGATAAGAAAAATTCTGTAAATAAATTACCAAGAAATAATTTTTAAAACCACTTAAAGATAAAACTGCACTTTATTCTTCTAGTACTATACCTGATCTCTTTTTCTCTATATTTTCTTAACCATGCTGTTTACTGTGGGTAAATTAGGTGGGTAGCAGATTTTTAGAAGCTTTGCATGTGATCTAACAGAAATGTGAACAGTGATTTAAAAAAAACTAATATTTATATAGTGCTTTAAGGTATAAAAAATGCTTCCATATACGTTATCTCCATTGATTATTAAAACAGCCCTGTGAATTAAATAGCGTCAGGTATTTTTTTAAGGATTAAATGCACCAAAGATTAAGTAACTAACCCAAGTCCAGTTTTCAGTCTTGAGACTCCAGATTGTGTGCTATTGTGAGAAATTACCAACAGCTCTCAAAAGTTGTCTGATTATTTTTAAATAAGACATTCTAAATTTTAAATAAATGAAAAGCACGAAAGACAGATAATAAGCATATTTACTTTAGAAGAGAACTAAGATTTAGAGGACATGCATTACTGCTTTTTCATTCCACAGTTGAGCTCTTCGTAGGTATCAGGTCAAATACTAAATAAATAGCTTATATTTTAAAACACAAAACAAAGCAAAGCTTTTTGAAGGGAACAAGTAAAATTTCTATGATTCTATGTTAATACAAGGTTTTTAAATTGTTTTAAAAAGAGAATGATTATGGCTCTTCTGACAAATTTTCATACATGTGATCACATTAATAAAACCTAACTTAAAAAAGGCTTCCCTATGGGACTATTTACCAAAGTTGCTCAACCCGCAGCCCAGGACGCTTTTGAATGCGGCCCAACACAAGTTAATAAACTTTCTTGAAACATTATGAGATGTTTTTGCAATTTTTTTTAAGCTCACCAGCCATCATTAGTGTTAAGTGTATTTTATGTGACGCAAGACAATTCTTCTTCCAGTGTGGCCCAGGAAAGCCAAACAATTGGACATCCCTGGTTTAGACAATTCCCAATTACCTTTATAAAGTGGAAAGACATGGTGATGTGGGGACTGTACACCATATCAATTTGTCTTGGGTAACAATATTTTTATGTTGCATATTTTACTTTCCCAATTGTACCCAATCCCAAAGCACAATGATGAGGGCTGAGGGAAGGATCTCAGAATCCTTTCAAAGATGTAGCCTAGACCTCAAATTTGCTATGGAAAAGCTACCATACCACTCATTCCTACCAAGTTAGTG
The DNA here is from genome assembly GCF_000001405.40 of Homo sapiens. NCBI lineage: Eukaryota > Metazoa > Chordata > Mammalia > Primates > Hominidae > Homo > Homo sapiens. The sequence goes on from NC_000012.12 coordinate 106,878,176, forward strand.
GCTTAATGAAAGATCGGTGTAACCAGTCAGCTCTAGGAAGTCATTAGATGAAAGATGAAGGATCAGGGTTCAAGCCTAAAGGACACTTTCACAGTATCTAACTGAACATGTTTACCAGTCCAAAGGTTATAATATTATTGCTGTGAGAAAAAAAGAGGTGAAAACATTTATAAGAATATCACAAGTTATTGGGAAACCCGTTATACTTCAGTGGATTATGAACTATCCATGATACTGAAATCTTGATATAAGATGCACGCCCAGACTTTAAAAGAACTACAGAGCTTCCTTCTCAGGGCTATCACAGGCTCCATCCATTTTAACAGGCATTTTTTGAAAAGCTCTATGTTAATTAAAATGCTTTATTTATATACTAATTTCTCATCCCATCTTTCAAATGTGAAAAGGAATTAAATATGAAATGGCTAATTTAAACTGTCAGGATTCTTTTTTCCAAGTCAACCTTACATTAAGAGCAGGAATCCTGTGCTTAAGAAATGGTTCCCAATTATCCTGTCTTGGGTTTTGTTATACATTGTACAGAAGTCAACAAAACAAGTATGTAACAGAACCTGCCTAAATAGCAGCCGCCCTCATTAAAAACAGAGAATTAATCAGGGGGTGATTGAAGGAAGCAATGCCTCATGTTCCCCCCCCCTTTTCTTCTTTTCTAATCATAGAACAAAATATGTTACATAAAAGGATCGGAACTATTATGCAGTACTCAATTAGAGGGAGGTGAATAGGTCTCTAACATGCTGTTTTATCAAAAGAGCAGACTGGTGTTTGCATGACTGTTGTTTCATTACAGACCCTGTCATTAATTCCATGTGTCAATACTGCCCTGTAGTACACAGAGCAGACAAGAAAGAAGAGCCCTTGAAAACAAGGGAATGATTTTTGAGTCGTTATCAAGCTAAGTGGCAAGCGGGAAGCTGAAACTCGTATAGGTAAATTCGAAGGGACTCTTGGGAGATCTGCAAGTGGGAAACAAGAATGCATTTTACCAACTGCTTAATTATGTCCTGTTTTTCAACAAGTACACTTGAATTGAATGTTTTGTTTGTATTGCACAAAAACATGTGCTGTGGGCAAGAGTATTCTCTTGCTTTCAGGTCAAGTAAAGTGTTTTATACACATACACGTCTGACCTATTCTATATTGTGCGATTGGGTATGTTAGTATCTGAACCCCAATTTTGCACTGTCATTTTTGGGGGAAAGAGTCATATAGGAACCAGAAGCCCTAAAAAGCAGAACCTTCTCTAAGGTGCTGAGAAGTCATATAAGCCCAGGCATCCTAGAGTATACCATACTTACAGGCAAACGGTGGCTCAGGAAAATGTTAAAATATATCTGGAAAAAAAAAACAGACCAGAATATTTTAAATATGGTGTAAATTCCGTATCTCCCATCCCTAGCTCTTTAAGAAATTATTTTTTTGGTTTCCATTAGCAGTCCCAAGGGTTAGGCTGGGGCAAAATAGGGTTTCCTTTCTTGGACGTGCTTTATCTGTGTCCTCTTGCCTGGCCAAGCCCTTGTAGATTATGGTTCCTTATCGTTTAGTAAGATCAAATTTCTAAATGATGTTTCGTTCCAGTTGAACATTCTTGGAGGCTTATCTCTTCCCTGGCCAGATGCCTGATCAGATGAGAAGCCCGCCATGATACTGTCACAGTGCCTAGAATGGGCTCTTTATCCAGTAGACACCACTGTACTTTTTGATACGAGGGCAGTCTTAACTTGTGTTAAGGCCTGTGTGTAGCATTGAAGGTAAGTATGAAGGAGTTGTTGCTATGTGAATATCTTAATCCTGATACACATTTCAATATACAGTATCTCCGTTTTACCATGATATACATGTATCTGACACATAGCCATCCTTTTTAGATAGGACCTTCATAATTTAGGATCAGTAACTCTTTATGAAATGGCCTGTTTATTGAGGGCCATGATTGAATTTGGATCCTTTTTTGTAGCACTTGCCATTGCTTTGGTTTTCCTTTGTAATCATTTTAATCATATGCTGGTAGTCTTGCAGAAAGGGCTTGTGGTCTTGGTGTATGTCTGTGACAATTTGGTAGGATGCTGTGTTTGACTCTTAGGTTTAGAATATCTGCATTAGAAACAAAGGCTTAGTAATAATGAGTTTGAGTATCTTTAAAAACCTAGCAGCTTTTTAAATAGATCAAAATTATTTCATAGCCCAACACTTAGCCTCTTGAAATTAGTATAGAATATTGGGGATCATCTTGTCCAACCACTCACTTTATAGATGGGGAGACTCAAGCCCAGAGAGGCAAGTGACCTGCCCAAGGACACCTAGCAAGTTAGTGGAACATCTGAGACTAGAATCTAGGTCTTCTGATGCCCCATATGGAAGAAGCTCAGTCTATACCAGTTAGTTAATGGTTGGGAATTCCAGGCTGTCTGGTGAAAAGGGGGCTTGACTTCTGCTGAACTGTCAGAATGTCTGATGATATTAATTCATCAGGAAAATAATTACAGTTAAAATAACATGAGAATGATTCCTGACAAATGGTCTCCCATTTATGCCACGTTTACTGAGCACCTGCTGTGTGCTGTGTTCTATACTAGATACTGGCAAATCACAGCCTGAGAAGACATGGACTCTGCCCTCAAGTTGCTCACAGTCTAGTACAGAACAAGAAATCTCTGGAAAGCATTATACAGAATTTCCTGTGGAATGTTAATCCTGTTTCTAACCCTGTAAATCTTCGTGATGAAAGTGAATGTGTACCCAGAGATTTAGCTTTTCTCTTCATGGTTTAGTCATTAGGAGTCCCATTAGACACCATACCTTTTCTCTTCAGGAAAATGAAAGATAATATCAAGTACAACTAAATTTAATTCACAAACACTTATTGAGGATCTGCTATCTGCAAGGCACTGTGCTAGACACATAGGGATATGAAAATTGAGTAAAGCATAGACATTCTCTTTTTAAAATATCAGAGCAGTAGTATTTCATAGCTCTCAAACTTTGTAATGACAGTTATTTTTAATATCCTTAGAAGTTGGGGGTGGGGGGTATGCTCCTGAAATAGAAAACAAGAATACCTTTGTACTCAAGTCCAGACTTGTCAGCCTAGGATTCAAGGTCTCCATTCAAATCCTCTTTTATACCGCATCTCTTTTGAGTTGTTTTTTTTTTTTTCCTTTATCTCAGCCGAGCCAGCCTGCTTGCCAGTCCCTGCACACAACTAACTCTTGCTTCTGTGCCTCTGCTTGACTAATTCTTCTGCTTCTGGGATGCCTTTCTCCCTGTGAATCCATGTCCATCACTGCCATTACAGTCTGGCCCCTGAGTCCACCTACTGCAAGGAGCCTGTGGTCAGCATCCCTGTCTCCTCCTGTGTCCCTCTCACATGTGCATAGCCATACGACTGGTGAAGGAATATTTCTGTGGTGTTCATTAAAGCTTCCCATTCTCTGTCCACATCTTGCTGATCTAGATACAACAGATTGCAAATGAAATAGTCCCAGATTATAAATGAGACAGTCCAATATAACCAGGTCATTTACCAAGCCTTTTAGGAGTGAGTCTCTGTACCAAATATTTCATTTTGATATTTGTGGGCCACTAGTTGAAGGATAGAGGAAGAAGATGAGAAAAGTTAGGATGGGGGTATGAGAAATAAGCCTGGGGTCAATTAGAACAAACAGTCACACATCTGTAAATGATCCTCTCCTTCTACTCCCAGACAGGACAAGAAATCTCCTTTAAACCAACTTCAAATACAGTAAGGGTGTATTGACAAATTTTAAAGCTTAAAGAAAGCAGGGCTCTCTGCCTGTTAATCATCTCAAGCTTGTTGATCTGCTGTTCTGTAACTCTTTCAATATTGTTTAATGTGTGTGTGTTTTCTGAACTGACTAAAAGCTTCTTGAGGACAGGGACCATGTCTTTTATTTGCCTCTGCATATTCTTCCCCCACTTAATCCCTAACTAGCATGGGAAAACCTTCTGTAAGCACTTAAGGGACAGGAACGACAATTTGTGGGTTCTAACTACATTCCAGCCTAATGTTATACTATACACTTTGTATGTATAGTAGCCTTTTGCCCTCATCACAACTTAGTGTGAGGTATGTGTTCCTGTCCTAATTCTACAGAGAAGGAAATTGGAATTCAGTGAGTTCATGTTCTTACAGCTAGTGACTGGTCGATCCAGAATTAGAGCACAGGTCCGTCTGACTCCAAAACCTATATGTGCTTTTCACTATACCACAATAACAACGAATATTTGTTCTGTACAATTCACAACTCTTTGGTCTACCTTATTATTATTATTATTATTACTACCACTACTTACATCTTCACTAGTCAGTAGGTACAGCCAAGATTATCACGACCCCCATTTCACTGGTAGGGAAACTGAGACTCGGAAGCTTGCCCAAGATCACACAGCTGGTAAGTGGAGGAGAACCAGGACTTCAGACAGACTTCCTGACTCCAGATCTTTTTTTTCTTTCCATGACATCACATTGCTGCCTTAATTCATTTGCACAATGCATGATTGTATGGCCAGTGTTCACTGACACCTTTCCTACAGAAGTATCAATGAGCCCAGGCATTACGTAGAGCCATGTGGAGAAGAAAATAATTCATACCTTCAGAGGAGCTTCCATTTTAGTGGGGGTTGATACAAAGCACCCAGAAAGTAAATGCTTGAGAATAGTTCACAAGTAAGAATTAAAATATAGGCCCGTTGTTCCATAATGAAATCCTATAATTTGGCCATAAAACTAATATTTTTAATTATTTGCATAATTGGATTAGGGAGCAAGGGTAAAGCTGATAGACTTATTTGAAAATATTACTTCTGGGTTTAGATGAGAAAGTGCTAGATACTTCACACAAGTTAGTAGCTAGCCCCAGAATCATCTTTTTATCAAAGAGATGCAGTAGTTTTAGTCTCAGGAGTGATGGTATATCCACCCAGCAGTTTATCACTCAGTCCCATCTGCCAATCCTACTTTTACCTATCCCTACCCTTCAGTCCCCACCCCACACCTGAGTTTACCAACCCCTTCAGACCCTCAGTGTTTCATTCCCAGCAGGTTCTCCCTCTTCTCCTTTTGCTTCAGTTGTTAATATGTAGTGTCCAACATCACAAAGTCCTTTAGCACAATCAGAACTAGGAATTTATTTAAAATATAGGTATGTAATTTACGTCAGTGCTAGAGAGAAGTTTTAATGGAAACGTTGTTTCTAGCTCTCCACTGAACATTTCTACATGGTTGTCATGTAGGCACCTCAAGCCCTTCAAGTCCTAAAATATATCAGAATCTCCCCACCAAATCTCCATCTCCTATGTCCTGGCCCCATTGAATAGAGTCACCATCCACTTGGTCATCTGAGCTGAAACAACAGGAACTCTCTACTTACTACTCTCATTCTCCAACCCCTTTTCCTCCCAGTGAGTCATGAGATCTACCTCAGAAATGTTGCCTTTTCTTCCCACAACCTCAGACTTAATCCAGCTGTCTGTCTCCTCCCCCACACACTATTATGATGACCCCCCTAATGACTTGTCTATCTGCCACCAATTCCAATGTGTCTATCATGCTGCTGCCAGAGGTACTTTCTTATAAAACAAACGTAATCAAACACTCTTTATAGGGTAAAATCTAAACTCCTTATTTTGGCATTTAAGACATTTTTGACTATTGCATCCCAAACTACCCTTGCAGCCTTACCTCCTGCCCCTCCTTCATTGAACCTCACCATTCCCCAAACACTGGGCCCTTTCCCGGCTTCATGAGAGCACAGAGATAGAAAAGATGAGCTGACACAATCCAAAAAGGTTTAAAAAGATAGAGAATCACACACGTCAGTGGGACCATTCAGAGCTCTTTACAGTCTCTTTTATCTGAAATGCTCTGTGCCCATCTGCCTAGTGCAGGGCCACTCACTGACACCTCACTTGACAGTGCCCTCCCCAGGCAGCCTGGTCAGTGCTTCATCTCAGGAGCTGCCTCACTTCTTTGTTCATAATTCTCTTACAGCATTTACCTCATTCTGCTCAAAATGACTTTTGCATATATTTGTTTTCCGTGCTCCTCAAAGGCAGCAGCTGTACCCAGTCTTCCTTACCTCCCAGTATATGACATAGTTCCTGTCACATAGTCATTGAACAGATGTTGAAGACATGAACTCAGTGTGCTCCTCCAATGCAGTTAGGGCAATTAATCCAGATGTGGTGGGCTGCAAAGATCACTGGACTAGGATTCAGGAGACCCATGTCCCAGGTCCAGCTCTGCCACTAGATAAGTGACCTTGGATGAGTCATTCAGTCTCCTTTATTAAAGAAGGGGGTTGGACTAAATGATCTCTCAGACCCCTTCCAACTTTAAGTTCTATGATTCTGACCCCATTTCTTGGATTGGGAAACACATTTCCTCCCTCATAGTATTCAGGAGCCTCAATTTAGCCTGTCAGACGTTCACATTTCCCAAGCAAAGCTTTCAAACACTTCGAAGTTGTCTACTGAGCTAGCCAGAGCTCTTCATTAGGCTCCTGTTGGCTTATCCATTGACCACTGAGCTGTTCTCACTCCTCCCCAGGAGATTTCACTGTGTCTGTAACACCATTACACTACTGTGTGGCTGCCCCTTCCCAGGAGGGAGCCCTTCTTTCTGTTGGCCTAAGGGACAACTGTGAGGAGGGAGTCATTTCCCCTCCATCCAAATCCCACCAACATTATAGCTGCTGCCATGTGGGTTTTTGCTTATGGACATGTTTTTGGGGGGTGATGCCCATTTCTGTGATAAATAAGTTTTAAGCAGTTCATGGGGCTCTTCAAGGCCACTCTTAAGTACACTGCTGACCTTTCTAGGGATGGGAGGACTGGAGTTAGCAACTCAACAGGTACATTCACCATAATCTCCATGTAATAAATAAGAGCCTATGAAAAGATTAAATAAATCTTTCCTAATGCTTTTTGACTGGCTTAATCAATAATTAATCATCTTTAGATGAGGCTGTAACTTGTGGAGTAGATATAATTGGATTAGCTGAAAAGCGGCAGTTGCGGAGCTTTGAAGAGATTAAAATGGCTGTCAATCCCATAATTAAACTGCCACAAACAAAAGCAATGGTGTTTTTTAGAAAGGAGGAGGAGGAGGAAAGAAAGAGTGAAAGAGAGAGAGAGAAGGAAAGAAAAGTCGGGGAGAGAGTTGGGGAAGGCCAACTAATTTGAAATGAATCAACATGTACTTACATATCACTAGAGACTGAGGCAAAATCAAAACCGACAGATTTATTCCATTGAATGAAGTGTATGCATATCAAATCAGCCATTTAATTGTATGCTCCAACCACTGGGGCAGGTGAAATTTTGGCAGCTTCAACTTGTCTAAAACAAAACCAATCCACCAAAAAAAAAAAAAAAGGTTAATTATTCAAAACAGAAGAGACCTGCTCCTTGTCCTGAGCCCATTTAGACCTTGACTTTTCATACTTTTAATTGGCTTAGTAGGTTTGGCCTGTGTGAATGAAGTCTTTTATCTCCCTCTTCCCTCTTTTTCTTTCCATGCCCCTTTCATCTTTCCTATTACAAACACACAGAGAAAGCTCAAGGGAAAATACTTTGGTTTTTAAAGACTTTTCTTTTTAAAAGGTTGTGGATTTGGGTGGGGGGGAGGGGTGTGTGTGTGATGCTGGTGAATACTTTTTTTTCTCTCTCTTTTATCTCTTTTTCTAGAGAGGAGTTGCTTAAACCAATGGGACTAAAACCTGATGGGACAATAACGCCTTTGGAGGAAGCACTCAACCAGTACTCTGTCATCGAAGAGACCAGCTCTGACACAGACTAAAAGCATCACCTGCTCAACTCTCAATATTGCTTTATCAGCATCTTTTCTCTGTAGCTCCAGGGGAATCTTTTCTCTAAAACATTTATGCCCTTGCTTTGGCTAGAAACACATTAACTGGTTTACTCATTGAGAATCCAGCATATTTAAGAGGTGACCCTGTGTTTTTTGTGATATTGAGGCATTCATACAGAGCTGCAGTTAGACGGGGTTACGGGGGCTAAAAGCAGAAAAAAAATTCCATTTCATCGGGATGGAACTGAAGGATTTTATTCTATAAAGCGGCCCTGGTTGAATCTGGCAATTCTTTTTGCCAAGATCCCTAGCAGAAGATTTAGCCATGTCCTTCCCCTCACTTGTGTGAGTGGCCCCTTCTGAATCTCTCCAGCAGCCAGAGGCACGTGAGAAGCAGAAAGAGCTGGTAAATAAAGCCTTGGGCAAGCGACTTCTTAGATCAGAACTCACCAAATGGAAGCCTAGCAGCTGCTCCATAAACCTAGCCCCATTCTTCATATCAATTTTGTATAAATATATAGAAACACACACACAGCCTCAGACTTACAAACTGATTATACTCTAAAAGTTTGTATGTCAGTTAGCTAAAACTTCAGAATACATTTCTCCCTATAAAGAGTTATAAATGATGGTTTAGTTCTCAGGCAGCTACAAATGCCTATTTATTCCCTAATGTACCTGAACACTAGTACCATAGAACTGAACCACCATCTGTATCAGCGCATGGGGAGTGTGCATTCTGAGGTCTAACCCGGGGTGCCAGGAACACACACATCCTCCATCCCAGCATAGAGAATGGGGACTCCCTGAGTAATGGGAGTTCTTTCATGGCCTCTGCTTGGGGTGGGGGAGTCAGCAGCACCCATTTGTACATATAGGTCATTCATACATCACATTTTAAATTGGGGACTGTGTGTGCTGGTGTGTGTGTGAGTTCTACGTTTCTACCATATGTGATCAGTTTAATAGTAACTTTATTTATTTAAAAAAAAGAAACACAATTAGTTACTGTTAAACTGATAAAGGGTGTTTATTTTTACTTTTAGAATTGGTCCTATGAAGAAGTAGAAAGTGAGTCATGCACTAGACAGTGGGCCTAGCTCATCAGTGGCTAAAGTTGAAAAGGGGTTGGTTTCCTGTATATATATGTATGTATATACACACGTACATACATTCATATATATACATATATACATAATGTGCTTAACCACTGCCTTTTAAAACTTTAAATTAAATAAAACATTGGGGTTGATTCAATTTGGCCATCTGTGTGTGTTTCTTTATAGATACATGGGCTAAACAATACTATTTCACAGTTTATGCTTTTTTAAAGTGCTTTTACATCCATGGTCCCACTTCTAATAGCCTTTTTAAGGACAGGTAGAGTACATGGAGGGTTACTGAAAAGGTCATTTATCCAGAAGTTACCTCTCTGGCAAAGCAAAAAAATCAGGAATTACGTCTTAAAGGCCTTTCAGCTGCCAGAGGAGATGTCACAAAGTTTCTTGCAACTTACTTATGGGAGAGATCTTCAAGAATATCACTCTTAGACTCTGAACTGAAATTTGCATACGCTTCCAACATGTTTTATTAGCTGGCTTTGAAGCTCACAAAAGAATGGCAAAGAAAGAGGCTGCTAGATTGAAGGCAGGCATACTGAAAGAAGAAAAAGGCCAACTGAAAACTAGATAGTGAGATGAGAAGAATAAAACTTCAAGACATAGCAAATCTGGGACTGTCTACTTACCAAAGGATACTCTAGTTGACCCAGAAAATGTGTGTACAACAGTATGGCCCGTAGACTACTTCCTATAATGGTGACCCTGAGTTTTTTTAAAAGAAGAAATTAAATCCAGAACGCTTTATAAAAGGGTAGGAAGAAGACAATAGATGTTAGAATTTCATCCAAAATGTTTGAGGGAGAGGTGAGTGACCCAGGTTTTAACCAACAGCAAAAGAAATGGGCAATTCATAATTTTAGATTAAGTGAAAAGTTTAGAAAAAATTTAAGTATTTTTGTTATTCTACAAATGCATTTTTAAAGTATTTTTATAATTTCTATAATCAAATAGCTTTGGCATGCATGTCAGCTTACCTAAATGAAGATGTGTTTAATGAAATGCCATCTTACCAGCTTTCTTTATGCAGAGTAAGTGTTTGAACAGTCCTGTTTCAGTAGCTGTGCTCTTCTGCTTTCAGTGAGTTCTGTTTCATTTTGCATTTCTCTGCACTGGGCACTAAGCTTTGTTTTTGAAAAGAGAGTTTGCGGGGAAGAAGATGAGAGTGTCTTCATCTGGCACACAGAAAGAGAACTAATATCTGTTAAGTGCTTACTACATGCTGGGCTTTTGATGTATGTTATCTCATGTAACCTCACCTTATCGCATATGAAAGATCCTCTCCAGAAAGCTTATGAAAGTTACCCCACGTCACAGCAAGGAAGAGTCCAACTCTGGTGGCCTGACTCCCAGCACCACTCCTTCCTTTTCCCCACAGCACACCTGGGCCCACACTGTGCCTCCTTAGGGCTCTGAAATGCTGGGAACAGAGTGGTGTGAGGAGGGTGGTCATTCTCAGGCCATTTTAAGCAATAACTATTTCAACAGAACTAGTTTAAAGAGGTTTTTAAGCAGGGAAGTGACCTGAAGTGGAAGTATGAGTGGGAAACTTGCATGGTCAGCACTGGATTTCCAATGAAGACCTGGAATCCGTTAGGATAGGCCAGGGACCAAGGCTGCAGGCTGGCCTCTCTGCCCACAACTCTCCTGACCTTGGAAGCAGGGTACGGAGGCGTGTGTCCTAAAATAAAGCATTTGAGCTGCTGCTACAGAGGAACAATCACCAGATATTGTGACCCTTTCAGATGCCCAGTAGTCCTGGGAGGCAGGCAGGGCAGGTGTTATTATCCCTTCTTTATAAATGAGGACACAGAATGAGGCAGTACAAGTGACTCTAAACACCCCCTTAGTGCCACATCAGTCTCGCCACCTCCCAGGACTAGGTGTCACCTGTATTGACCTCTTCCCCTCTGATTATAAAAGTAATATATGTTCATTGTGGAAAGTTTGGAAAATGCAGAAAATAAAATTAATAATTTACCCCAAATCCCACCATCCTGAGATCATCACTGTTAATGTTTTAGTGTATTTCCTTCCTGTATTTTTTCTATGCATATATAATTTATTTTACTACAAGATTGGGATCATGCTGTATTTACAGATTTGTATCCTGCTTTCTTTAACATATTGTGAGCATTTTCCCATGTCAATAAATATTCTTCAAAAAGTAATGGCTATATGATATTCCATTATGTGAATTGTGGCAGACACTGCTAGTTTCCTTCCCAATATTCTTTCTAACAGAAGACATCATGACCACCACGCCCATAAAAAAAAAAAAAAATTTAAAAAGGTGGTGCCTGCTGCCTTTCTAGAAGGCAGCATGAGTTGTTAGTGCTGAAGAGCAGCAGGAACTAGGGGTGGCACCAGGAGGAGCAGGCTTGCTCTGCCACACAGCAACAGTCTCACAGAAGCCTCGGCAGCACAAGTCAGAACAGCTAGAGTAAGTGCCCCGATAACTATAGTTTTTGTCAAGAAGAGTTATTTGAAGGGAGCGAGGGAGCCAGGTGACTTAGAAAAGTGCATTAAAAAAAAAAAAGACGTCAACCATGTTTAGTGTTTAGTCCAGTTATTCGCATTAATTTTCTTGGAGATATTCACTGCAGTTCCAGAAGTGGAGAACACACAGGGTTGGGGAGTGATGTGTGACTCTCAGTTTTGAAAAGCAAGGTAACACGTGTCAGAATAGGTGTGTGATAAGCACGATATGGAGAACAAACTGTTCAAGGAACAAATTATGGGTGAGGAAGGGAGATATTTGTAGCAACTATGAGAAGGTTTAAGGAAAGGGAGAGGTATCTAGAGAGGACTTTAAGTGGTTTGACTCTGAGCACTGTGTTGAGTCCCTGCACCAGGTCTCCAGGTCTAAGAAACATCAAAGAATATCAGAGCAGCCTTTCTTAAAGCGGAGGGGACTGGAGATCATGAAACCTACATGCCCTGAATTGTAGACAATGAACATACTCTCCCGTGCATCTAGAACAGTGTAAGTTATGTAACATTCTGAGAACTGAGAAAATAGTCACTCCAGTCACTTTCTGTGTTCTGTGGTCCAGATGAAACCTGGTTGAAAAAGGCTCTTCTAAGAGAAGAGATCAAAATTATTCTCCAAGGCTTCTGGAGTCAGATTTGCGTTTTCTTTTAGTGCAGCACCATGAAGATCCTAAGCCCTATCCTGCAGCTATATCCAGATCTCAGAGACCTTTACCTTTTCGGCACTGAACTTCACAATAAGAGCTGCAAGTATTTGTTGAGCAATCACTGTGCCAAGCACTTGAAGTTAGACTGTGCACTAACATGCATGGTGTAAGAAGTCCATAACCAAAGTCTGTACTGTGCACTGACATGCACAGTCTAACTTGAAAACAATCTTGAGAAGTAAGCACTATTATAATAGCTTCCATCCACTTTTCAGATGAGAAAACTAAGACATAAAGGTGTTAAGCACTGTGTGCAAGCACACAGCCCTCTCTATTTGCTTATTAATTGATACACATAGCAAAATTTGAACTCAAGCCTGATGCCAGAGTCCATATAAATACTATGCTTCGAATGTATTGCTTCTGCAATCAGAAAAATGCAATAAAATCTTGCTTATTTGGAAGAAAAGAATGTCAGAAGAGACAAATGGGAAAAACAGAATTGGGAAAACAACACATTTTTCTTACTTCATTTCCATATCACACATTTCTTATCTAGCTCCCATTCAGGAACTAGTCTCAAAGATAAATCTATAGTCCCAAGCACACCAATCCATATCAATTTGTTCAATTAACATTGATTGAGCATTGACTATGTCCCAGGTACTCGTCAATGTGCTTGGGTATACAAACATAACTGAAAGGTCCTATCCCCTGAATACCCACAGTGTAAGAAGTCCATAACCAAAGTCTGTACTGTTACAGGCTGCCAGGATGAGGTATGGCTAATGCTGGCCAGGAGGATTGCGGGGGGTGAATAACAAAGTTTTGTAGGTAACATATGCGTTTTCCATCCACTGGAAAAAGGCTGTTGCTACCAAAAGAACTGGGTCAAACACAAGCTCATGGGCAAAAGGTTTACAGAACACAAGTTGTTGAGTATGATGGAAACAGCTATCCCATGTCTCGTGATTGGACACATGAGCAGCAGCCTTTCAGGCATGAAAAGGACCCCACCAGGAAGAGCACTCTGGCTGCCGTATAGAGAATGGATTGATGCAGGGACAGACAGAAGAGACCAGACAGAAAGCTGTTGCCTCTACCTGGGAGGGGCAAGTAGGGCCTGGATTAGAACACTGGCAGTAGACGTAGAAAAGGGGATGGACTCAAGAAATATTTCAAAGATAAAAGAAACACACTTTGATCTTGGAGAAAGGCAAGAAAGAGCTCATTTAACTCATGAGAATGAGAATGTTCGGAGAAAAGATCATCTGAACCATTGGCTCCTAACCTGTGAACTAAACAACTCTGGGTTTGGGAGTAGGAGAATAGAGTTAAGAGTTAATTCAAGGAGTCTGCAAATGTGTATGGTCACCAAACATTATTTATATACCAAATAAACAATGCCTTGGACATGCAAGTACTCCTATTGTACAAATACTTATATATATACATGTTGACATGATAAAAGCTTATTTATATAAGTTATTACTGCATTCTTAGTATCCTTTTGCCCATCTATTTTCTCAGTTAAAGCACGATAAGCCACTATTATGCGAAAGGAGACCCTGGAAAGTTCAGACTTTAGAAAAAGAAATTCTCATAATTGAAAAAACTTATAACTCTTAGTAAAAAGTATCAGAAACTCAAATTGAACTAGCTTGGTAATGGAAGAACATGTGTCTTTTGTAAAGAAAGGAGGAGATGAACAACCAAGCTGTGGAAAGAATGGAGTGGGGTCTCGGTCACAGCTGAGACCTGAGTCTTATTTACAGGAGGAGATAAAGGGATTTATAAAATCCATGTTCAGTGATGTCATGATGGTAACTTGAAGTCAACTGTGGTGGGAATGTTGACACCACGTGAATCAGCAAACACCACAAATTAGAGCTTTTATTCCCCTGGAGAGCCAATTAAACATTTACCAGCAGTCACTGTAGTATACCCTGCAGAACCCCAGAATGGCTTGGGAATCAGAAATACCAGTAACATCTGCAAATAAGGGTGTGGGTAGGCTTTAAAACAGGCAAATTCCACTCTGCCACCAGCCCCTCCCACACACACACACTTGCAAGCATGTGCATGCAACCAGGTGACTCCCAATCCACCTCCCCAGCATAAGCCAGGAGTTTCACTGAGGAAGTTAATTCAAAAGGCTCTAGACCCTCAGACTCAGGCATAGAAGAAGAAAGGGAGATTCTTACTGAAAATGAGAGTCAGGTAAGAGACCACACATTGAATCACCGGATCTTCAGCCTCCTTCCCTAGTCAGCTCTAAGAACACTGGCAGCCAGGACTCTTCTAGCTGAGAAAGCTGACCCAAAAGAAGAGATATAGAGAATGAATATTAGGAATCCTCCAATGAAATGCCCAGATCCTAGCCTTTTCACAGTCACTCAAGCCACCATTCATTCATTCATTCAACAAATATACACTGAGTGCTAATATCCCAAGCACTGCAGAAGGTGCAAAAGACACAACCGTGAACAAAACAAAGACCCTGACTTCATGGAGCTTTCATTCTTCTGGAGAAAGACAACAAATAAATCTAAACAGCATACTGTGCTGTCACATCAAGTGACGATAAGTCCATTGGAAACAAAAGCAGAGTAAGGCCCAGGTGGAAGTTTTATAAAGGGTCATCAGGGAAAGCCTCTCTGATAAATTGTTTTTTGAGCAGAGACCTGAAAGAAGCGGGAGGAAAAAAGCCGAGTGAACACTTAAGAGATGTTCTCTTCTGGCAGAGGACCCAGCAAGTGCAAAGGCCCTGAGGCAGCAACAATCCGGATATGACGGGAATGGCAGGGTGGCCAGTGCAGCTGGGACAAAGGAAGAAAGGGGGAGGGAGACAGGAGATGGTCAGAGAGAATGAGACCACATCACGCAGGCCTTGGAGAAGACACCCATTGGCTCACACCGAGCTCTCAATCAGGTTTTCTGTGTCTCACTCGTCCATATGGAGGGACAGTCCACAGGGTCTAGACCTTTGAGGAAATCCTCTCGCATGAAAAACAGAGGCCAAAACAAACCAAAAAAACAGGGAGCCAAAGAAAATGTCTACGAAACCACGATTAATTATCATAGACTTCAGCTCTATTACAAGAAAAGAGCAGAACAATAAGCAAGAACTAAAAATAAATAAACCTAGAGCTGAACAAGGGAATTAAATAAAATAGAATTAACTGATAAGCAGTACGCTGGGTAGTGGTTCACTTCATTATAAAGTGCAGTCATGAACCACCTAATGACATTTCAGTCAACAATGGGCAGTGCATATGCCCACGGCCCTATGAGATTATAATGGAGCTGAAAAATTCCTGCAGCCTAGGGACATTATCGCCATCGTATCATCGTGGCTCAACGCATTACTCATGAGCTTGTGATGCTGCTGGTGTAAACAAACCTACTGTGCTGCCAGGCCTATACAACTATCACGTTTAATTATGTACAGAAGGCTGGGTGCAGTGTCTCATGCCTGTAATCCCAACACTTTGAGAGGCCAAGGCAGGAGGACTGCTTGAGGCCAGGAGTTCAAGACCAACCCTGGCAACATAGCGAGACCCTGTCTCCACAAAATATTTTTTAAAAATTAGCCAGGCATGGTGGCACACACCTGTGGTCCCAGCTACCCAGGAGGCTGAGGTGGGAGGATTGCTTGAGCCTGGGAGGTTGAAGCTGCCTTGAGCCATGGTCATGCCACTGCACTCCAGCCTGAGTGACACAGTGAGACCTTGTCTCACACACACACACAAAAAATTATATACAGTACATAATACTTCATCATAATAAATAACTATATTACTGGCTTATTTACTGTATTATGCTTTCTATCATTAGAGTGTACTCCTTCTACTTATTTTTTAAAAGTTAATGATAATGCAGCCTCAGGCAGGTCCTTCAGGGGGTATTCCAGAAGGCATTGCTATCACAGGAGATGACAGCTCCATGCATGCCATTGCCCCTGAAGACCTTCCAGTGGGACAGGATGTGGAGGCGGAAGACAGTGATACTGGGGATCTTGACCCTGCGTAGGCCTAGGTGTGTTTGTGTCTTAGTTTTTAACAACAAAGTTTTGTTTTGTTTGAGACGGAGTCTCACTCTGTTGCCAGGCTGGAGTGCAATGGTGCAATCTCAGCTCACTGCAACCTCTGCCTCCCGGGTTCAAGTGATTCTCCTGCCTCAGCCTCCTGAGTAGCTGGGACTACAGGTGCACACCACCATGCCTGGCTAATTTTTGTATTTTTAGTAGAGACGGGGGTTTCACCGTATTGGCCAGGCTGTTCTTGAACTCCTGACCTCGTGATCCATCTGCCTTGGCCTCTCAAAGTGCTAGGATTACAGGCGTGAGCCACTGCGCCCTGCCACAAAAAAGTTTTTAAAAGTAAAAAAAAAAAAAAAAAAGAAAAAATTTTAAAAATGGGAAAAAGCTTATAGAATAAGAACATAAAGGAAAATATTTTTGTACAGCTGTACAATGCATTTATGTTTTAAGCTAAGTGTTATTACAAGAGTCACAAAGTTAGAAATTTAAGTTTATAAAGTAACTAAGTTACAGTAAGCTAAGGTTAATTTTTCTTGAAGAAAGAAAACATTTTTTAATGAATTTAGTGTAGCCTAAGGGTACAGTGTTTACAAAGCTTACAGGAGTGTGCAGTGATGTCCAAGACCTTCCCATTCACTTGCCACTCACTCACTGACTCACCCACAGCAACTTCCAGTCCTGAAAGCTCAACTCGTAGTAAGTGCCCTGTACAGGTGGACCATCTTTTATCTTTTATACTGTACTTTAACTGTACCTTTTCTATGCTGAGACATGTTTAGATACACAAATCCCTCCCATTGTGTTACAGTTGCTTACAGTATTCAGTACAGTCACATGCTGTACAGGTTTGTGTCCTAGGAGGAACAGGCTATGCCATCTAGCCTAGGTGTGTAGTAGGCAAGACCATCCAGGTTTGTGTGAGTACACTCTGTGATGTTCACACAATGACAAAATCACCTAATCACAAGATTCTTAGAACGCTTCCCTCTTGTTAAGGGCTGCCTGACTGTATACTTGAGTCTCTCAGAAAAACCAATAACATACTGAGCTAGACACCGAGCATAAATATCACAAATATTGTGTGAAATTGGACAGTACCTGGGAGCAATCCAGCTCCAGGAGGGTCAGAAAACTGAAGCCAGAGTTTCAGGCTTCTTACACTTCCTGTGTTTCCACTTTGCTTTCCTTTGTTTTTAATTTGTTTTAATTTTGTTTGTAGAGACAAGGCCTCCCTATGTTGCCAGGTTGGTCTCGAACTCCTGGGCTCAAGCAATCCTCCTGCCTCGACCTCCCAATCCCTTATTTTTTTAGTAAGTTTTTGTTTTTTTAAGTTCTCACCAGTCTTGACTGTGTTTAGGAGAGGTGTGGAAAGGGAGTTTTTTTCTAACTGGTACAAAACGGCCTGGAGTTTTTCTAAGCTTGCACAAAAAGGCTTGCTATCATCATAACCATCATCGTTATCATCATCATCATCATCATCAGACAAAGCCGTAACAGCAGGAACTGAACTGTGAGAACATGCTGAAGGTAGAACTCAGGAGAACAGAGGGTCTCAGTACTATATTAGCAACTCTATCCTCTGGAGAATCTTCTTTCAGAGTTAGATCTTAGAGATCCTCATTTATATTTTATTTGTAAAGTCCAGCCTTCCTTTTCATTACCCCTGCTACATCTGCAGCCTGTTACAAACCTTACACTTTTTTTAAACTGTAAAAAGTGTTGCTTTCTCCAATGCAAAGCAGGAGATAGACAGACTCTCAGGAAAGAAGATGTATGTAATTATTACATGCATTATCTCACTTAAGGCTTCCAAGGATAGGAAAGGACCTTGTAACTGATGAGAAATTGAGGTTCAGAGAGATAAAATCACTTGTTCAAAGGAAGTGAGCTAGCGTTTCACAGAACAAGGATTTCATAGTTATCTGTATGACCCTCAAATTATGTTTTTAGTTACTAGATCACACTGTCTTATGAGATGATTTAGAGTCAATTCTTAAGAAACCTGTGCTAAACAATTACTCTCTTTGATTTGGCAGGCTGGCAAGAAGGGAAGAAAGGGAGGGGAGCGAAGGTAGGGGAGGGAGGGGAGGGGAAGGGAGGAAGAAGAGGGGAGGGGAGGTAGGGGAGGGAAGGGGAAGAAGAGGAGGGGAGGGGAGGAAGAGGAGGGGAGGGGAGGAAGAGGAGGGAAGGGGAGGGAAGGAAGAGGAGGGAAGGGGAGGGAAGGAAGAGGAGGGAAGGGGAGGGAAGGAAGAGGAGGGGAGGAGAGGAAGGGGGAGGGGAGGAGAGGAAGGGGGAGGGGAGGAGAGGAGGGGAGAGGAGGGGAGGAAGGGGAGGGGAGGGGGAAGGGGAGGAAGGGGAGGGGAGGGGGGAGGGGAGGGGAGGAAGGGGAGGGGAGGGAGGAGGGGAGGGGAGGAAGGGGAGGGGAGGGAGGAGGGGAGGGAGGGGAGGGGAGGGGAGGGAGGGGGAGAGAAGCCATCATCAACCAGTCTCCATTTCTCACCTGCAAGTTCTCAGGAATAAGAATAACAAAATGTAATAAGTTACTCTGACAGTTGATGCACTAAGGGCTTTGTATGATTAATCTCATTTTAGTCCTCACAACAACCTTGTATCATCCCACTGCTTTTATTCCTAATGTACTGATGGGAAGTGGTGGCTGAGCTTAGGTCACTTAACTACTTAGCAGTAGATTTGGAATCAAAAGCAGATTGGCAGATTCTAAGCCATGCCCTCTACCCACCAAAGGACTCAGCACCCTCATCCAATATGCCTCTTCTTCATGCATCTCTATCTAGGGACACTTTCTAAGCATCCCTTGATACCATTTCTAGTTTCGAATGTGAATGTCTTGGAAAACTGTCTAGCTGTCCATGTAGCCCACATAGCATATCCTGGGGCTCCACCTCCTGGTTCGGAATCAGTTTCATCAAATATTTTCCTTGACCATTGAACACCTGCCAGATTCACATCCCGCACATGAGCTCATTGACTGCCCATAGTGGAGTTGGGTGGTGCAAGTTTCTCCACTGCCATCCTTATTTCAGACTGGGGTCCTGTGGCTCGGAGAGGTTGTGTTAATGGAGCTAGTGCACTGGAAAGCCACGACTTGAGTCCAGCTCTTTGGATTCCACGTCTCAATTCTTTGTATCATGTAGACAGCTGGTTCTCAGGAGTGGATAATCCAGCCCACCTCATTCCAGTTGCATTAGAAACTTGGTCCTATTTCCTATGGCTCAAATCCTCTTCTCAAGCCCTACTTCCTTTCCCAGAGGTGGAGCCTGGTTCACACTATAAGAGGCAGTAACCCAGGGGTGGGGGCTGCACAGGAGGGGGTGGCAAGGGGACACCTTTTGACCATCAATCTGAATATGGTATGTTTCTTTCTGCTACCTCTAATCCCTCACCATAGTCCCAACAACCATCATATCCATTTATCTTCAAAATCACTCAGAGAGTGTCCCCTTTGGAAGAGCAACCACTTCCATTGCCTGCCCTACCAGCATATCTGTTCCAACCAGACCCTCTGCTCCTGGCCAGACCCAGCCATCCCAGACACACACCAGGTAGCTGTCAGGCAGCCTTCCGCATTTGGAAGTTTTTCAGCAAACATAATAAAAGTTTCCTTTCCACCAGGGTTGGGAAAAGCATCCCATCCTGAAAGACCAGACCACAAGCCTCTTAGTCTTAATACTTACTGAAACAGAAGTAAAAAGTAAAAAGGGCTTCTTAGTCTGGGGGCACCATTCTTGGCCTGGCAAACTTATTTCCCATGCTCTTCACTGTAGAGAGAGGAGGGAGTTGGAGACGGAGTGTGTGGGTTGGTAGGAGCTACCCTCTCCCTGTTTTTCTTGGTGTCAATTAGCATAATTTAAAAGGCAAGGGGAAAAACCTGATATCTATGTGACTGCTTTCGCTTTAAACTTGTCCGACTTTGGAGGCTGATTATGGCCAAGTGACCCATATTTTAAAAACATTTACAATAAAATGATGCATTTTCTTTTTGTGCCATCAGCTTCCCTGATGAAAGGCAGAAATGCTTTAAAATTGTCCCTTTTTGTTAGCAGTAATGGCTGTGCTATATTTCAGCTCATCCCCCTCGTGGGCATAGAAAGGGAAGGGTAATAAAGGGCACAGCTGTAGACACTTTATGGCCTGCGTGGGGGGTGGGGTGGGGGAAGGGGAGTGGAGGCAAGAAACAGATTGACTGTGTGTCAACAAATGCAGCTGGGAAAGAGAAAGCTCTTGAAGACCTCTGCCACTTAAAAGTCCTGGATAAATGATGTTCCTATTTGGAAAGGAAAAAAATGGAGGTGAAATTCAATAAAGGATGGCTGAAAAGAGAAGGGTTCCAAAGGCCTTTCTCTGCAGCTAGGCAGCTCCCAAGAGAAATGAGCAAAAGTGGCCGTAGGCGACAGTGAGTGGGAGGGGGGCTGCAGCCCAAAGAGGCAACAAAGGCCCTTCCCGGCCAATGCATTACGACGCCAGGGTTGGCCAAGCCGGGCCCTCATGAGCCCGGCCAAGTTGGGGGTGGAAATGGTCGAGTTGAAAGAAATGCCCCAGGAAACCCTGACACAGTTATGTTTCAGGGCGTGCTCATGCCTTGCATTTGAGAAAGAAAAAGGCAGAAAATAGATGACCCCTTAGGGCAGAGGCTGAGTCAGGTTATGATAGAAAAAACATTGCTCTGGGGGTCAGGAGACTTAGATCGAGCCCCACCTCTGGCACTGACCAGCTTTCTGAGGTAAGCATGTCCACGAGCAGTGTCAGTCCTGGATCTGCAGGCCCTTGATTGGTGATGAAAACTTGCCCTTCCAGCGTCTCACTGGAATCTCACCAACACCCTGGAAAGCAAGTTGGGATCCTTGGCCCCGCCATCTGCACATAAGAAAACGAAGTCTCAAGGAGGGAAAGTGCTTGCCGAGGGTCACACAAATAACAAATAGAAGAGACAGTCTTCATCTCCAGGAGAATCCCTTCCTTCCTTTTCCATTCCATTGGCCTCGGCGAATGGGGAGAGAAGCTTTCCTTCATGAAAACCCCATAAGGAAAGCCTCTAGGAGGATGTAGCCGCATCTTCTGGGGACCAGCACTTCCCACAGAGGTTGCTGGGCACCAACTCTAAACCAAATTATATCTGTTAGAAAGCAAGAAGCGGCCAGGTGCGGTGGCTCATGTCTGTAATCCCAGCACTTTGGGAGGCCGAGGCAGGTGGATCACGAGGTCAGGAGATTGAGACCATCCTGGCCAACATGGTGAAACCCCGTCTCTACTAAAAACGCAAAAATTAGCCAGGCGTGGTGGCGGGCACCTGTAGTCCCAGCTACTCAGGAGGCTGAGGCAGGAGAATCCCTTTGAACCCGGTAGGTGGAGATTGCAGTGAGCGGCGATCACACCACTACACTCCAGCCTGGGTGACAGAGCGAGACTCTGTCTCCAGAAAAAAAAAAAAAAAAAAGCAAGGAGCAGAAACCTCACTCAGTCTGGCTTATATAAGAAGCGAATCTCACAACATCTGGAAGCCCAGAGGGTTGATCTAGCGGCTCCACGCTGGTAAGGAAGCATCGCTCTGCTCCATCACTGCAGAGAGAGCTTCATCCCGAAACCCATAGCCAAATGGCAGAAGTTCCAAGCATAACATCCAGACATGACAATAGCCAAGAAGATCGCCTTTCCCTGCAACTCCCTCTTAAGAGTAAGAAACCTTCCCAACAGACCTCCTGAAGACTCTTTGGACAGAATTGGGTCATCTGCCCATTCCTGAACCAATTATCAAGGGAAATGGGATCACCCTTAGTTAATAAAAGCCTTTACATGGAACTAGGGCTCAGGTCAGCTCTCCCTGAAGCCCATGGTGAGGAGTGGAGATGTGAGAAAATAGGATTCTGCTGGAAAGAAAGTTGTAGAAACAAATTTTGGATATACAACCAATAGTGACCACTGAACCAACAGCATCCACTAAAGAGGTTTGAGAACTACATGGCTCTGACTATGTACCTGTTGGAATGGCTAAAATAAAGATGAAATGTGCCCCCAAAATGAGACAATGCATATTAAGTGCTTAGCATAACACCAGGCACATGGTAAGCAATCAATAAATACTATCTGTTATTATTATTGTTATTATTATTACCGAGATGGAGTTTCACTCTTTGTTGCCCAGGCTGGAGTGCAATGGCGTGATCTTGGCTCACCGCAACCTCCACCTCCCAGGTTCAAGTGATTCTTCTGCCTCGGTCTTCCGGAGTAGCTGGGATTACAGGCATGTTCCACCATGTCCAGCTAATTTTATATTTTTAGTAGAGATGGGGGTTTCTCCATGTTGGTCAGGCTAGTCTCAAACCCCCAGCCTCAGGTGATCTGCCTGCCTTAAGCTCCCAAAGTGCTCGGATTACAGGCGTGAGCCACCACGCCCGGCCAAGAGTCTGCATTTCTAACCAATCACAGCTGAAAGCAGTGATACTGGTCTGCAGACCACACCTTGAGAAGCAAGGCTCTAGGTCTCAGGGAAAGCATGAATCAGAGGAATTGGAGAGAAATGGAGGGGAGGGGTTCTCCCACAGGTGGTGGGAACAAATCTAGAGTGTAATGTTCCAAAACTGTTATCAGGTCTGCATTTAAAGTTGGTGTCACTTAAGAAACATAGGTTACAAAATGACTGGTTACCACATATTAACAAGAATTAGACAAGCCTGGACTATACTATTGTGATTAAAACAACAAACAAATAGGTAGGGTGTTTTTAAAACACTCAATTGCTCTGCCGTCTTATTAAACACATGGCCTTATGAGGTAGATTTTAGCATTATCCCCATTTTACAGAGACTTCGATGAATTTGCCCAAAGTCACCCAATCAGCATAAGTGACTAAAACCAGATCAAATTTCCAGCTTGTCTAACTCTACATTTTTTTTAATCTTTCAAGCTTTTATTTAAGTGCAATGATCCAGAATGGAATTTAGATCTTGTTGAAAGCAGCCACATCCATGGGCTATACATAATCCTGAAAAGCAGCGATCTGCTCCTCCAGCATATCTGTTCCAAATTTATCATCTTCAACCACACACTGTATTTGAAGTTTCTTAAATCTGTATCCCACTGGAACTAGTTTAGATGAGCCCCAGACTAAGCCATCTGCTTGAATGCTTCTGACTCACTCCTTTCATTTTGCCATATCTGTCTCATCATCCCAAGGTTTCATGTCTAAGATGGAAGACTTGGCAACAAGTGCAGGTTTTTTTTCTTTTAGGTTTGATGATCCTCTCTAATTTTTGCACTTATCATGTATTTTTTCTTCTATTGATCTTATTTTACTTTTTTTTTTTTTATGGAGTCTCTGTCACTCAGGCTGGAGTGCAGTGGCACGATCTTGGTTCACTGCAACCTCTGCCTCCCGGGTTCAAGCAATTCTCCTGCCTCACCCTTCCGAGTAGCTGGGATTACAGGCACCCACCACCACGCCCAGCTAATTTTTGTATTTTTAGTAGAGACGGGGGGTTTCACCAAGTTGGTCAGGCTGGTCTCAAACTCCTGACCTCAAATGACCCACCCACCTTGGCCTCCCAAAGTGCTGGGATTACAGGCATGAGCCACCGCGCCTAGCCTTAAGTGCAAGTTTTTTGGCTTTCTTTGATTCATATTGTGCAAGGTGTTTGTTCTTCCCTTAACCTCTTTGCTTCTTCACTTTCCTCCTCATCAGATCCAAGGAGATCAATTTCATCATCATCTTTACTATTTGTAGCTCCACTTCCTGTAGTGTCTTCCACCTTAGCAGGACCATACCTGCCCACAGCTTTCTTCACTCCTGGCAGGCTGGCCTTTTCCTTTTCATAAGACTTGATCTGATTATACCAACATAGGGCATGACACAAGTCAGCAGGCGGTGGGCCGGACACTGCTTCATAGACTGCCACACGTGCTTGTGATGGCACATACCCTCGATGTAGCTCTTGTCCACCAGGTAATCGTTGAGCACCTGGAGGCTAGCCGGGCTTTTCAGATCTCTGAAACCCATGGCGTCATCGGCTGTATCCAAGAGCTGGGAGCAGCAGAAAGAGCGCAAGTTATGGGCACCCTGCGCTGAGAGAGGAAGAAGCTACGTTCTTTTTTTTATTCCTCTAACATTTTATCACCCAAGCTTCCACTCTCCAGCAGAAAAATAAGTAACCTTGTTTCATCTGTAGACCTAGAACCCGTCTTTGACTGACTCTTGCTCCCACTTGCTACAGCAGGACCCTAGTTACAACAATCCCCAAAGTGCTTCTGGAAATCCCCATAAAGTATGTTGCATGGATTCACAAAATTAAGATAGCCATCTGTAAAGCTTAAGCTATATATATCCAGGTCGGTGTTGTTTCAATATTTCTTCCTCCACATCCTCACGCCCGTACCTAATATCCAGCCATACTTTTCTAATCACCATTCCTAGAACATCTGACGCACCTGTTATACCTGCCCAAGCTCCTCTTCACTGATGAATCCCAACGTCTCTGCTTGGTGAACTCCGCTTTCAAAATCCATCTCAAAGTCCCCTCCTCTGTGAAGTTAAGAGTGCCTAGAAAAAATAAATCAGTGATTTTTTTCCTTCCATTGTGTCTTATTAATGAACATGTTTTATAAAGTGCCTGCCAGGAGCCAGAGTATGAGGATTAAAATGAATTAATAACGTAGAGCTTAGCTCAATGCCCAGCACCCTAAAACCACTGCATAGGAGTTAGTTATGATGCCGATGATGACGGTGATGATGCTGCCAGTGCGTCTCAGAGAGAGAAAGGACGAACGCACAACCCGGGATCCAAGGGGCCTGGAAGCTGCTGAGAAAGGCCCTCAGGAAATCCCAATACCGTGCAAATTGAGCTTTGTAATAAGGCACAGGGCACTTTTGGATCACACGGACGGGATTCTTATCCAGCCTAGGTTCTGCAAGAGATCAAAAAAGTTCCTCCAAGGAGTGGGCATAGAAGGGAGCAGTATAAATAAAAATAAATGCACATTCCAAGAAGCTGCTAAAGCTCTAACCTTTCCGGACTACGCTTTGGAAGTGCCAGTTTACACCAGGCTCGACAGTCGAGCCACTTGGATCCGAGAGCCCATGGTCCAGCTGGACCACCCAGCCTGCTCAGGACACCCGCCTCGCGAGTGGAGCGCTAGGATTCAGGTCCAGATCTGACTGGGAAGCTTCCGCAGGGAATTCCGCCCCGGACCCCTGGAGACCCACATCGTCCGGTGTGTTTTCCTTTCACAACACTTCCCACAGCCTGTAATTACATGATTATATATTTGGGGGCATGTGTTTACTGTCTGTCTCCCTGACTGGGCTGTCAGCGTTTTGCTCACCACTGGATTCTCAGGGCTCCGCACTCAGGAAAGGTTCAGCGAGGTTTGTGTTCAGGGAACTGGGGAGGGCGGGGCCGTAGCGAGGAGCAGCTGGGCCCGGCGTGGGGGTGGGCGGGGCCCAGGGAGTAGGCGGGGTCTGAGTGAGTGGCTGCTGGGCAAGGAGTCTCGGCAGGTAGCACTCTGCGGAGAGCAACCCTGAGAGTCTAAGACCCTCGGGGGTGAACAGCCCCTGTCGGATGGGTAGCCTGCTCCAGCCAGACCATCCTCCACCATGTCCACATTGAGCTTTCAGAAAATGTACATTCTAACCATTGTAGTGGCCCTTTCCCGCCTTCAGAATAAAATCCAAATCTTAAATGCAAGATTATAAGCATCTTTATTCAGTTACATTTCAAACGCTTATTATTCTGAAGGGGTTTTTTTAAAATTAAGCATTAAAAGTTACTTTAATAAAGCAACTCATGGATATGTGATAAAATTGTACAAAACTAAATACACTCACAAGTGTATGTAAAACTGTGACATCTGCATAAATTTGGCGGGTTGTATCAATGTTAATTTCCTGATGGTGATAATGTAATATAACCTTGCACGGTGTTTCATTTGCTTTATTTCTTACAACTGCATATGACTCTAAAATTACCTCCAAGTAGTTTTTTATAAATATACATATATAACAGAAAATAGTTGCCAATAAGCTATTTTTTAATACTTTCTATGTATACCTCGTGTTCCCTGAAAGGCACTTGAAGGGAAAAACCAGGTCTGATTAATTTTCATAACAGCAATAGAAGTTAATAGCTTCATACAGAGTACAAATGAATTTCTAAGAATTCTCAGGCCACAGTTCAGTGCCTAACTCAATGATTAAGCTTGTGAGACCTTTTAAGGCCCTGGGAGAGACCCTGGCAAAAGGTTCACATGATCATATATTTTTGCACAGTTTGAAAAATTAAGACATTTTAGTGGCCATCTATTAAGATCACTGTTTCTTTTCATTCTAACTTTCCTTTATCAAATTTCTCTTCCATCAGGTGACAGTGTCCTGGCTCAGGGCATTTTGGGGTCTTGCTAAGGGGAGATTGAGTTGGAAATGCTCCATTTTAATCACACTTTGGAAAGATGCTTTGGGGACTTTTCAGTAAAACAGGTGAGAAATTTGCAGTCTCCTGATGTGGATATATATGAAGGGCATCTTTTATTTTTTGCGTCTTTAAATATATTTTTGAAATCCTCTAGAAAAATTCATATAGTAAAAAAATGGTACATGAAACAAAAAGAAATAAAGATGAGCAATAAAGCCAAAGAAAATTATTCTGACACTGAGGAGCATAACAAAATCAATTTCAGGTAATACTAAAACATAATTAATTGAGAATAAGAGACACATTTTAAATAACAACAATAGTCAGGCTTTTGGATTGCTTGATAATCTAATGATAAGAGTGAATTACAGGGACCCACTAGGAATAGATTTAAACTTGCTCAATGATTTGCTAAGGAATACTAACAACTATGAAGATAATATCAAACACCTGACCCACATTATGGAGAAGACACTGAGGACTTACTGGTTATGGGTGTTATCAATTTAATGAGTCACTGTGCATTAAGCATTCACTGTGCGAGAAAACTTCAACTGCCCTGAAAACTTATAGTTCATTCACGATAGGAATTTGATACTTCCTCAAATTTGACAACAATCTTAAAAAAACTTATATCCCTTACATGTGACATTTGTTACGGAGCTGAAACAAAGAATTCCAAACTCTCCATATAAAAACAAATTATGTTTTTATTTTTATTTATTATTATTATTTGAGACAGAGTCTCTGTTGCTCAGGCTGGAGTGCAGTGGTGTCATCTTGGCTCACTGCAGCCTCTGCCTCCCAGGTTCAAGCGATTCTCCTGCCTCAGCCTCCCAAGTAGCTGAGATTACAGGCATACACCACCTCACCCAGCTAATTTTTGTATTTTTAGTAGAGACGGGGTTTCGCCATGTTGGCAAGGCTCGTCTCGAACTCCTGACCTCAGGTGATCCACCTGCCTTGGCCTCCCAAAGTGCTGGGATTACAGGCATGAGCCACTGCACCCGGCCTCCATATAAAAACAAATTATGATCAACCACACTAGGAGAGAGAGGCTGATTATCTTTCTATTTTCTCTATGGAAAATGTAACAAAATCCTTGTTTATACAAAGATGTGTCTTGGTCCATTCGGGTTACTATAACAGAATACCTTAGGCTGGGTATTTTATAAACAATAGAAATGTATTGCACACAGTTTTGGAGGCTGGGAAGTTCAAGATTAAGGTGCCAACCAACTCAGTGTCTGGTGAGGGCTTGCTCTCTGAGTCAAAGATGGCACCCTCTTGCTGGGTTCTTACGTGGCGGCAGGGACAAATGAGCTCCCTCGAGCCACTTTTATAAGGGCATGAGTCCCATTCCTGTGGGTGGGGTATCGTGATTGAATCACTTCCCAAAAACCCCATCTCTTAATACTATTACATTAGAAATTAGGTTCCAACATAGAAATGTTGCGAGGACACCAACATTTAGACTATAGCAAGGTGATTAAAGATTATGCAGCCAAATATAGTAGGAAAATGATCATAATAGAATATTTCAAATTATTAATAAAAAATATTAGGTGTTTTTCTGAATCTTGTGATGTTCGTGGTACTGGACAACTTCATAAAATTTGTATGTAAGCATTCACTTTCACGTCTAACTTGGCATTCATAGTTTTGTATTCTTTTCTTAGAGAACCAAGAACTACAGAAGCATCAGGCCTCCCAAACCTGGATCTGCCTCCATCTCTGTAATCCAAGGCTATACCTGCCTCTGCTTACCTTGTCAGCCCCAGCTTCCACCACCACCCACCATCCCCAACCACACAGACACCCAGGAATTCCAAGCACCAGCACTTCACATATGTTACCTCATTTAATCTTCACACAATAGCTAGATTCTATTTTTATTCCTACACTGACGGATTAATGGCAGAGCAGGGGTTCGAACTTAGGTAGCCAGGTTCCAGCGTCCATGCTATTAATGAGAACATTTGACTTCCTCCCATGTTGGTCACATCATCTTTAAAATTTATGAAAAACTACTAACAGTGCTAGAGTTAGAGGCATTATCATTTCATTCTCATAACAACCTCAGGAGATAGACTGAGACTCTTCACTTCCATGCAAGAAATGCTAAGGATGAATCAGTCAGGATAGGCTAGGACATGCTGCAGAAACAACCTCCACAATCTCTGCGCAACAATGAGGTTATTTCTCAACTCCTGTTCTATTTGTTCTATTTCCTTCCAGTCATGTGGCAGAAACACACCAGCGATCCTGCTGTCACAACCCAGCCTGATTGGGGCTGCTCAGATTAGAGATAAGCATGAGATGCTATGGGGAAAAAGGGACAGATGGCACCTAACCTAGCTTTGGAAGGTGAGAAAAGAGTGACAAGGATGCTTTCCTAGAGGAGCTGATACTTGAATGAGCTTTAGAATAGAGCAAAAACTAGCAAGGTGGGTGACGGGAGGAAGACTTATTTTTTTTTTTTTTTTTTTTTGAGATGGAGTTTAGTTCTTATTGCCCAGGCTGGAGTACAATGGCATGATCTTGGCTCACTGCAATCTCCGCTTCCTGGTTCAAGCAATTCTCCAGCCTCAGCCTCCTGAGTAGCTGGGATTACAGGCATGCACCACCACACCCAGCTAATTTTTTTGTATTTTTAGTACAGATGGGGTTTCACCATGTTGGTTAGGCTGGTCTCAAACTCCTGACCTCAGGTGATCCACTTGCCTCGGCCTCCCAAAGTGCTGGGATTACAGGAGTAAGCCACCATGCCCAGCCAGGAGGGAGGGTTCCCTAAGAAAAAATTACTGCCCCTAATTTACAGAAGAGAAAACTGAGGCTTCTCCAAGATCACATATCTCACCAGCAGAGGGCCAGAGATAGACTCAGTGAATTGTTTGCTCTCCCTACAATGTTGTACGTCTGTCTTGCATGCAAATGTTTCAACATGCCTCTTCTCCTACCTGAATCAGAACCCAGCCCTCCAGCCCCAGTGAGGGGGCACAAAGAGGAAAAGGAGCTGCCGCGGAAGGAAGGCATACGCCAATGAGTTCCTGGAGGTGGGGGTCTGGGGGACGAGCACGTGGGAACCAGCCTGAGCATTTGTGAGCTCTGGAACAGTCACCCTGGGCTTCCAGACCTTCATTTGAATCTTTAACGAGCTGGAATGACCTGAGAAAGAGGACTAGGAATCTACTGGGAAAACCCCAGCTCAGAGGGCCTCTGGGGAAGGAAACCTCCTCAAATCCCAGGCTTTCTGGACTCTTCTTCTAGTGCTCCTCCTTTTCCTAGGTGCGGCAGACACTGTGTTGAGTACCTGCCCAGCCTACACCTGCCTCCCTGAGAGCTGTCCCCTCACACCCACTCTCAGAACCTTCTTGGTAATGTCTGTGCCCATCCACCCCAGCCTCAGCTGAGGTGGCCCAGACAGGGAAGTAGCACAGACAGAGTGGGACAGGGAGCAAAGACTGTGTGGCTCTGAAGCGAGTAATTGCAGCGCTGAACTTTCCAGGACACCCAGCGGTAGTACCATTCTTTTTTTTTTTTTTTTTTTTTTTGTCTCCCTTAAGGCAGTTGAATGGGTTCTAGTGATGGTTCTGTTAAATTAAGTTTAGCCTAAAACTGCCTCCTTACATATTTTAAGTTCGGCCTAAAGGTTTCTCTTACCTAGTGAACTGTAACCTAACTGGATGTGTGAACAGACTGTAACCTCCTCTTGTGCCAGTCATTGAGTTTCTGCCAATCACAGGTGGCCAACTGTTCAAATCATGTTTAAATCAGGCGAATGCATGTCGTAACCACGTGGGCTGTTTCTGCACCTCCATTCCACCTTCTGTAGGTCATTTTCCTTTTTCTGTCCATAAATCTTCTTATACCACATGACTAGCTGGACCCTCTCATTGAGGGGCTGCCCAATTCACAAATCCTTCTTTGCTCAGTTAAACTATGTCAATTTTTAAATTTGTCCTCTTTCTTCCTCTTTCTTTCCCTTTCTTTCTTTCCCCTTCTTTCCCCCCTTTCCTTCCTTCCTTCCGTCCTTCCCCCCTCTCTCTCTGTCTCTGTCTCTCTCTCTCTCTTTCTTTCACCCAGGCTATAGTGCAGTGGCATGATCACAGCTCACTGCAACCTTCCACCTCAGTCTCCCAAGTAGCTGAGATTACAGGCACGTGTCACCACGCCTGACTATTTTTTGTATTTTTTTGTAGGGACAGGGTTTCACTACGTTGTCCAGGCCGGTCTCAAAATCCTGGGCTCCAGTAATCCTCCTGCCTCAGACTCCCAAAGTGCTGGGATTACAGGGATCATCCTGATGCTGCCTGTCAGATTGTGTGCACGTGTGCCTTTTCCTGGGGCATGTTTCCTAGGAATCCTCTTAAGATCCTAGAGTGATCTATGGCCCAGAAAAGGTTAAGAACTATTAAAAGAACAAAACTGGCCGGGAACCATGGCTCAAGCCTGTAATCCCAACACTGGGAGGCTGAGGTGGGAGGCTTGTTTGAGCCTGGGAGGTCAAAGCTGCAGTGAGCCGTGATTCTGTCACTGCACTACACGGGTGCATGCAGGTTCTTATTCCTGTCCCCTCTCCCTCCCTCATCTGTTTTCCAGAGGTCTCCAGTTTTGGTCATTGAGGTATCCAGACCCAATCTCAGGTGGAACAGAAACCAGAGTCTTTGGTGGCAGCTCTTGGGCCAGACCCTAATGCTCCTGATGGGTGCTGTAGTATGCACGGGCAGCAGAGAGCTGTGGAGTTTGACTTCCTGCCTGGAATCAGGTCCTTTCTAAGGCCTGAGAGTGAAAAGGGAGCTGCTTGGAGAGCCCAGGCTGACCCATTCATGGAGGGAGCCAGGGAAGTGGGGCAGAATTGGCATGCCGTCTCATTCGTTTTGAAAGAATATTGTCTATCTGTCTCCCAAGAGGTGGGCTCAGTGCAGACTCTGGAAACTGAGCCAGGATTTTAGGACATCTGGATTCCTCTCTCTGCATGGCAATAAATAAGCCCTATTCTTGGGGACACTTTGGGCATCACAAAATGATAAATAAGAAAGTCATCAGAGCCGGGCGCGGTGGCTCACGCCTGTAATCCCAGCACTTTGGGAGGCCGAGGTGGGCGGATCACGAGGTCAGGAGATCGAGACCATCCTGGCTAACACGGTGAAACCCTGTCTCTACTAAAAATACAAACAATTAGCTGGGCGTGGTGGCGGGTGCCTGTAGTCCCAGCTACTCGGGAGGCTGAGGCAGGAGAATCGCTTGAACCCAGAAGGCAGAGGTTGCAGTGAGCTGAGATTACGCCACTGCACTCCAGTCTCGGTGACAGAGCGAGACTTCATCTAAAAAATAAAAAAAAGAAAAAGCCATCAGAAGATAATAATTTTTTTATTTTTTAGAGACAGAGTCTCACTGTCACCCATGCTGGAGTACTGTGGCATGATCATAGCTCACTGCAGCCTTGAACTCCTAGGCTCAAGCAATCCTCCTGCCTCAGCCTCCCGAAGTAGCTAGGACTACAGATATGCATCACCATACCTGATTAATTTTTTTTGTGTGTGGAGACTGGGGTCTCACTAGGTTGCCCAGGCTGGTCTCAAACCCCTGGTCTCAAGCAATCCTCCCACCTTGGCCTCCCAAAGTGCTAAGATTACAGATGTGAGTCACAGTGCCCAACTGAGAAAATGATTTTTAAATGCAGGTCACATTTGTGGTTTGTGTTACTTCCTGATTTTGCTAATTAGAGCAATACACAAACCCACCACTTCCCTTTTTTCCTCCTATAGCTCTATCTATGAAAATTCTATGGTGGGCATTTTCTTCTTAGTTTTCCCCAAAGCCTAGCCAGTGTCTCTGGGACTTCAAGCAGGGGAAGAAAACCATTCTTATGAAGACAAGATTGTACAGATTTCTATTCCGGTCAAGTGTTAATACCCAAAGAGTAGTTTAACGCTTCCTTCCTCACTCCCCAGAAATCTTGTCAGCTGATCCTGGTTAGAGGCCATCCCAGACCTAAGGGCAGGAATATGGTGGCCATAAAGAGGATGGAGAAAGTTGCTAGACTGAATCAACTGTAGACTCCAGCTCCTTATGAAAAGTGGAAAGTACATGCTGGGTTACAAGCTGACCCTGAAGATGATCAGACAAGGCAAAACGAAATTGATCATCCTCGCTAACAACTACCCAGCTTTGAGGAAATCCAAAATAGAGTACTAGGCCCTATTGGCCAAAACTGGTGTCCGATATTATTGCCACTACAATGGCAAGAATATTGAATTAGGCACAGCATGCAGAAAATACTAGAGTCTGTACATTGTCTATCATTGATCTCGGTGATTCTGAGTTCATTAGAAGCATGGCAGAGAAGACTGGTGAAAAGTAAACCATACAAAATTTTGTTTAATAAAACTTGCCCAGAACTTGTTTTTTGGTTTTTTTTTTTTTAAAGAGTTCATGTCACCATTGCAAGAGACAGTTGGAATCTTCCCGTTTCCTCTGTTCTCAGTGTCACACACTGAGAACTCCTGGGTGATGATAACCTCAGAGGGGTTCTCTATCAGATGCCACCTCCATCTCAGGAAGTGATGGGGGGGAAGTTACACTGGACACTTACTGAGTACCAGGCTCTATGCTGCTTTGACACATCCAATGCAGGATTTATGATCCTCATTTTTCAATCAGGGAAACTAAGTCTCAGAGCAATAAAGCTTTCCCAGGATAACTTAGCTAGGGGTCTCAGAGTCTGCCTGCAAACCTAAGTCTGATCTGGCTCCAGAAGCTGTGTGCTATCCACTCTGTAGCTCTGTTTCAGAAACGTCACTTTCCTTATTGTCGGTTAAGATTCCATACTGCCAGACCAGGGAATCCCATTCTCTCCCAGTAGGAAATTTCACAAACCTCCTAGTCAACAGCGAATTGGAGAGTCGCCCCATAAAAGCCTGGGCATCCATCTACTAAATGCAGGCTGGGGGAGGGGCTCAGGCAGTTGCTGGTTCTGGTTCCTTCTTGAGTTTGACTTCATTTCCTGTCCTTGGAGGCCATGGGACACCCCCATGTTCTTCCCATACGTTGACCTTTTCTGATTCAATAGGGAGAATAGGTTTTTGCTTCTTTTTTCCTTTCTTTTTCTTCGAGACAGTGCCTCACTCTGTTGCCAGGCTGGAGTGCAATGGTGTGATCACGGCTCACTGCAGCCTTGTACTCCTGGGCTCAAGTGATCGTCCTGCTCAGCCTCCCAAGTAGCTGGGACTACAGGTGCACACCACCATACCTGGTGAAGTTTTAAATTTTTTGTAGAGACGGGGTCTCGCTATGTTGCCCAGGCTGGTCTTGAACTCCTGGCCTCAAGTGATCCTCCTGCCTCAGCCTCCCAAAGCACTGGGATTACAGGAGCAAGCCACCATGCCTGGCTGGTTTTTGCTTCTTAAAATCACATGAACCCTGATTAACACAGAAATAAATCAATCCAGTTCTTTTTGTTTTGTTTTGAGGTGGAGTCTTGCTGTGTCGCCCAGGCTGGAGGGCAGTGGCGCAATCTTGGCTCACTGCAACCTCTGCCTCTTGGGTTCAAGTGATTCTCCTGCTTCAGTTTTGGAGTAGCTGGGATTACAGGCGTGCACCACCACATCTGGCTAATTTTTGTATTTTTAGTAAAGATGGGATTTCGCCACATTGCCCAGGCTGGTTTCAAACTCCTGGCCTCAAGTGATTTGCCTGCCTCGGCCTCCCAAAGTGCTGGGATTACAGGTGTGAGCCACCATGCCCAGCTTAAATCCAGTTCTTTTATTGCTCACTTTTCAAAACGTTCCTGAAAACTTCAATAATGACATTTATGAAGTCTCAGACACCAGGAATGTCTGCATGGCTGGGTCATGTGGCAGTGCATCTGGGGTCTTCCCCATTGTCTTCCTTTAATAACAACCTCTGCCATGTGCATGCCACACTTTCTCCC
Organism: Homo sapiens; assembly: GCF_000001405.40. Taxonomy (NCBI): domain Eukaryota; kingdom Metazoa; phylum Chordata; class Mammalia; order Primates; family Hominidae; genus Homo; species Homo sapiens. Next base: position 106,912,682 of record NC_000012.12, read on the forward strand.
AGCTGCCTCCTGGATTTACAGGAAGCACAGCCTAGTGGGAGACGCTTAGGTTTGGAAATCAGAGCAGAGTTTGAATCCCGGCTCTACCAACTTGAGTAAGCAGCTTCACTTCCCAGAGCTTCAGCATCTTCTCAACTGCCAAATAGGAATAACAGCATCTCCGTCACCTGGTTGTTTTAAAGATCTCAGAAAATGAAGTCTGTAAAACATTGAGCACAGAGAAGACATCAATAAATGACAAATGTTACTTTGATTTTAACCCCTGATTTTCAGGGACTGTCTTTATGACAGTGTTCTCTCCTGTTGTTCACGTAAACCTGGAATGGAATTATCCTGGACTTTCTGATATTTTAGTATCCAAAAGGCATCTCCCAAACCAACACCTTATGCTCTAGAGTCTGGTTTGGAATCTGTGGTCTTTGCACTTAAGACCTGGGCCTCAGAAGGGGTGGGCGGTGGCAAAGCCTGCTCGATTGTCCCTGACAGGGGAATTTCATCACTCCCAGGCTCCTAGTCCTGGTTGACAATGACACCTAAGCAGGCGGCACTGTCCCTGCTGCCCCCACAGAGCCGCAATCAGGCCCCATGCTTGGCCCTGCCAGGCTCCTGGAGAGCTCTGGATCCTGGTCATCAGCCTCTAGTGCCAGCTGTGCAAAAAGAGGCCACTTTACATTTGATACAAAGCATCAGCCAATCTCATTCACAGTGTCTGGAATATGTTAAGCTCCGGATGTAAGGCTGGTAAGTAGCGCTTCCACATGAGCTCCCTTTCTGCCTCTCCACCACCGAGACGCTTATGGACCCAGATGAACACGCAATGCCTTGTCTTTTCCGCTTCTCATCTCCCCAGATGTCAAGAGATGTTGTTCCAGGGAACAGTCTGAGAAAAGCCCCATTCTCCTCGCTGCTTCTCACCTGCCAAGAAGCCCCGGCCCGCAGGTGCCTGGTGGAGGTGGAGGAGCTGCCAGAAGGCATCAGCCCATTCATGCTGGTTGAGAAGTGGTCTTCTCTGTGCCAAGTCCAGCCTTGGCAGCTCCATCGCAGGGCCTGGTTCTCATTCACAGCACCTGTCTGCCCAGGCCTCAAACCCCATCTCCCACCCCTGCTGCTTCGCACAAATGCAGGTGACCCCATGACCAGGGCCTCCCTCGGAGCCCACAGTTCTTCTGACAAAGCCCCGCTTGTTGGAAACGCTGAGTCTCAGAGAGTCGCCAGTCCTAGAAATAAGAGAAGCCAAGAGATGGATGATCCCGCCCTATGTGCTCCTTTCATAGGGAGGAACTCCAGTGGAGGCGGGAGAAGGATCTTGGAAAACATCATTGGGTCTGGCAGACCTCAGCCCTAGCTGCGCTTAGAATCATCTTGGGGAACTTTAAAAAATGAGATTCTGATTTAAATGGGGGGTGGGGAGTGGGCAGTGGGGTGGGAGGGAGAACCCTCAGGGGAGTCCAAATTGAGAATCCCTAATCATGTACAACCCAGAACCTGTCTTACACATGGAAGAATGGAGGTCCCTAGAAGAGGGCCTTTGAGGTTGTTAATCTCGTCTAACCCACCTGCTTACAGCTGCAAACACTGAGGCCCAGAGAGGTTAAGTAGACTCAAGGCTCATGGCTAGTAAGTGCTACCTTTTAGTATTTTGGGCAGTTTGACTTCTAATTATCTCAAAATGGTTCTGTTTCTATCATCTCTGGTTTTATTTCCTTAAAGATCTGCTTTAAACCTATCATGATTCCCTAATGGGCCAGGCTGGAGTGCAGTGGCGCGATCTCGGCTCACTGCAAGCTCCGCCTCCTGGGTTCACGCCATTCTCCTGCCTCAGCCTCCCGAGTAGCTGGGACTACAGGAGCCCACCACCACGCCCGGCTAATTTTTTGTATTTTTAGTAGAGACAGGGTTTCACCGTGTTAGCCAGGATGGTCTTGATCTCCTGACCTCGTGATCCGCCTGCCTCGGCCTCCCAAAGTGCTGGGATTACAGGCGTGAGCCACCGCGCCCGGCCAATTTTAAATATTTAGATATGGGATGTGGGCGTCCATTTGGACCCTTGCCTTGGCTCTGAATGTTGTGGGGACATCTGCTTTTCAGCTTTGGCCCCTGTAGGTGGAGGCTTCATGGTCCCTGACTTGTGAAAAGGCCCCTCAGGTCTCCCAGAAAGGAATGGAGGGAACTGGCCTCAGTGTTGACCCCTGTGGATCTCAGAGAAGGCAAGGTGGTAGTCAGCCTTGCTGTGGGAAGGCAAGTGGCCCAGCCCTCCAGTCTGTATAAGAGCAGCACTGGCAGTTGCTAGTGGGAGTCACAAACTATACTTATGGTCAAAAAGAATTCACAAAGTGCTGATGTATTATGGAAACAGGATGTGGCGTCCCCAAGCCCTGGTTGGTAAGTACCTCCTTTCTTTCTTCCTGCAGTACACTTCTTACAAAGTCCTGTTTTTAAATTCCAAGGCTATGGTCTTTTTCATTTTCACAACAGAATTTCCATGGAATACATGAATACTAGGAACAGGACTGCTGGGTCATAGGGTATCTCAGATACTAATTTGCCTAAGTAATTCTAGATTGTTCTTTAGAATGGCTGCACCTGTCTACTGTCACACCAACTGTGCATGAGGGCGCCACCACCCCCACACTTCTGCAAACACCTGTCATGATTTAGTTTTCTAATTTGTGCCAGATCAGCAATAGAAGTTATATTTGTTGCTCCAATTTGCAATTTTTAAATTACTAATGACTTTGAGCATCTTATCGTATGCCTGTTAGCTTCAATTATCTCCACATCCTCCTATGTAGTATCAGCCTGCCCATCTTTCTCTAGGGTTCTCTGCAAGGATAGCTGGGAGAGACTAGAACCAGTGTGCTGATATCTAGAGTTGCTATGACAGAATAGTGGAGAGACCATGCTGGTACAGCATTAGTCACTCCTGTTTCATCTCTTTAGGACTGCCTCTCCTACCTTCTGGCCCCCCAGCTCCCTGCTCTCCAGTTGTGCTGGCCAGGAACATACAAGGCCATTCCCGCCTCTGGGACTGTTGCTCCTACTCCTCTGTCTGCTGGGACCACTGACATGACAAGGCTCTGCCCACTCTCCCTGGAGTTTCTGCTCAATGACATCTCAGCAGTGACACCTTCTGTGACCTCTGTATCTAGAGTAGCACTTTGACTACTTCTCCCCTTAGTTTTTTTTCTTCGCACCTCCCATGACCTGGCATTCCCATTGCCTGTTATGTGTTTACTGGTTTGTTTACGTATCGTGTCTCTCCTAGGTGCCACAAAAGCAAAGATTGTGACTGTTTGTTCACTTCTATATCTTAAGTGCCTGCAAGGGTGCCTGGCACGTAGTAGGCACTCAGTAACTCAATAATCACTTGTTGAATAAATTCCTTTTTAATACGTGATATTTATACATACTAATGGGGTACATGTAGAAGTTTGTGACATGCATAGGGTGTGTAATGATCAACTCAGGGCATTTATCATTTCCATATGTATTTATCATTTCTATATGTTCTACATTTCAAGTCCTTTTTTTTTTTTTTTTTTTTTTTGAGATAGGGTCTTGCTCTGTCACACAGGCTAAAATACAGTGGCTCACTGTAACCTCAAGCTCCTGGGCTCAAGCAGTCCTTCTGCCTCAGTCTCCTGAGTAGCTGGGACTACAGGGACCCACGACCATGTCCGGCTAATTTTTAAATTTTTTGTAGATGGGGTCTCACTGTGTTGCCCAGGCTGGTCTTGAACTCCTGGCCTCAAGCAATTCTCCCACTTTGGCCTCCTAAAGTGTTGGGATTACAGGCATGAGCCACCGTGCCCAGCCTCTTACAGTTATTTTGAAAAATACAACACGCTGTTGTTAACTATAGTCACCCGACTATACTAGCAAACATAACTTATTCCTTCTATCTAACTGTATGTTTGTACCCATCAATGTACCCAACCTCACTTCATCTCCCTTCCTCCAACCCATTTAATTGAATACATTTTAATTAGTTCCTCCTACCTAGACATATAGGCATAACGCTTACATGTAAACATTTGGACATATATCAGTTTTCTCAGGATGGTTTTTAGATCCTTAGAAAAATGAGCTGGGTGTGGTCGCTCATACCTGTAATCCCAGCACTTTGGGAGACTGAGGCAGAAGGATTGCTTGAGGCCAGGAGTTTGAGAACAGCCAGGTCAACAAAAAATTAAGAAATTATCCAGGCATTGTGGGATGTGCCTATAGTCCTAGCTACTCAGGAGGCTGAGGTGGGAGGATCGCTCAATCCCAGGAGTTCAAGGCTGCAATGAGCCATGATTGTGCCACCGCACTCCAGCCTGGACAATTTCCTATAGCGATTCAGTTAAATTAGCTCCCCAGGCTTTCTGATGCTTTCTCTAAACTGTCAGGATCAATGTATTTCCAGATCTGGCTTTGAAAATAAATAGAAATTTCTCCTAAATAGGAGATTATTTCCTAGAGTTCATATAGCACAAATTACTTTGGTTTTCTCATATTGCTTCTGCTATCTTTGGTCCTAAATGTTAATTATGTTCTTACTTAGAAAAATAGATCTTTCCATAAAAAGTAATGAGTTTTTAGGCTTAAAGTTTTAGTCCAACATAATGACAGTTAGACAAGCATCTTGTCACTGTTGCACAAACACTTTCTAAAAAATTTAACTCCAGTTGCTTTCTCTGAAACTTGCAAAAAAAAAAAAAAAAAAAGTTGTTAGGAAACACCAGGACTAGAATTCAGCCGTGTCTTTCTTAAAAAAAAAAATCAGTTGGAGTGCCAGTTGTATAGGCACTGCCTTTTGTTACCAAAAAAAAAAAGTTTTAACTCCACAGTGGAAAAACTAACATTGTCACTAGGATATGAAGAAACCATGGTGAAGAACTAGCAACAGTGGGGCCCCGCAGAATGGCTGGCGGCATCTGTGCTGAGGGCCTTTATCAGTAGCCTTGTATGTTCTATTCAGGACTCTCAGGACGATTGTTGGCATGATGTAGACAAATTGACGCAAATTAGTTTAGCATGGGCTATGCAAAGTTTAAGCTTGTTGAGTAACACACGTGGACCACATAGCAACAGCTCCCAACACTATGCAAAAGTGTTAGATGCAAAGTACTAACTACCCTAGACTGTGCTATTCCAGATTGGAAGCAGAATTTGCAAATTACTGGGCAGTGCGGAGGAGGAGGGCAGGAAGCTGGCAGTGGAGACCGGATCCCCCATGCTGACCCTAAAGGCCAGTGATGGTTGAGAAAAATAACTCCTGAAAGTGCCGCTTGCTCTGCCTAAAACCGACTGCCTGTTATTTCATGGCCACAAATCCTCAAAGAACTGGCCCCAAAGATTAAGGGGATTCCGCCACTTTGCTCTTTACTTTTGGTTCAAATATCTCAAGACAATTCCTTTGGGGTTGGTGTCACACAGACCACCTAGAGGGACCTTCTAATTGTATTTACAGTAATTTAATTATGGCAGGGAGAGCTTCAGAAGGCAGGATTTACCAAGATTGATACTATGGGTGCCACTGGCAGAGTTTTGATCTGTTAAATCAACAGAGAAATGGTAAAAAAAAAAAAATAATAATAATAATAATAATAATAAAATAAAATAAAGCCACTCCAGAGTTTGGAAAACTACTTTATAGACTTTTTCTTCTTTTTTTTTAGTGGAGGCTGGGAAGGTGAAGGAGACATTTTCCTGGGGCCACGGCTTTCACGCTTTTGTTCATATTATTTTGTATTTCATATATGCATTATATCCATCTGATCTCACACACACACACACACACACAGAGTTTAGATATTATGAATGCACCATAGCCAAGTGTGTGTATGCGTATGCAGTTGTGTGTGTGTACTTAATTAAATATATCTCTGAATAGTTATTCAAAAACTTGGTAGCAAGTTCCTCCTCCGGGGAGGAGATCTAAGGTGGGGTGGGAGAGAGATTTACTTTTAACCTCATTTTCCATTCTTTTGTTTGCTTTTTTCTTTTTGTTTTCCAAAACAATTTTATACAAAAACATTTAAAATAGTTTTTGAGTGTATCCATAAAGAAACTTTTCATGCAAATATTAAATCATAAAAGTCAGCAACCTGTATATAATTCAGCCAATTGTAGGTTGTTTGGCTAACTAGTTACCTCGCCTTAGTTGGTGCCCTTCCCTTTCGGGTCCTCAGCCTTCCCGTCTATGAAAGGGTATAGACCAGCTGCTCCTGAAGGCCCCTTCCTCTCTATGAGATTGAATGACTAGAGTCTAAAAACAGCATGTGCTGCTACTGCCATCTAGCAGTCCAACTAGGGCTGCATGGATTTAGCTTTCCTCAGGTATTTTGAAAGACATCAGGGGGCTATTATTCAAAACACAAAAACTTCATTGAATATGCAAAGATCCTACAGCCCCTAAGTGCTTTCTGAGTGGGAGAGAGTATACATATATAAACAAATCTTAGACATTTAAAAAGTTGTTCTGAGCCTGTAATGTTTGACTATTGTAATATTTGACTACTGCAGTCAAACATTATACCATCATTGCAATTCAGTGGTCTCAAGGGCCTTTGGTGATGTGCCCAGACTGCCCAGTACAGCAGATATTTGTTGGGTACCCACTATGCATGCAGAGGACTGTGCAGGTGTGTGTGTGGTAGAAAGAGACAGGAATTTGGTATCATGCAGTTCAGACACCCTAACTCTTTAAGGACAGAGAACTGTGACCTTTCGGAGGTGTATTCCCAATAAGCCATGCATCTCCAACAGCTAGCAGAGCACTGGCACACAACAGGAAGTTAATAAATGCATGTTTTCAATGAATGCAGGAAGGAAGGAAGGAAGAAATAATCTGGATTTGAATTCATGTCCCCTGTTTATGAAGGCATTTTCTTCTTCATTTCCTCATTGGCACAATAGCAATGACAACCCTTGCCCCTGATTGTGAGGATCCAGTGCTATGACAAGGGGCAATGCCTCTGTCAGCTGGAAAAAGCTTTAAAAAAGAGGTGGGGTGGGGGAATCTCCGTATTTTGAGGCTCATCAACCACCTACTGTGCATGACAATGAGATATATTCTTCACTCCCCAAATTGATATTTCCATAGAAAATGTTTTCTGCCATGTATTCTAAGTTTTCTTGATTAAAGTGTATATTGCAGAAATACTGCAAATTCAGGCCTGAAGTACACTCAGGGATTTTTCTCTCCACCTCTTCCCGCAACCCTGCCCTTTCCTAGCAGAAGAACAGGACCTGTTCTTTGTTTTTACCGCATCTCCAGGTTTCCATATATGTACACTGAAGGAGTTGAATTAAATTAACCCTAAGGTCTTTTCCCTTTTAAACTCTAAAGCTTCTTCCCTTTAAAAACAGGTTCTTATAGGGAAAATTGTACAATGACACCGTGGGCTCAACTGTTGTAAAGAAGCTGTGATATGCTGCCACCTGTTGGTGATGCATTGAATTATTTTAAATTCTAAGCAAAACTGAGGTTTAGCATTTATTAATAAATAGTATTCACTATGACCAAATGAATTTACATACATATTTACAGTAGAAATGTATCACAGTGCCAAGGGCAAGAAATGTTTTCCCCAAAGGCAAAAATAATAGTTGACATTTAAAGACCAGAGTCTTTCAGTACCAAGCCCTACGTGAATTCTCCCACTTAATCCTCACAGCCACCCAGTTCTTTGATTATCCCCACTTTACAGATGAGGAAACTGATAGTCAGTGAGGCAATGACTTCCCCCAGGTCACATGGGTGGTAAGTAGCAGAGACATAACCTGGTTCCTTAACAACGATGCACTTAGCATAGTGTATTCTGTAGTGTTTTCTTGCTTCTGATTTGAAAAGAAATTAACATCATTGTAGAAATTTCTTAAATTACAAAGAAAAAAATAAATTGAAATCCCACCACTAAAATAAAATCAATGTTAACATTCTGTGCATATCTATCCAGTATTTTAGTGCTTATGTCATGTATACATTTGTACTTTTAAATATGATTATAATTGTTGGTTAAAACAAGAGTTCCCTTTTTTTTGATTCATTCATTTCTCCATTCATTCATTTCTCCGATTAAATTTAACAAATGCTTAATTTGTACCAGGTGGAGATACAATGGATGGGATTTTTTTTTAAAGACATTATATAAGCTTGTCCAACCTGCCTTATTTTGTTGTTGTTGCTGTTCTGTTTTGTTTTGCTTTAGGCTTTTAGCAGCCTGAAACCATGGTTTTTTGTTTCTGTCTCTAGTGATAAGCAGAAAAGAGGCAAGAGGAAGGGGCTTTACTGGCCCAACCAGAAGCAAAAACTAAGAACCCATGACTGTATTCTGTCCCTTGGCACTCCTGGATGAGATAAATAAATGTTCTAAAGGAAAAATAGTTCCGGGAGAACAGGTAAGAAGGGAAGTTAGTTTGCACAGGGGGAACACAAGGCTTCCCTGAGGAGGTGATGCTTGGAAAGATTTGGATGGTTCAGGTACCCCTTTCCCCCACCTCACAACTAACTTTCCAAGCAATTCTTTGCTTCAAGGAGGGAAAGGCCTGCCCTCTTCATTCTCTTTCCAGTGCTCAGGTAGGCACAGAGACAGATCAGTTAGCCCTTGCCTAAGCAGATGAAAGAGTGGGAGTAAGACGTTATTCTTCTCGTATTGTGGGCACTCCAATACTTACCAGTGATTCTTTGGGGACCTTCTCTCTCTTGGCCTAAGGGAGAGGAAAACTTCTCACCCCAAACACTGCACCTTCACCTTCAACAGTAGAGGATCTAGGTGTCTAGCCTCAGGTGTTGGTGCTTGCCTCCTGTGGGGGAGAACTAGCTCCTACAGGTTTCAACTGAGATCCCAGTGTCAATTTCTGAGCAACCAAAAAAGGCCCCTCAGCAATTGCACCACAAGTTCTCAGTCCGAACTAATTGATGATAGCCTAATCAGCCTCTCTTCTTCCAGTTTCTCCTCACTTAATCTATCCTATAGTGGGCTACAAAGTCGGTCTTCCCAAGAATAGTTAAAATAATGCTATTAACTCGAAACTTTCAGCATATCCCTAAATAAACTAGTTTCAGTAACATTTTTATCAATAACTTGGATTTGCTGATACTTTTCCTTTGCTTTCTTTCCCAATTCCACCCCCTTCCCCCATGTACACATCACTCAGCTTTTATTTTTCATTCTTGCTTTTTAAATTTTTTGTTGTTGTTGTTGTTCTGAGATGGAGTCTTGCTCTGTCACCCAGGCTGGAGGGCAGTGGCGCAACCTCCACCTCCTGGTTTCAAGCGATTCTCCTGCCTCAGCCTCCCGAATAGCTGGGATTACAGGCACCTGCCACCACACCCGGCTAATTTCTTTGTATTTTTAGTACAGACAGGGTTTCACCATGTTGGCCAGGCTGGTCTCAAACTCCTGACCTCAAGTGATCCACCTGCCTTGGCCTCCCAAAGTGCTAGGATTACAGGCATGAGTCACCGCAACCAGCTAAAATTTTTAAATTTTTGTGGATACATAGTGGTGTATATATTTATAGGGTACATGTGATGTTTTGATAAAGGCATGCAATGTGAAATAATCACATCATGGAGAATGGGGTATCCATCCCTTCCAGCATTTATCCTTTGTGTTACAAACAATCCAATTACACTCTTTTAGCTATTTTTAATGTCCAATTATTATTGACTATAGTCTCCCCATTGTGCTATCAAATAATAGGTATTATTCATTCTATTTGCTCTCTGTACCCATTAACCAACCCCACCTCCCTCACTCCAGCCCCCCACTGCCCTTCCCACCCTCTGATAACATCCTTCTACTCTCTATGTCCATGAGTTCAATTGTTTGATTTTTACATCCCACAAATAAGTGAGAACATGCAATGTTTGTCTTTCTGTGCCTGGCTTATTTCACTTAACATAACGACCTCCAGTTCCACCCATGTTGTTGCAAATGACAAGGTCTCATTCTTTTTTTATGGCAGAATAGTACTCCATTGTGTATATGTACCATATCTTCTTTATCCATTCATCTATTGATGGACACTTGGGTTGCTTCCAAACGCAGCTTTATGATTATCAATTAACAGCCAATCTTGTATAATTTATGCCCCTACTTTCTCTCTCCCCCACCCATAGATTATTTTTAGGCAAATCCCAGATATAATATTATTTAATTCATCAACATTACAGTAGGTACTAAATTATATGGACTCTTTAAATCATAGCCACAATATCACTGTCACACTAAAAAAATAATAATTCCTTAGTATCATTAAATATCCAGTGAGTGTTCAAATTTCCCTTAGTGTCTTAAAATTCTTTTTAACAGTGATTTGTTCAAAATGGGATGCAAACAGGGTCCATAAATTCATTTGGTTGACGCTTAAATCTCTCTTTTTTCTAAGTTCCAGAGTACATGTGCAGGATGTACAGATTTGTTAAACAGGTAAATGGAGAAAAGTTTTGAAATTTTTGAAATCCCTTTTAATCTATAGATTCCCATTCCATTTCCTTGTTTTCCTTGAAGTTTATTTGTTGGCTAAATGGGTCATTTTCCCCATAGAACTTCCACAGTTTGGACTTGTTGATTGCTTCCTTGTGCTGTTGTTTAACATGTTTCTCTGTCTCTGTAGTCTTACAAGATCCGGAGGTTTGATCAGACCAGTTTGAAATTCTCTTTCATAGGGAGAGGTATGTACTTCCATCGGGAGGCATTTATTAATAATACTTGCTTGTCTTTTTCTGTGATGTTAGTGGCCACTGACGATCATCCATGGTTGGTACACCTATCATTTCATTAATGGTTTGCAGAATGGTGATATTCTAATTTTATCAATCCGTCTTATATTAGCCAGGATACTTCTATAAGGAGAAGCTTTTCTTTCATCAACTATTTGATTGTCCTCAGCTATAGTTCATATAAGAAAAGCAGGTCAAGTGCTTGATTCTTTCTCTTTATTTACTGTATTAGTCTGTTCTCATGCTGCCAATAATGACATACCCAAGACTGGGCAATTTATAAAGAAAAAGAGGTTTAATGGACTCACAGTTCCACATGACTGGGGAGGCCTCAAGGCAGAAGGTGAAGGAGGAGCAAAGGCACATCTTACATGGCGGCAGGCAAGACAGTGTGTGTAGGGGAACTGCCCTTTATAAAACCATCAGATTTCGTGAGACTTCTTCTCTATCATAAGAACAGCATGGGAAAACCCACCCCCATGATTCAATTACCTCCCACCAGGTCCCTCCCATGACACATGGGGATTATGGGAGCTACAATTCAAGATGAGATTTGGGTGGGGACACAGACAAACTACATCATTTACTAATTTTCAGAAAGATTAGTTGGTTCTCTAGAGACCTCCAGAAATGACTATGAGTTTTTGGGTTTGAATAACATTGCAAACTCATTGATTTAATGATATTTGATGTGTTTCACTTCACTGTAGTGGTCATTTTTAATGATGCTCAAATTGTTTTGTTTTTGTTTTTGTTTTTGTTTTTGTTTTTTGGCCAGTGGAAGACTCTTTGATCTGCCTCCTGAGTCCTTTGACAGGATTCTTACCAACTTTGAAAATTTTTTCACCTCCTTCCTCCCGCAAACAGTAACATATTAAAGTGTACACTTTCGTCTACCTTGCTTTTCCACTTAATGGTATATTCTAGAAATCACTCCATGGTAGTATACAGAGATGTTCCTCATTCCTTTGCATGGGTGCCTATGATTCTACTGTGAGGAAATACCACAGTTTATTCAACTAGTCTCCTACTGAATATCTGGACTGTTTCCAGTCTTTTGCTATTACAAATAGTGCTGCAGTGACCAACCTTGTGTGTATATTTTCTTCATATTTTTGCCAGTGAATCCTTGGGATATCTTCCTGGAAGTTAGGTTTCTGAGTCAAAGAGCATTTGCATATGTCATTTTGCTATGTAGTGCTAAGTTATTCTCCACGAGGCTTGTACTATTTTTGTATTCCTATCAGCAATGTGTAAAAGTGCCTGTTAACCGAAGCCTGGTAATGAAGTATACTTGTGAACTTTGGAGTTTTGCCAATCTGATAGGTGGAAAGTGAGAATTTATGATGAGCCAAGTTAAGTATATTTTCCAATGTCTTTGCATTTTTTGTGTGTAAAATATCTTCTCATTTAAAAATACAATTCTTGGCCTTTCTCTTTTCCATTTTTAGAAAAAAATTTTTTTGAGATAGAGTCTCGCTCTGTTGCCCAAGCTGGAGTGCAGTGGTATGATCTCAGCTCACAGCAATCTCCATCTTCTGGGTTCAAGTGATTCTCCTGCCTCAGCCTCCCGAGTAGCTGGGCCTGGCCCTTACGTCCTCTTATAAGAGAGTAGCATGTGCCACCACACCTGGCTAATTTTTTTATTTTTTATTTTTAGTAGAGATGGGGGTTCACCATGTTGGCCAGGCTGGTCTCCAACTCCTGACCTCAACTGATCCACTCACCTCAGCCTCCCAAAGTATTGGGATTACAGGTGTGAGCCACCACATCCGGCCTAGAAATTATTTATATGTTAAGAACATTAACCTTTTGTGATGTAAGTTGCATGTAAAATGAGGTCTTATTGGTAGGCTCTAACTTTTTTTTTTTTTTGTGAGGTGGAGTCTCTCTTTCTCCCAGGCTGGAGTGCAGTGGACAGAACTTGGCTCACTGCAACCTCTGCCTCCCGGTTTCAAGTGATTCTCCTGCCTCGGCCTCCCAAGTAGCTGGGATTACAGGTGCCTGCCACCATGCCTGGCTAATTTTTGTATTTTTAGTAGAGACGAGGTTTCACCATGTTGGCCAGGCTGGTCTTGAACTCCTGATCTCAGGTGATCCACCCACCTCGGCTTCCCAAAGTGTTAGGATTGCAGGCGTGAGCCACCATGCCCGGCCTTATGTCCTCTTATAAGAGATTAGGACACAGACACAGGGGAAAGACCATGAGAAGACAAAGAGAAGGCAGCCATCCACAAACCAAGGAGAAAGGCATCAGAAGAAACCAACCCTGATGATGCCTTGATTTCAAACTTGTAGCCTCCAAAATCACGAGAAAGTGAATTTCTGTTGTTTAACTCAGCAGTCCCCAAACTTTTTGGCACCAAGGACCAGTTTGGAGGACAATTTTTCCATGGACTTGGGCGGGGGATGATTTCAGGACGAAACTCTTCAGTTCAATAGTCATTAGATTCTCTCATAAGGAGTGTGCAACCTACATGCTTCGGATGTGCAGTTCACAATAGGTTTCGCACTCCTATGGGAAACTAATGCTGCTGTTGATCTGACAGGAGGCAGAACTTAGGCAGTAATGCTCACTTGCTGCTCACCTCCCACTGTGTGTCCCCATTCCTAACAGGCCACGGACTGGTACCAGTCCACGGCCTGGGGGTTGGGAACCCCTGGTTTAAGCCACCCAGCCTGTGATTGTTGTAGTAAACCTAGCAAACTAATACACAACTTTTTGTCTTATCAGATTTATTAATCTTTTTCCCTTATTGCTTCTAGGTTTTTGGTTTTCTTGGGTGTTTTGTTTGTTTTCGAGACATGATCTCACTCTGTTGCCCAGGCTGGAGTGCAGTGGCACAATCTCAGCTCACTGTAGCCTCAACCTCCTGGCCTCAAGGGACCCTCCCACCTCAGCCTCCTGGTAGCTGGCACTACAGGCCCACATCACCATACCTGGATAATTTTTGTATTTTTTGTAGAGACAGGGTTTTACCATGTTGTCCAGGCTGGTCTCAAACTCCTGAGCTCAAGCAATCCTCCGGCCTCGGCCTCCCAAAGTGCTGGAATTACAGGTGTGAGCCACTACACCTGGCCACTTTTAGGTTTTGAGGAATAGCAAAGAAATGTCCTCTAATCCCAATAGAGAAATTCACCTTTGCTTTCTTCTAGTATTTGCACCATTTCATTTTTCCCCAAGAAATTTTTAACTTTATAAAAGTTTTAAATTTACAGAAAAGTTGTAAAGATAGTACAGAGCATTTTTGTATACCCCTCACTCAGTTTACCCTATTGTTAACATTTTATTTTGCTGTGGTACATTTGTGAAAACCAAGGAACCAACATTGATACCTGGCTACTAAGCTCTGCACTTTATTTGGATTTCACTAGGTTTTTCCTTTTCTCCTTCCTTCCCTTCTTCCTTCCTTCCTTCCTCTCTTTCTCTTTCTTTCTCTTTCTTTTCTTTTTCTTTCCTTTCTTCTTTCCTTCCTTCCTTCCTTTCTTTTTCTCTTTCTCTCTCTCTCTCTTTCTTTCTTTCTGGGTTTCACTCTGTCCCCCAGGCTGGAGTGCAATGATGCGATCACTGCTCACTGCTGCAGCCTTGATCTCCTGGGCTCAAGTGATCCTCTCACCTTAGCCTCCCTAAGTAGCTAGGACTACAGGCATGCACCACCAAGCCCAGTTAATTAAAAAAATAATTTCTTGGCTGGGCATGGTGGCTCATGCCTATAATCCTAGCATTTTGGAAGGCCGAGGCAGGTGGATCACCTGAAGTCAGGAGTTTGAGACCAGCGTGGCCAACATGGTGAAACCCCATCTCTACTAAAAATACAAAAATTAGCTGGGCGTGGTGGTGCGTGCCTGCAGTCCCAGGTACCCAGGAGACTGAGGCAGGAGAATGGCTTGAATCCAGGAGGCAGAGGCTGCAGTGAGCCGAGATCACACCACTGCACTCCAGCCTGGATGACAGAGTGAGACTCTGTCTCAAAAAATAAATAAATAAAATAAAATTTTTTTGCAGAGATGGGATTTCACCATGTTCCCCAGGCTGGTTTCAAATTGCTGAGCTCAAGCAATCCCCCCGACCTCAGCATCCCAAAGTGTTGGGATTACAGGCATGAGCCACCATGCCCAGCCTCACTAGGTTTTTTCTGATATCTCATCCAAGATGCCACATTACATTTATTTGTCATGTCTCCTCAGTTGCCTCCAGGTTGTGACAGTTTCTCAGACTTTCCTCGTTTTTGATGGCCCTGACAAGTTATAGGAATACTGGCCATGAATTTTGTAGAATATCCCTCCATTGGTGTTTGGTGTTTTTCTCACATACAGACTGGGGTTACAGACTACTGAAAGACCACAGAGACAAGTTTTATTCTCATCACAATCACATCAAGGGCACATGATATCAACATGACTTATCATTGATGATGTTAACTTTGATGATCTGGCTGAGGTAGAGTTTACCAGGTTTCTCCACCATAAAGTTACATTTTTCCTCCCCTTTTCATGCCCTGTGTTTGGAAGCCCAGAACATATTCAAGTGTGGGAAGGGAATTAAGCTCTATCTCCTTGAGGGAGAAGTACGTATTTAAATTATTTGGCATTCTTCTGTATGGCACATTTGTTTCTTCTTCCCTATTTATTTATTTATTTATTCCTTTATTAATTGTAGATAGATGCATGGATATGTATTTTATACTTTGAGGTCTATTGTAATACTATGTTATTTATTTTGTTGCTCAAATTCTTCCAGGTTTGGCTATTGGAAGCTCTTTTGTGTTGGCTCCTATGTCTTTTTGACATGCCTCCATCCTTTTGCTCTGAGCACATCTCGATTTCCTGGGACTAACAGATGTTTCAGGCTCATTTTGTATGTTCCCTGCCCTAACCCTAAAATCAGCCACTTCTCCAAGCCCTAGATCCTTTTCTTGAAGAATGGACTTAGAAATAAGCACTGGATGCCATTTTTCACATTTTAATATTTGGTCCATTTGGAACTTATCCTGGTACATAGTGCGAAGAATGGGTCTAATTTTACCTTTATTCATATGGCTAACCAATTATTCCAACAGCATTTATTAAGAAGTCCAGGCTGGACACAGTGGCTCATGTCTATAATCCTAGCACTTTGGTAGACTGAGGCAGGAGGCTCACTTGAGCCCAGGAGTTCTATACTAAACTGGGCAACATAGACCCCATCTCTACAAAAAATGTTTTAAAAATTGGGTGTAGTGGTGCACATCTGTAGTCTCAGCTACTCAGGAGGTTGAGGCAGGGAAATCACTTGAGCCCAGGAGTTCAAGGCTGCAGTGAGCTATAATAGCATGACTGCACCCTTGGATGACAGAGCCAGTCACTATCTACCCCAAAAATTAAAAATTAAAAAACCATAAAGTCTATTTTTCTCCCACTGCTTTGAGATGCCATCTTTATCATACACTAGATTTTCATATGCAATTGCCTCTTTTTCTGGCTTTTCCATTCTGTTCCATTGGTTGATCTGTCTGTTAATGCACCATTACCCTACTAGTTTACTTATACATGATTTATAATATTTGTTTTAATATCTGATAAGATTAAACTTGTTACTGCTCTTCTTTTCTGGATTTTCCTATTTGTTCTTATTTGGTCTTTCATATGAACTTTATTATCAACCTGTCTAGTTCCAGCAAAAAGAATCTGATGGTAGTTTTATTGAGATTGTGATTATTTTATATATTAATTTAAGGAGTAATGATATCTTTATAACATTGAGTCTTCCTATACAAATTCATTGTATGTCTCTCTATTTGTCTTATGTCTTTCAAAAGTGTTTAGTATAGTTTTCTTCATATAGGAACATTCCCTGTTATTTATTCCCTATTAATTCATTTGTTCATCCATTCATTTACACTATGATAAATGGGATATTTGCCATCATACCTTCTATTAATACTAGCTGTTGCTTGTGTATGTGAAGGCTGTTGCTATCTGAAGTCTTACTGAATTCTCTTCTTGTTTATGGTATCTCTTCAGCTGACTCTCTTTGGTTTCCTGGAGTTATAAGTATTCATATTTGCAAATGGTATGAGTCGTACTTCTTCCTTTCCAAGTTTTACATCGCTAATTTTGTCCTCTTGTTTTCTTGCATTCACAAATACCTTTTTTCAGTATGGTGGCATTCTTTGACTTATTGTGATGATAGATCATTTTGATGATATCTATTGAGGAAATGCCCTCAATAGATAAAAGGTTTGAAGGTTTTTTTTTTTGCAACGTGTGTGTGTGTGCACATGCAAGTGTATTTTGACCAGGTCAAGCATGTATCTATTTCTACTTTAATGGCTTTTAAAATCAACAATAAGTGTCAAATTTTCTCAGATATCTTTTCAGCATCTTGAAGATGATTATATGATTTTTTCTCCCTAACCTCTTTATTTTATTATTGATTCTTCAAATGTAAATCCTACTTGCATTCCTAAAATAAGTGCTACTTGGTCATGATGTATTATTTTTTAATAGGCTACCAGATGCTCTTTGATTCTATTTTATTTGAGATTTTTTTCATTGATATTTATAATTAATATTAATCTGTACTTCTCACTTTGCCAGGTTTTGGTATTGTTATATGCACTTCATAAAAGCAGTTTGGTACTACGCAAAGCAAAATACAGATTCAATGCAATCTCTATCAAAATACCAATGATATTGTTTACAGAAACGGAAAAAGAAGTGTAAAATTTATATAGAACAAAAGACTCCAGATAGCCAAAGCAATCCTGAGCAAAAAGAACAAACCTGGAGGCATCACACACTACCAGACTCCAAAATATACTACAAAGCCATGGTTACCAAAACAGCAAAGTACTCGCATAAAAACAGACACATAGACCAATAGAAAAGAATAGAGGACAGGTAAATTAATTAAAGTATCTATAGCCAACTTATTTTTGACAAAGGCACTGAGAACACTCATTGGGGAAAGGCCAATGTCTTCAACTAATGGTGCTGGAAAAACTGAATATCCATATGCAGAATGAAACTAGACTCCTATCTCTCACCATATACAAAAATCAACTCAAAATGGATCAGACCTAAATATAAGACCCAAAATTATAAAACTACAGGAAGAAAACATAGGGGAGGAACTTCAGGACATTGGTCTAGAAACAGATTTTGCTAATAAGACCCCAAAAGCATAGGCAACAAAAGCAAAAACAAACAAATGGGATTATATCAAACTAACAATCTTCTGTACAGCAAAGGAAACAATCAGCAGAGTGAAAAAACAACCTACAGAATGGGAGAAAATATTTGCAAATTATTCATATGACAGGGGTTAATAGCCAGAATAGACAAGGAGTTCAAACATTTCAACAGCAAAAAATAAACAATCTGATTTTAAAATAGGCAAATGATCTGAATAAACATTTCTCAAAAGAAGATACACAAATGGTCAACAAATGTATGAAAACATACTCAACATCACTAATCATCAGAGAAATGCAAATCAAAACCACAATGAGGTATCATCTCACCCCAGTTAGGACGGGTATTATCAAAAACACAAAAAATAACAAATACAAGTGAGGATGCAGAGTGACTGTTTAGGGGCATAGATTTCTTTTTGTTGAGAAGAAATGTTCTAAAATTAGATAGTGGTGATGTTTGCACAACTCTGTAAATACAGTATACTAAAAAGCACTGAACTGTACACTTTCAATGGATAGATCTTTTGGTATGTCAATTATATCTCCATAAAGCTGTTATTAAAAAACAAAAGTTGGCTGGGCATGGTGGCTCACACCTGTAATTCTAGCACTTTGGGAGGCTGAGGTGGGAGGATTGCTTGATCCTAGAAGTTCAAGACCAACATGGGCAACATAGCAAGACCCTCATCTCTTTAAAAAAAAAAAAAAATTAGCCAGGCATGGTGATGCAGAGTTGTAGTCCTAGCTACTTGGAGGCTGAGGCAGGAGGATTGCTTGAGCCCAGGAGTTCAAGGCTGCAGTAAGCTATGACTGCACCACTGCACTCCAGCCTGGGCAATAGAGTGAGACTCTGTCTCAGAAAAAAGTTGGATGGAGGAGGCGCCATGTGCTGTTGGTATTAGTGCTGTCAGGCTGCTTTTGATTCTTCAGCACCCAGTTGTCTCAAACCCTTTGCCACTTCTACTGAAGACTAGGATCTTGCCAGGAAAATGTCTGATGAATTTTCTATGGCAAATGCTCTACCTGAACACTTCCCTGACCAGGTCCTGCTGTGATTAATAGAAATCTAGTCAACCTCCTTAAGGCCGGCCAGATTCCAAACCTTGGAAGAACCCATGTGCTGTGCCTTCTATGCCATCTGGACTCCCGCCAAGTGCAACACTCTTCATTGTACCTTTCGGACCTTTGCTAACAGGATTGCATCCCTCTGTGCCTCCCACTGGACTGCCTCTGGGAACCCAAGAACTCTTCCTCTTTCTGGACCATCCTGCTCCCCAACTAATGGTCCTTACCCAACTTCAACTGTGATGCACCTGGACCCCACAGGCCATATCCTATGCCAAAAATGCCCTTTCTAGAGCTTCCCAGACCATATGGTGCTTTCACAGGTCTCACAAGTCGTGCTGCAACTGGTATTTTAGGTCCATGAAAATCCACGTTTCCGAACCATGGGCACCAGAAATGAGAAGGCAGCATCCTACTCTAAACATGCCACATGTACATCTAGAGCCATATCTTACTCATCCTCCTCCCCGGCACCAGGGCAGTGTCATCTTTCCCAGTGGGGCTCTGTCCTATGTAGACCACCAGTACCACAGACTATATCCCACACAAGTCTCTATCCTATTCATCGTAATTCTTTTCAAGTTCCTTTGGGACCTTCTGCCTGGTAGCCTCATTCTTACCCATTCTTACCATTAAGTTAAAAATGGATAAAGGGATAGCATTTTGCTTTTGAAAGCACACACACTGTATATATATATATATATATATATATATATATATATATATATATATATATAGTGTATATACTATAGGCTGTCTTTTCATTTCACAGGCAAACCTTTCATTTGTTAAAAAAAAAAGGCAGTATCTGTGAATTGCAATAAAGTGCAATAAAATGAGTTATGCCTGTATATATACTGGATGCGTATATACACAGTATATGTAGTATATATATGTAACATATGTATATACTTATATACTACATTTGTATATAGTAGGCCAATTAATAGGCCAAATAAACCAATTAATAACCTTATGATGGCCTCTACGTGTTCAAGAGAAAGGAATAGTTGCAAGTCTCTCACTTTTAATCAAAAGCTAGAAATGATGAAGCATAATGAGAAAGGCATGGCAAAAGCTGAGACAGGGCAAAAGCTAGGCCTCTTGTGCCAAACAATTAGCAAAGGTGTGAGTGCAAAAGAAAACTCTTGAAGGAAATTAAAAGTGATACTCCAGTGAATACATAAATGATAAGAAAGTGAAATAGCCTTATTGTTGATATGGAGAGAGTTTAAGTGGTCTGGATAGAAGAAAGCCAGATACAACATTTCCTTAAGCTAAAGCCTAATCCACAGCAAGGCCCTAACTCCCTTCCAATTCTATGAAGGCTGAGAGAAGTGAGGAAGCTGCAGAAGAAAAGCTGGAAGCTAGCAGAAGTTGGTTCATGAGGTTTAAGCAAAGAAGCCATCTTCATAACATAAAAATACAAGGTGAAACATCAAGTGCTGGGTGGAGAAGCTGCAGCAAGTTATCCAGCTAAGATCATGAATGAAGGTGGCTACACTAAACAAAAGATTGTAGACCAAACAGCACTCTATTGGAAGAATACACCATCTAGGCCTTTCATAGCTAGAGAGGAGAAGTCAATGCCTGGCTTCAAAGCTTCAAAGGACAGGCTGACTCTCTTGTAAGGGGCTAAGGTAGCTGATGACTTTAAGTTGAAGCCAATACTCATTGACCATTCTGAAAATCCCAGGGCCCCTAAGAATTATGCTAAATCTACTCTGCTTGTGTTCTATACATGAAACAACAAAGCCTGAATGACTGCACATGTGTTTACAACATGGTTAACTGAATATTTTAAGCCCTCCATTGGGACCTACTACTCAGAAGAAAAGATTCCTTTCAAAATATTATTGCTCATTGATAATGCACCTGGTCACCCAAGAGCTCTAATGGAAAAGCACAAGGAGATTAATATTTTCATGCCTGCTAACATAACATCCATTTTGTAGTCCATGGATCAAGGAGTAATTCTGACTTTCAAGTCTTACTATTTAAGAATTATGTTTTGTAAGGCTATTGCTACCATAGACAGTGATTTCTCCAATGGATCTGATCAAAGTAAATGGAAAACCTCTGGCAAGGATCTATACATTTAGATGCCATTAAAAATATTTGTGAGTCAAGGGAGGAGGTGAAAATATCAACAATAAGTGGTATTAGGAAGGAGTTGATTCCAACTCTCATGGATGACTTCGAGTTCAAAACTTCAGTGGGGGAAGTAACTGCAGATGTGGTAGAAATGGCAAGATAACTAGAATAAAAAGTGGATACTGAAAATATGACCAAATTGCTGCAATCTCATTATAAAACTTGAGCAGATGAGGAGATACTTTTTATCGATGAGCAAAGAAAGTGGTTTCTTGAGATGAAGTCTGTCTCTGGTGAAGATGCTATGAACATTACTGAAATGACAACAAAAAATTTAGAATATTACATAAACTTAGTTGATAAAGTAACAGCAGGGTTTGATAGGATTGACTCCCATTTTGAAAGTTATACTGTGGGTAAGCCGCTATTAAACAGCATTGCATACTACAGAGAAATCTTCTGTGAAAGAGTCAACTGATGTGGCAAACTTCATTATTGTCTCATTTTGAGAAATTGCAAAAAAAAAAAAAAAAAATACTGGGCATGGTAGCACACACCTGTAGTCCCAGCTACTCAGGAACACTGAAGTAGGAGGATCGCTTGAGCCCGAAAGGTTGAGGCTTCAGTGAGCCATGACTGTGCCACTGCACTCAAGCCTGGGCAACAGAGAGAGACCCTGAAAAAAAAAAAAAGAAAGAAAAAGAAAGAAGGAAGGAAGGAAGGAAAGAAGGAAAAAAAAGAAAAAAAGAAAGAAAGAAAAAAAGAAAGAGAAAAAGAAAAGAAATAGCCATAGCCACCCAACCTTCACCAACCACCACCCTGGTCAGTCAGTAGCCATCAACATGGAGGCCTGACACTCCACCAGCAAAATATTGTGACTTGCTGAAGCCTCACGTGATTGTTAGCATTTTTTGGCAGTATTTTTAAATTGAGGTATGTACATTGTGTTTTTTAGACATAATGCTATTGCACATAACAGACTATATAGTACGGTATATAAACATAACTTTTATATGGACAGGAAAACAAAAAAATGTGTGATTTGCTTTATTATGATACTTGCTTTATTGTGGTGATCTGGAACTGAACCTGCGATATCTTAAAAGGTATGCCTGTGTATAGTGTGTGCGCGTGTGTGTGTGTGTGTGTACCCATGAATGCATATATTAAAATGCTGGTTTTAGTATTCTTAGAAGGCATTTATGAAAACAATTCTTGCACCTCTCAGAGTAGCTATGTGCCTCTTGAACTTGGATATATATTTAGAACATTCAGATAAAAATGCAAATATGATTTTTGTTTGCTTTTTATGGAAAGTTATGGTGAATATTTTAATTATATTGAATAGTTCTTTGATATA
Source organism: Homo sapiens (assembly GCF_000001405.40). Taxonomy (NCBI): domain Eukaryota; kingdom Metazoa; phylum Chordata; class Mammalia; order Primates; family Hominidae; genus Homo; species Homo sapiens. The sequence goes on from NC_000012.12 coordinate 106,935,096, forward strand.
ATTTATGAAACCACATACTTAAAAATCTAAAATGATGTAGATTATTAGAATCTACAACTTTATTGGCAAATTATTTTTCTATAATAACCATTTCCCTAAATAAACATACTTTTGAAAACAATCATGTGCCATACTTTAAACAAATGATTTCTCTGTTTATAGGATAAACAAACATGGTCCTCTTGAGGTTATATTTTGGAGTATACATTTAAAAACTGTCAGTAAAAACTGTCTGGTGTTCAGCTCATTAGCCAGTGTTCATTTTAATTATTTAAAAATTTATTTTTAAATCTCAATAGCTTTAGGGGTATCGGTAGTTTTTGGTTACATGGATGAACTCTATAGTGGTGAAATCTGGACTTTTAGTATACCAGTCACCCAAACAGTGTACATTGTACCCAGTAGGTAAATTTTCATTCCTTACCCCCCTTCCATCCTCCCCCTCATTTTAATTCTTGAGCATTGATTAGTAAAGCTTTTCCTTTTTTTAAGTTCTACCTAATTTGTCTTATTTTTAGCTAAGTGGGTCACACAGCTCTAAAACCTATTATTTATGGAAGCTAACATTAAAATAAAAATCCAGGTCAATACACATGTAAATCATGGTTGTCCTACATTGGAATAAGTTGCCAACTCTGCCTTTAGATACATTATCTAATGTAACAGTCAAGTTTACTTAATGGCAACAAATCAGTATGTGCTCTTCAGTGACAAGCAGTGATAGTGCCTTCATCTATCAAAAAAGTGAGAGGAAAACATATCATTACTTTGTACACTTAAATTGTTTCAGTGAGGCCAGGCATGGTGGCTCACACCTGTAATCCCTGCACTTTGGAAGGCCAAGGCAGGTGGATCACCTGAGGTCAGGAGTTCGAGACCAGCCTGGCAAACATGGTGAAACCCCATCTCTACTAAAAATATAAAAATTAGCCAGGCATGGTGGCATACACCTCTAGTCCCAGCTACTCAAAAGGCTGAGGCATGAGAATCACTTGAACCCGGGAGGCGGAGGTTGCAGTGGGCTGAGATTGCACCACTGCAGTCAGCCTGGGTGACAGAGCAGCACTCTGTCTCAAAAAAAAAAAATTATTTCAGTGAAAAATAATTGAAATTGTGATTTTAATTAACATTTTAATGACAAATTTAATGTATGTAATTGCCTATTCATTTTAAGTTAATCTCCTAAAAATCTGACTTGAGACATATATTTTGTTTGCATTATGAACAGTAAGCAATCTGAGATGTTAGGTTTTCTCACCTGATATTGTATTTGTATACAAAGATAAATGTTGCTTTAATAAGTAATTATAATTGTGAATAGAATATGTATTTGATACTTGATTTTTTTGAGACAGGGTCTCGCTCTGTTGCCCAAGCTGGAGTACAGTGGCACAATCATAGCCCACCGCATCCCTTTAACTCCTGGGCTCAAGTGATTCTCCAGTCTCAGTCCCCTGAGTGGCTGGGACTACAGGTATGCGCTACCATGCCTGGCTAATTTTTAGAATTTTTTTTTAAGAGATGGTCTCTACAAAAAGTGACCATCAAGGTTGGTCTCAAACTCCTGGCCTTAAGCGATCCTCCCACCTTGGCCTCCCAAAGTGCTGGCATTACAGGCACAAGCTACTGTGCCAAGCCAATACTTGATTTTTTTTTTTTTTTTTTTTTTTTTGAGACAGTCTCACTTTGCCGCCCAGGCTGGAGTGCAGTGGTGTGATCTCGGCTCACTGCAACCTCTACCTCCTGGGTTCAAGCGATTCTTGTGCCTCAGCAGGGCGCCACCACACTCAGCAAATTTTTGTATTTTTAGTAGAGACGGGGTTTCACCATGTCGGCCAGGATGGTCTCGATCTCTTGACCTTGTGATCCACCTGCCTTGGCCTCCCTAAGTGCTGGGATTACAGGTGTGAACCACCGCGCCTGGCCTAAAAAATTTTTTTAAATATTTTCATAGCTTAAAAAAATATGTTCCCTCTTCTTCCTCTTCCCCTTCTCTCTACTGTTTCCCCTTTTCTTCTCTTTGTGGGCAATTCAATCCAAGGCCATTAAAAAAACTGGCCAGGTGGGCTTCCACGGCAGGGTAGAAAGACAGAGTTGGAGGAGGATATCCATGTGGGGCGAGGGTGGTATGGAATTTCAGAGCCCAAATGGAATGAAGAGGAAGTCAGTGCAGGAGAGTGGCCTCCTCCTGCAGTACCAAAGCCCAAGGAGGGTACCCATGTGGAAGAAGGAGCTGCAGTAGTGATGAGATTGATTACACAGAGTGGGATTAATCAAATAAGTTAACACTTTACATTAAAGATAATGGGAACCAGGTGTCTGTCAGAGAAGGGGCAGACAAATATGGAAAGGGAGAAAGCAAAAATGAACCCTGTGTTATTAATTTGAAATTAGAGATTCTGGTGTGAATTCATGGTTGTCAACATACAGACATGTAGAAATATGGTGTGTGTGTGTGTGTGTGTGTGTGTGTGTGTGTGTGTGTGTGTGTATAATTTATAGCAATGAGCCTATGCAGCATCAAACCTTGGTTTCTAGATACCATTCTCCACTAAAAGGACTTTTCCTCAGAACTTTCCTTGATGAAATGGATGATTCAAGGCTGGGGCAGGGAAAACGCAAAACAAAACCGGAACGCCTGGTGTTAGAAAGTTAGAAACTGCTCAGAATTATGGGGATATGTCAAAAGGACACAGAAGTCAACTTGAATAAGGCTCTCACTAGCCAAATCTGGGGCAACTTGAGCATCAAAATAATGACAGTAATGAATTATAACCCATTGAATGAAACAGAAATCTGTGGGTCCATATTGACTTAAATAAGTCAATGAATTCACTGAAAGTTTGATGAGTAATGGGAATATTTATGAAGAGGCTAAGTTGACCCTAAAAAGACTCCTTTTGGCCAGGTGGGGTTGCTCACGTCTGTAATCCCAGCACTTTGGGGGGCTGAGGTGGGCAGATTGCCTGAGGTCAGGAGTTTGAGACCAGCCTGGCCAACATGGTGAAACCCTGTCTCTACTAAAAACACAAAAATTCACTGGGCATGGTGGTGGGTGCCTGTAATCCAAGCTACTTGGGGGGCTGAGGCAGAAGAATTACTTGAGCCCAGGAGGTGGAGGTTGCAGTGAGCCGAGATCACACCACTGCACTCCAGCCTGGGTGACAGAGTGAGACTGTCTCAAAACAAAAAACAAACAAAAAAATCCAACTCCTTATAGTGGAAGGTTATTGAGTTATGCTTAATAATTGGAAAATTTACGACTTTTCCCTGCCATCAGCAGGAATGGGAGCATCAAGACAAGTTACAGAAAATAAAGAGTGCTGTATGTTTTATACATTTGGGTATAGTGTGCAAAATTTAGATTCTGCTACATGGAGCAACAATTTGATCAAAGACTTTCATGTTCCTTCACCTCCATGAGGTTCTAACAACCCCAGCCAATCCAATCAATTTCCAGGCTAAAAAGCCTAAAGGCAGATATACCTTCAATTGTCTATCACAATACAAACAGCTATCAGCTACCATGTATTGAGTACTCACTCTGCGAATGAACAGGATAATACATTATGTTACTCAATAAACACAATTTTAGCAGATGGGGACTATTAGTCTACATTTTTTGGGGGGAAAAAGGCCCAGTCAAGTTAAGGTACTTGATCAAAGTAGCAGAGTCCTCATTAAAATCTATTTAGCTATAGCACCTGGACTATGAGTCACCACACCATATTGTCCAGTCGTGTCACATTGAAACTCAGGTTTCATCTACTCAAGCTTTCATAAATCTTGAGAGGAGGAGAAGGGACATGGTTAAGACAACCCACCAGAGACCAACTAAGCCAAGGGAGTTGGAGGTGACATCTTTCATAAGCATAAAGGCACGGACAGATACATTCTTGTTCAAATTCTGTCACTCCTATAATCTGCCCTTCTCAGAAGCAACCAGCAATGGGACTAGTGGTATATTTTGGGACTACTGTCAACAAAAGGAGTCATACTCTGTAAAATATTTTAAGAGATTTATTCTGAGCCGAATGTGAGTGACCAATGGCCCATGATACTGCCCTCAGGAGGTCTTGAAAACATGTGCCCAAGGTGGCTGAGCTACAACTTGGTTTTATACATTTCAGGGAGAGATAAGATGTCAATCAACACATGTAAGATGTACATTGGTTCGTCTGCAAAGGTGGGACAACTAGAAGTGGGGGGATTAGGGGGTGAGAGGACTTCCAGGTCATAGGCAGATTCAAAGATTTTCTGACTGGCAATTGATTATTATCTAAAGACCTGCAATCAATAGAAAGGAATGTCTGGATTATGATAAGGGTTGTGGAGACTAAGGTTTTATCATGTAGATGAAGCTTCCAGGTAGCAGGCTTCAGAGAGAATAGATTGTAAATGTTTCTTTTTTTTCCTTTTCTTTTTTTTTTTGAGACAGTCTCGCACTGTCACCCAGGCTGGAGTGCAGTGGCACGATCTGGGCTCACTGCAACCTCCACCTTCTGGATTCAAGCGATTCTCCTGCCTCAGCCTCCTAAGTAGCTAGGACTACAGGTGCCTGCCACCATGCCCTGCTGATTTTTCTATTTTTAGTAGAGAGGAGTTTCACCATGTTGGCCAGGCTGGTCTCGAACTCCTGATCTCATGATCCGCCTACCTTGGCCTTCTAAAATGCTGGGATTACAGGCATGAGCCACTGCTACTGGCCTGTAAATGTTTCTTATCAGACTTAGAGAGTCTGTTCTGTCAGTCTTAAGGTCTCTGTGTTGATGTTAATGCTGGTCAGCTGTGACGCACGTCTGGCCATCCACTTCCCATCATGGCCTGAACTAGTTTTTCAGGTTAACTTTGGAATGGCCTTGGCCAAGAGGAGGGGTCTGTTCATATGGTTAGGGGGCTTAGAATTTTATTTTTGGTTTACATTCTCCCTCTTCTAGCTAAGATTTTCCAGAGGCAACATCAATGGCCACCAAACTTTTATTTTGTCCCACAACAATTGCTGAGGTGGCATGGCTGGCTGCCCTGGCTTTTCCTGTCCCTTGGTGGGACCCCTATGGTCAAGGGACTTAAGAGTCAAAAGACTTACAGCCAATTTAAATGTTCTAGGCCAGATGGGAATGAATGTGAACAGGCATTCACTAACCCTTAAAATTTTTAAGGTAATATAAAAGCCAACAAATGAAAAGCCAGAGGCGAGGTTACAAAATTGACTTATCTACCTTTAACCTCTATGTATTGAGCTACTGTGATCTTGGTTTTAGTTACAGATGAATTGCAATGAATTATACAAAACAATCATTATTAAAACCTTTTAAGCTAAGAAATTTGGAGACTTTTGTTGTGCTGCCATGCTTTTTGTGGTCTTTTAGTGATTTGTCCTAAGGTGGCCGATAAATTTTTTTAAAAAAATATATCTATTGACATAAGTCTCATAACTGGGAGTATTATACTGAAGAGGCTTTGTCATGAAGTATTTTTATATTCTCTCAGTAATTTTATTTTAATTCTATGGGAAGCAGGAAATTCTTTATGGCTGGGATGGATAAAAAAGGTGCCACACATGTAATAACCCAGGAGGCAAAGTCTCTTATTTTACCAACTATTTAGGTGTCTGTGTACTCTTCCTTAATTGGGAGGATCTGAAATAATGCTTTCCCTCAAAACTGGGCCTTACAATCTAATGTGCCCACCTCTTCCACGATAGTCCCTGGGCCTAGAGGGAGGGTGCTTATATAGTTTTAGCAGCAGGGTATTTACAGTGAAAAACAGATTGGGCCCAGGGGGATTCCAAATGAGGGAGATTCGCAGGATTTGTCAAATCATCTCAGTTTTCAGAGTATCATGATTCCAGTTTTCCCAGAAGAAGTAAAACTATAAGAGATAACATTAATAATTTGACAATAAAAAAAATAATGTGTGTGTCAGAATAGAAAAAGGAACATATTCCATCAGGGCACCAACTAAAACATGAAGCAAATTATAACCTGGTACTCTTTAGAGGATTTTTGAAGCCCAGAAATAATTCATGAGTCAATCTGCACTCAAAAACAAAAGTCAGGGCTGGAATCTAGTAACAGATGTTATAGTTTTCCCTTGAAACAATTTCTTTCTTTCTCTAGCCCTCCTTTTCTGCTAAAGAGAAACTATAGTAAGACCAATTTGTGTGCAAAATAAGTTTCAGGCTTATTATATTTGGCCTGATTATTCACATAAAGTCCAGCAAGAATTGACTGGTCATAGAGGCTCTTTTCAAGTTGGCTTTCTGGAACTTTACCTAAAAATGTGTTATTCTAGTAAAAGCCTTGGTAAAATAACCAGTGTCTCCAATTGTCCTGTTTTAAAATATAAAGCTTTTTACTGAATTTTTGCAAATAACTATATTGTCATAAAGTCAAAATACTCATGAACAGTTTCTGGATTTTGGAGAACTCAGAAAGGAAAATATGCTCTCAAAAACATACTTTACCCGATTGCTCTAAACTATAAATAACTCAAAAGATATCCTTGACTCTTATCTAATCAGAGCAGCAGTCTTCCAAACAAGATGTCATTTGTTCATTTTGGAAGTGCCACTGACAACCGAAGCAGCTCTTGTCAGATGAGAGACGTTCATCAGGCACGGCACAATCTAGTAGCTCCTCACCTAGTGAGTCAGTCCTAAGGGAAAAAGAGGCTCCCTGTTCCTAAGTATCTCCTCCGTGCATCCCCAGGTAGCAAGAACCTATATAAATAATTTTTATTTTATCATGGAACTCTTTTGGGCACCATTATTTCAATTAGCATAGGGATAGTTTCAGCTAACATCCCATAGCAAGGCAGCACATGTCTCTCAAGTGGGAACTCTCTAGTCCAAAGTCCCAGTAGTTGTCATTGGGAAATGCTTACCGGCTTTTGCCATAAGCCTCAATAAACATGCCACAAAGAGCTATCAAGTGGAAGATTTGCCCTGACCAGCACTCCAACTTCTACCCTGTATTCTGGGAATCTTACTAGTTCTCATTTAGCATGTCCAGTTAACATTTCTCAAAGGACAGATTTACATGCCTTCAGTTTTGCAGTACTAGATAGGGGAAACATCCCCTAGTCAGACACAATACCCATTTTCATAAGACACTTAGGTAAAGGACTCAGAACTACCTTACATAAGGTAGTTGTTTAAACATCTCAAATTTCATAATCCTGTCAACCTTTACATTTTTATGTTCTGATCCCAGGAACTTCTCTACCCCCTAGACCATTTTGCCTTTTCTGGTGAAAAAGAATTTGGGTTCCCAACAGCGAGCTGGGCCAAGGGACTCAGCCTCTTTTATCAATCTTTATCTTAATTTGCCTCAACATTGCCCTAGGCAATGTCAGCTTTCTTATTTTAACCTTTGCCTTTTAATTTTCCTTAGATTTCTCCTAAGGAAATGTATGAAATGTAGGACACTAGTATGGGGCCTTTTAATGTTGCGGGGCCAGCAGGGGCTCCCTTTGGTCCACCCAACCAACTTTTGACAGTGTTGTAAAGACCTTTGTTTTAACCTCATCAATTTTCATTTCATTTCATTTCTTAATAACCATCTAAAGATTTCCACCCTTCTGGGATGAGTCCTTTGACTTCCTTTTGCCTTCCCCATTTATTTTTGGTTACATGTCCTAATGTTTTATAAGCATCTGTAAGACCCATGAAGGATAGCAAATTTGATAAGGCTCCTCAAACAGTTGTTCGGTTCTGCAAGAGTAATGTCACCCAGAGTGCCCATGTAGAAGGGATCCTCTTAACCACAGCATTTACCACGATGTGGGTAATAGGCATATTAAGTGGGAGAATATCCTGGTCATCATAAAGCCAGTCTCACATGGCTCACATAAGAAGCATTATCAGCTGTTTTGTCTGGGGTGTCCCACTTAGCATTTAATAGGGAGAGTTGGGCAGTCCCCTTATCAGGGTAATCAGCCTTACAGTGGCTTTTATCTGGTTCACCAGGCTGGATATACCCTCAGGAATAACCTCCTGTGCAACTGGATAACATATACTCATCAGTGAGTGTTTAATAGTGGGCTGTGAGTCCTGTATCAACCCAAACTTGCTCTTTCATTATGTGGCATTTAAAATTAAAGATGCTGTCCTTAAATTAGTTGCTCTTACAAGGTTTTGAGGAAGCTGATGACACCAATTAATAATGGAACAATTCCTTTATGTTATATGCTCTGGTTTTTTTTTTTTTTTTTTTTTTTTTTTTTGAGACGGAGTCTCGCTCTGTCGCCCAGGCTGGAGTGCAGTGGCGTGATCTCGGCTCACTGCAAGCTCCGCCTCCCGGGTTCACGCCATTCTCCTGCCTCAGCCTCCCGAGTAGCTGGGACTACAGGCGCCCGCTACCACGCCCGGCTAATTTTTTGTATTTTTAGTAGAGACGGGGTTTCACCTTGTTAGCCAGGATGGTCTCGATCTCCTGACCTCGTGATCCGCCCGCCTCGGCCTCCCAAAGTGCTGGGATTACAGGCGTGAGCCACCGCGCCCGGCCTGCTCTGGTTTTAATAGTTACTTGGTTTTGCCTTACCCCACATTGACTATCTTCTTGGTAACCACAAGTCATAGAGGCACTTTCTGTTGTCCCTGCATAAGTTTGCCCTTTGGGGGGCAGCTTTGAGGCTGGTGGCATAAGCTCAGACTGACTTAAATCAGACCTTGGTCTAGCAGCAAGGCTCAACCCAGACTTCTCCTTTAATTTCTTTTTCTGTCTTTTTTTTTTTTTTTTTTTTTTTTTTAGACAGAGCTTTGCTCTTGTCTTCCAGGCTGGAGGGCAATGGCACGATCTTGGCTCACTGTAACCTCCGCCTCCCTGGTTCAAGCAATTCTTCTGCCTCAGCCTCCCGAGTAGCTGGGATTACAGGCACCTGCCACCATGCCTGGCTAATTTTTGTATTTTTAGTAGAGACAGGCTTTCGCCATCTTGGCCAGGCTCGTCTCAAACTCCTGACCTCAGGTGATCCACCCGCTTTGGCCTCCCAAATGCTGGGATTACAGGTGTGAGCCACCATGCCTGGCCTTTTAATTTCATTTTAACTATTACAGATAGCAATAACCAAGGGATTGGATATTTTGTTTTTATTCTTATTAGTTTGCATTTCCTTATGCACTCAGTGAAGTAACTTCCTGGGAGTATGAGTATCATCCATCTCTAAATTCCACTGGTAACTTTTACCTTTAGTAACTAAATGCAGCCCAGCTGCAGCTCCATACCATGGGTGACCACGCGACCACCAAGGAGTCAAAGGTTTTTCCTTACCAGCCTTTTATTTTTCTCTCTATCCATTTAGTTTTATTTATATACTTCTTCTTTATTTTAATGTGTCCCCTAAATAGCCTCAAAATTAGAAAAAAAATTACATTTCCTTTTTTTTTTTTTTTTTTTTTTTTTTTTTTTGAGATGGAGTCTCACTCTGTTACATGATCTCGGCTCACTGCAACCTCTGCCTCCTGGGTTCAGGCAATTCTCCTGCCTCAGCCTCCTGAGTAGCTGGGGTTACAGGCACCTGCCACCACACCCAGTTAAAAATTACATTTTCTTTAGCCAACACCACATCCTTGTGTTTTTATAAACTTCCCCAAAAAAGGTTTTGGTGAAGAGTAACACATTTTACTCTCCTATAATTTGAACTCTTAGTAACCCAAATTCCCAGTGAAAAAATAAGGATTGCTTACTTTAACATAACATGGTTTAAAATTTTTAAATTACTGAAGAGAATTTTATGAGTAAATTTACGAAATTAACCTTACCAAATGTTACTAAAGTCATGTGAATTAAAAGGCATCTGAGCTAGTTTCTATTAGTCTGATAAACACTTGGTTTTCTTTAAGTCAATTGATTAGAGCTCTTCCATATAATTTGGTAGTGAAATTTCACTTCCACATTACACATTCAAACATATAGACATAACAGACATATAAACAAAAGCAAATCCTCTATTTTCTTATCTGTCTGTTTTCAAAAATTCTCTCCCTTTACTAAAAAAATTGCAGGAGCCAACAAAAATTGAAGAAGAGATTTACCATACCAGGCTTCTCAAAAGGAAGAAAGACCTGAAGCAGCAGGGTACAGCAGAAGTTGCACTTCTGAGATATCTGAAGAATTTCAAAAAGAAACAGATTATAGAATTTAAAAATTAAAAACTTCTTGCTTTAAAAGTCAATAGTTTTTATAAAAGCTTGTTTAACCAATTATTTCGTTTGTATTAGTGTATTTTTAATATCAAAGTTCAATTCCTAGAAAGATTATTATAATTTCCTTTCAATTACAGCCCACTTAATTATATAACTTTTTAAAAAATAAATTCCTTTTTTACTAACCTCATTACAACTTATACAGACCATTCATGACATGCTTGGACTTTCTGGCTTGTCCTAAATATCCCTATTTCTTAAACAACCAGTCATTTTATTTTAAGATAAAAATTTAACATACAAGATCCTCTCTCATACAAAGTCATTTTTCTTTTAATCTTTCTTACCAAAAATACCTCTTTATATCTGTAACTTTCTTTATGTCTCTTATTTCCTGGTTCCTTTTATCTTGTTTTACATATATCCTTTAACATATAAACTAGACAAAAATTATTTACCTTTTAATAAGAACACATTTTTAGAAGAAATGTTTTCCTAGAATCTTAAATTGAAAATTACCCAGATGTTTAGTGGATATCTATTATTTCATACAACTTTAGATTGGAAATTATATGACATTTGTTTACAAGCATTTATTCCATTACATTTACTTGTTTAATTTATTTTTAATAGTTTACCTAGATTATTTATGAAAACCAATATTCATCATTTAAAGTTATTTCCCTGTTAACCATGTTTATAACCTATGAATTTCAGGTGTTTACCTGAGTAAGAAACTTAAGGCTAACTATATTGGTATTTTACCAATAACTCAGGATTTAGCTGTTTTCATTAAACCAACAATATAAGTATCTTTATAAAAAATTACTGTAATCCCAGCACTTTGGGAGGCCGAGGCAGGCGGATCACGAGGTCAGGAGATTGAGACCATCCTAACTAACACGGTGAAACCCCGTCTCTACCAAAAATACAAAAAATTAGCCGGGCGTGGTGGTGGGCGCCTGTAGTCCCAGCTACTCGGGAGGCTGAGGCAGGAGAATGGCATGAACCTGGGAGGCGGAGCTTGCAGTGAGCTGAGATCATGCCACTGCACTCCAGCCTGGGTGACTGAGACTCCGCCTCAAAAAAATATATATTACATGGCTGGGTGCGGTGGCTCATGCCTATAATCCCAGCACTTTGGGCGGCTGAGGCGAGTGGATCACAAGGTCAGGCATTCGAGACCAGCATGGCCCACATAGTGAAACTCCGTCTCTACTAAAAATACAAAAAATTAGCTGGGCATGGTGACAGGAGCCTGTAATCCCAGCTTCTTGGGAGGCTGAGGCAGGTGAATCGCTTGAACCTGGGAGGTGCAGGTTGCAGTGAGCCGAGATCACACCACTGCACTCCAGCCTGGGTGACAGTGCAAGATTCCATCTCAAAAAATAAAAAAAATTACACAAGCAAAGATCATTCTGTTTTGGGTTGGGTTTATAGTTTTATAAACCTCATGCCATATGTTGACATCTTATAGTATTTGGCAGGGATAAGTATGGAACTGCTTGATCAATAAATATAAAAAATGCTGAAAATTCTTAAGACATTTCTAATATTACTTTACCAATAATTTGAAAGCCAGCTTATTTATTAAATATTTTACTTGTATCACATAAACTTGAAAGACATTTGGGTTTTTCTGTGTGTGTGGTGGCTCGATGTGTGCTGACTGTGAGCAGGACTCTACAGTGTTCCACCACTGAATTGTTTCTGCCCTCTTAGATGTCTGTTTCTCTCTCTGGAATTCTATTACCTCCAAGAGGGCTCAAAATGCCAAGTGATCAGCTCTTATATGTGTTTCCTGGAAGAGCCTTTCTAAACTAATTTTCTTGGGGGTTCCCTGTAGGGCCATTGCACGTCTCAGGAAGTCAACCCCCAGACACTTTTACTTCGTCCCCAGTCACCCAGGAGCACCTTTCAGCTGGGAGGAACAAAATGCCCTTTTTCTTCAGAGCTGAGGACCTCAGTCTCATTTATCTATGAAAATAACAGTTCAGTTCCTCACACAAATGCACAGACAAACCAATTGAGCTTAATTTTGGAAGAAAAAGCAACGGAGAAGACTTCTTAGAATGCACCTCCAAACCGGAAACCAAATGAGGTGCCCAAAAAGGGGTCCTTCTCCTTGTCTTTAGAAAAAGGCAATGGAGAACACCTTTAGAATGCACCTCCGAACTAGACAGGGATCCCAAATAACTTTCTAGGAGGAAAAAAAAAAAAAACTCAAGAATAAATCAAGGACCATCAGCCAAATGGGAGGTCCAGTGCTCAGAAGGACCTAACAATTCCACTGGAGGAAATGCTCAAAGTTGGGGAGAACTATCATTGGGCCCCTGCTGGTACCTTAGCTCCAAGTTCAGCCAATTCCTTCAGGGCTCTGAGTCTTCTCTGAGGCCTGATGTTAGGTGCCAAATTATTGTAAGTGAAAGAGCCAAACTCTGTAAATTATTTGAAGAGATTTATTCTGAGCCAAATGAGTGACCAATGGCCCATGACACAGCCCTCAGGAGATCCTGAGAACATGTGCCCAAAGTGGTTGGGCTACAACTTGGTTTTATACATTTCAGGGAGACATAAGACATCAATCAATACATGTAAGATGTACATTGTTTCAGCCACAAAGGCGGGACAACTGAAAGCAGGTATGGGGGGTGAGAGGACTTCCAGGTCATAGGCAGATTCAAAGATTTTCTGATTGGCAATTGATTATTGTCTAAAGACCTGGTATTGATAGAAAGGAATGTCTGGGTTATGATAAGGAGTTGTGGAGACCAGGTTGTAGTATGTAGATAAAGCCTCTAGGAAGCAGGCTTCAGAGGTAATAGATTGTAAATGTTTCTTATTAAAGAGTCTCTTCTGTCAGTCTGAAAATCTCTGTGTTGATGTTAATGCTGGTCAGGTGTGAGGCATGTCCAACAACCACTTCCCATCCTGGCCTGAACTAGTTTTTCAGGTTAACTTTGGAATGCCCTTGGCTGAGGAGGGGTTTGTTCAGATGGTTAGGGGGCTAAGAATTTTATTTTTGTCTTACACTATTAACTAGCACAGCGACTCTAAAACGTTAATTATTCTCTTGGCAAATAAGTGATTAGGCTCATGTAAGGATGTGCCCTGAAAGCAAGAAAGGAAAGTGGGTCAAGTAGTCACTGATACAAATTTTAATTTGGCAGTTTTAGATCTAGGAAGAGATTAATGTTGGCTCCTTCACACTCTGAGGATTGGTGGCTATTTCCCTTACATTCAATGTGAATATGAAGGACAGATTTCAAATGGTCCCCTAAAACAGTTTCTCCCTCTCTTAGAACTCATTTGCATTTGCAAACTGAAATTAGTGTTTCAAGTTAGAATTCCATCTACCCTGGTTGCAGAAGACTTAAGATGTTTTTATGCCCTCAGCCTTTTCTTCATCTGTAAATGACGGACCACCTCCCTCAGAATGCATACAGCATTACCTAAACCATGGGGTGGGCCATTGTTTCCAAAAGCAGGCCAAGTTGAGAGGCTCTCTTACTGTAATTCACATAAATCCTAGTCAAACCATATTGCATTCTGGGGTCACGTTGAAAATGTCAACTTGGTAAATCTCCCTTCTCATGGTAAATGTACATGTTCTTTCAACCTGGCTATTGCAGATGACAATAAAGACCCTATTGTTCAGCTTTGGGCTGCTCTATTCTATCTTTTTAAAGCTCCACCTTGTCTATCTTCACCAATCCCCATTTAACTTTTTACCATCGATAAGGCATAAATTATGCTGTGTGGGCTCTGCCACCACTTTGGGTGCCTTGCTCCAAGGTGAAATGGAAGCTTATCATTAGTCCTCTCCCTAGTCCTAACATCTATACTGGATGCAGGTAGAAAATAGTAATGATTCCGCTCTCATAATTTATAAGTATCATGCTGACGTCCTTAAAAAAGTAGGTATTCAATTCTTATTAAAATATAACTTCCCTCCTCTCCCTGCTGCAGAAGCTTTCTTCAGCCCACATCCATATCTATCTTTTCTGCACTCATTCAGTCCTCTTTTTTTACTCAATTTGGCCTTTATTTGTATTACCCTTTAACGATCTTTAAATGCTTAATGTGCACATGTCCCTCTTCACATGGCGGCAGGAAGGAGAAGTGCCGAGCAAAGGAGGAAAAGTCCCTTTATAAAACCACCAGATCTCATGAGAACTCACTCACTATCATAAGAACAGTATGGGGGTAACAGCCCCCATGATTCAATTACCTCCCACCAGGTCCCTCCCACAACACATAGAGATTATGGGAACTACAATTCAAGATGAGATTTGGGTGGGGATACAGCCAAACTGTATCAAGGATAGAACCAAGGGTAGAAACCAGACTCAAACTGGGTACTGAAGTTGCTCTACTGGTTACTGTAGAGGTAAGGGCACTTGAGAGAAGAAACTAGCCAACAGTGGTCAAGTATGGTAAGCAATTAGGCAAAAACATAAGAACAAATTGAACATCTTTAAACTCAGGTTGTATTACTGAAACTACTGTGAAGTGCTGCCCATTAGGAGTATAAGAGGCTGCTCACCTTTGGGCCAGTCTTCATATTCATGGTGTCAGGTAGCTCTACCTCATCACAACTCTTTTTTCCCATTCCAACATCTTTCTTTTTCAAGTCAAAATTATTAAGGTATAATTTACACACAGCAAAACTGCTCTATTTAGTGTACAAATCTATGAGTTTTGGCAGATGCATACATTCTGTAACCCACACACATCACAGTCAAGATATCCAACAGTTCCATTACCCCTCCCCAATTCTCTTAAGCTCCACTTTATAGTCAACTCCTCTCACCTCACAGGCAACCACTGATCTCTTTTCTCTTTTTATGGTTTTGCCTTTTCCAGAATGTCATATAAATGGAATACAGTATGAAGACTTTTTAATCTTGCATCTCTCACTTAGAATAATGCACTTGAGATTTATTTGTGTGTAGGAGCAGTTTGTTCCTTTTATATGCTGAGTAGATTCTATTGTATATATGTACCACGGTTTGCTTATCCATTCACAAATTAAAGGGCATTTAGGGTGTTTCTAGTTTTAGATGATTATAAAATATGTTCAGGTTTTTGTGTGAACATGTTTTCATTTCTCTTGGGTAAATATCTAGGAGTAGGATTTCTAGGTCATATCACAAGTGTATGCATAACTTTATAGGAAACTCCCAAACCATTTCCCAAGTGTATGTACCCCTCTGCATTCCCACCAACAACATCTGAGAGTTTTAGTTTCTGTCCATCATCAATAGCTTTTGAAATTATTTTTATTTCAACCAAGTAGTGATCACTGTGGCTTTGATTTGCATTTCCCTAATGACTACTATAGTAAATAGACTACAGCAACAAAAGGAACAAACTACTCCTACACACAACATAAATACATCTCAAATCCATTATTCTAAGTGAAAGATGCAAGACTAAAAATGCTTCATACTGTATTCCATTTATATGACATTCTGGAAAAGGCAAAACCATAAGGAGAGAAAACAGATGAGAGGTTGCCTCGGGGTGGGAGGGGTTGCGCATCTTTTCATATGCTTATTTGCCATCCATGTATCTCCTTTGGTAAAGTGATTGTTCAATTATTCACACATTTTAAAACTGGATTGTCTTCTGAGTTGTAAGATTGTTTCACATATTCAGAATACAGTCACTTAATAGGTATGTTTTGGCTGGGAGCGGTGGCTCACGCTTGTAATCCCAGCACTTTAGGAGGCTGAGGCAGGCGGATCATGAGGTCGGGAGATGGAGACCATCCTGGCTAACATAGTGAAACCCCGTCTCTACTAAAAAACAAACAAACAAACAAACAAACGAAAATTAGCTGGGCATGGTGGCAGGCGCCTGCAGTCCCAGCTATTCGGGAGGCTAAGGTAGGAGAATGGCGTGAATCCAGGAGGCAGAGCTTGCAGTGAGCCGAGATTGTGCACTGCACTTCAGCCTGGGTGACAGTGCGAGACTCCGTCTCAAAGAAAAAAAAAAAAAAGGTATGTTTTGCAAATATTTTCTCCCAGTCTGTTGCTTGTTCTTTTGTTTTCTTAAGTGACATCCAAAGAGCAAGTGTTATCCAAACAGCAAGTTTTTATAAATTTCTTTCTTTCATGGATTGTGTTTTTTGTTGTACCTAAGAAAACTCTGCCTAATTCAAGATCATAAAAATGTTCTCCTATGTTTTCTTCTAAAAGTTTTATATTTTCACATTTAGGTCTATGATCCATTTTGAATTATTTTGCATATGGTGAAAGGCATGAGTTTATAGGTGTTAAGCTTTTGTTTTAAAAATGATGTCCAATTATTCCAACATGTGCTTCTTTTCACTATCTTTTAATAAGGCTCAATTTAGCAGACACTCTATATATGATCCACAAAAAGAAAGGGAACCTTCTAGCTTTGGTGTGACAATCCTATGGCTGGAGATGAAAGGGCAGTTTCCAGTCCTTTGACTGGCAGAAATACCTAATAAGTATGCTTTCTACTCCATAGAAATGCATGATATAGAATAGTCCAGAAAGAACTGTCAATGCTTTCTAGTCAAAGATCACCAGGAACACACCTGTGGTTGAACAAGCCGAATTTACTACTCATTGCAGCAAGGAAGAACACATCACGGGGAACCACGTGGCATACTGGTAAGGTGTTCAAAAAAATCTTTTAGTAAGATTGGGTTTGTGTTAGGTGATCTGATAGAGGGTTTAAGGTGGTGGAACTTTGCTCTATGCTCTAAACAGGATATTGTCAGGAAGTGGGGGTAATTCTATGATTGGGTATCTTAATAAATCTTATCTAGAAAGAGGGAAGACTGGAATGAGGCTTAAGCTGTCATTGGCAAAGAGGCAACAGCTACGTAGACTAGTTTGGTATTTTCATTTTGTGTATTTCATTTGGTGGGTTGGACAGCATTTGTGTTTTTGTCTACATTCACACACGATTATGAAGTAGTCTTATTTTTGTCCTGATCCACCATGATCATGGAGTGGCCTCGTCTGATGTTGATGTTCTCTAAAATTATTTTTGTTCAACAAGAATACCAAAGCCTAGTGTGCCAGCATCTACTGCATGTCAGAAACTGCTTTTCTCTTTCTCGGAATATAGTGATTAAGAACTTGGGCTCTAGAGTCAGACAAAATTGGGTTTGATTCTAAAGCCTGCTCTTCACTAGCCTGTGGGACCCAGGGTAAATTATCCAACTTCTCTATGCCTCGGTTTCCTCATATGAATATAGGATTTCCTATATTAGAATATAATGTGCTTGCTTCATTGGATTGAGAGAAATCAGATGATCGAGGTTAGGAGCTGTGTCAAATAAATCTGCCGTATCATAGGAAAAATTAAGGATATTGGTGCAGGCAAAGGAAAACCAATAGCACAGGTGATTGTGCCAGGAATGGCAAAGAGCAGTGAAGAAAGTGAGGATAGAAAGCATAATGATTTACACTGGGGGGTAACTAACTTTTATAAAGCTGTTAATTTAATGCAAGGATAATGCATTACACTCATGAAAACATGGTGAAACAGGAAAAACGTGCGCACCTTGCAACAAGTAGGCTTCTTACTTAAATGAGTCCATACTGAAACCCTGGGAAGAGTGTTTGATAATGATGAAAACTATGATTGTGCACATAACAGGAGACAGACTCACATGTTGGGTAGAAGGTTGGGCTGGAGCTTTTTAAACTTCAGCGTACTATCAGCCTAGAAATAATTTCTTGCTTTAACATTACTGGTTTCTGCCTTCTTTCTGGTCCTCTTTGAACCACCCCACCATGTTAAGCAATGCCACATCTAATTTCTAAGTTTTTCAATAAGGCAAAAAGACTGTGTGTGTACCCAACTAGAAGAAAACTCAGTCACTTAAGAGGCTGGGTAATTGATATGTGTATTAAGAATTTTGTTAAAAGAATTTTATTGCCTGAAGGCACTAAGAATTCATCATTATTGTTATTTTAAGAGAGAGGGTCTCACTTTGTCACCCAGGCTGGAGAGCAGAGGCACAATCATAGCTCACTGCAGCCTTGAAATCCTGGCTCAAGTGACCTTCCTGCCTCAACTTCCCAAGTAGCTAGGACTACAGGTGCGTGCCACCACACCTGGCTATTTATTTATTTATTTTTTGTAGAAACAGGGTCTCACTATATTGACCCGGCTAGTCTCAAACTCCTGGCTTTAAGCAATCCTCCCACCTTGGCCTCCCAAAATGCTGTGATTACGTGGCCAGGGCTCATTAAGACATGACAAAATCTTTCAAAATAACATCCAGAAATAAATGTTTCATTTTATTTTTCTTGAAACAGGGTCTCACTCTGTTGTCCAGGCTGGAATGCAGTGGTGTGACCACGGCTCAGTGCAGCTTTGACCTCCCAGGCTCTAGCAATCCTCCTGCTTCAGTATCCCAAATAGCTGGGACTACAGGAGGGTGCCACCATGCTCAATTATTATTATTATTTTTTTAAGAGATGGGATCTCCCCATGTTGCCCTTGCTGGTCTTAAACTCCTAGGCTCAAGTGATCTTCCCGACTCAGCCTCCCGAGGTGCTGGGATTAAAGGCGTGAGTCATCTGTATTTTATTTTAACAATCTAAGAAAGGGAGGTCACAGAATGGGAATCAAGAACTTAGAGGAGTTCAGACTATAAAACGAAGAAATACTACAAGTCATGTATTTGTTTGTTTTATAGGCTGAACTCCTACACCAGAAGTTTCTGATGAACTCATGACCTCCCAAAGGAGCTCTTTTAAATCTTAGTTAGTTTATGAAACAGATTCAACTGCTGCTTTGAGTTATGGCTTTTAATAACCGTAAAAATGCAAAATCTCCCAGGAGTGGCTACAATCTTGTCAGTCATTTGTACTTTAATAATAATTAGATTCTCTTGTAAAACGACGTGCAAAGGGAAGAAGAAACAAGACGTAATTGTGCACTTCATAATTTTACCTAGAGTTCAACCTTGAAAGGTCACATATTAAGGATAGAAGTTTGTGTAATAACGAGAAAACAGAGGATATCCGTTTCTTCACATACTGGATAAACAACAATCCACGGATCCTGCTAATCATCCAACCCATATGTTGAATTGACAAGAGTATTTAATTTCCTCTTTCTGCTTTGAGAAACTAAATATCTTGACAGTCTGAGCACAGTGGCTTAAGTGGCCTTAATTCTCTGATTTCATAAGTTAATGATTAGGTTGAAGCTATAAACTATAGTCCATTCCATTTAAGACCTGGATCAAAGTTAGCTTCATCCAGCATGTTTTAGCACGTCCTTTCTGAGCTATGTTGTCAGTAGTTACCATTCAGTTCCACCATCCTGAATATTCTGCAGTTGATAAACCATTTTGTGAATTTTTTTTTTTTGCTTTCTGTGTATGTTTTTGACTCGCGTGTTTTTGCTTCGCTAATCAGATTGCGAAAGGAAACATCTCACGTTTGCATAGGACTTCACAGTTCATAAAGACCTTTCCCACCCACCACAAAAAAAGTATGACAAGTTTCCCGTCATCTTCATTTTATAGGTGTGGAAAGGGAGTCAAAGAAAAGTTAATCGATACCATTTATCTAGTTAAGCAGGCTTTGAGCAGTTCATCTCCTCCCGTCCTCAAAACGACCTTCTGAGGTGTCTCCTGCAACCCTGCTCTGAAGCTCAGAGCGAGACGGCCTCACATCCCAGGGGGCTCAGCTCTGGCGGGGCCGCCACGCGCCTCCCCGTGCCTTTGGACGGGTGAGGAGAGCTGCTGCCCCGGCGGGGACCACGTGGAGGGGCCTGGTCAGCAAGTGGCAAGGACGCGGCGCAAAGCCAGGCTTTCTAATGTACAATCCGCGGCTCTTTCGATACTGAACACCCACCTCTTCAACAAATTCGAGCGCCTGGCAGGCCCTGCACCAAGCCTAGGGTGATGGCGACCCAGGCGGGTTTTTACTCTCAAGGAGCTCAATTCTAGGGCAGGGAGAAGTAAAATTAAAAAAAAAAAAATCATAACAAACTGAAAAACACATAAATAAGCCACGTCTCTCCTCACCCCTAGCACTTAATCACAAAGGCCTGTAGAGAGTCCCGACGAGAACTTCTGAGCAGGCCCCGCTGTCAGTCCCTGAGGACAGCATGCAAGGGAGGTTGACGTCCCTGGACGAAGAAAGTGCTGGAGAAACTGGCGACCGTCCCACCTTCCCTAAGGCGAAGGCTCTGAATTCCGAAGACCGTTACTCGGCGCGGAACGCGGGCACCGCCGACGTCAAAACACCGGGCCTGGGGGCCGCGGCCTACGCGTCTCCCGGGCTTCGCGCCCCTCGCCCGATTTGATTGGATGGTGGCGGGAAGAAGGCGGGGAGACCCCCGGAGGAGGGGCGCGCAGGCCGGCCGGGGGTTCCCACGGAGGCGTCCAGGGGGCGAAGGGGCGGGAGCGGGCCTCGGAGCGTCGCGCGTGCGCAATTGGGACACAGCCGGCTGGGGACTGCTGGGAGGGCCGGACCCTGCGAGAACGGGTGGGCGTGTGCCCGGTGGGCGCGGGAGGGGCCCGGGCTGCACGAGCGCGCGTGCGCGTCGGAACTGGAGCCGCGGGAGGAGGCGGGAGCTGAGGAGGCGGCGGAGGGGGCGGGTCGCGTCGGGCGCCACGTCCGCAGCCAGAGGCCTCCGCCTCCACCACCGCCGCCACAGTCTTCCAGCTCCACATCCTGAGAGGACGCCTCTGGAGCCGCGACTGCCCGGGGTTGTGCCGGCCGCCGCTGCCGCCCAGGCCGCCTCAGCTCTCCTCTGCGCCGGCCCGCTCACTCCGCCCGGCCCCAGCCCTAGC
This sequence comes from Homo sapiens, assembly GCF_000001405.40. NCBI lineage: Eukaryota > Metazoa > Chordata > Mammalia > Primates > Hominidae > Homo > Homo sapiens. Next base: position 106,956,047 of record NC_000012.12, read on the forward strand.
GCTGGCCGCGACCCCGGCGGTGAGTGAGTCGGGATGCGAGGGCAGGGGCGCAGTCCCGGCTTCCTGCCCTCCTCCGTCGCCCTCTGCCGTCGGCGCCCCTGCCCCTCACCTCCCAGTGCCCGGCCTGGCTGCCCAGCGGGGCCTTGGCGAGGCCCCAGCGGGAAAGGGGGAGGGGCGGGACGAAGTTGGGGGCGGATGGAGGTTCGCTTCTGGGGCTACTCCTCCTTATACGTCGCTGACTGCCCCGCCGCGATTGGAGCTTGCGCACCCCTGGAAAGCCTCCGCCTGACTTCTTAGCATCTGGGGGTTCGGGGTTGGGGGCGGAGGAGGAAGGTGAGGGGCATCAGCAGCCTGGGAGAGGGATGCAGCGGAGGGGCTTGGGTACCGGGCTTCCTCGCCCTGCCAACTCCTGACCTGTTGCTAAACCTCCCTTTTGGGTTCAGGCACACAAGACTTTTTCCCAGTGGACACCCCCATAGCTCTTCCTGGGTAGGAAGGCTGTATCTCCACGCCTAACCTAAAGTAAAAGTGGGAATGGAGAGGGTGCTGGCCGCGCCCAGGGGTGACAGGGAGGGCTGGAGCACCCATCCGTGCCGTCACTGCCTCCCAGTCTAAATAAAAACTGCCTGCTCTGCACACGCAGCTTCAAGACCGACCCCCCAGCTCCCACTTCCAATCAGATCGCCTGTCCTAAACCCTTCTTACATAGAAATTCTGGAGCCCTTCGGGAGTGGGGGGAGTGCTGGGTGTACAACGTGGAGCGGAGGGAGGAGGTGCCAAGCTCAGTGCTAGCCACGGCGCCTCCAGGGTCATTTTCTGCCTCCTGCCACGTCACTCACTGCTAAAGAAAAAAAAAAGATTTGCTAGTGCCTAAAGGGATCAGTAGGGAGAGAAGGGGCCACCCGGAAGGGTTTAGAAACACCTAGAGAAAAGGGAAGGGTTCTTAATTTGATTTTTGCGTCCTTGTGAACACTGTGCTAATTCCAAATGAAAATATTTGCTATATGTGATTATTTGCTGTATGCTATTGTTTAGCCTTTGAAACTTCTGCTGGTGTGAGTGCCCTCAGGGGTTCCCCAGGAATATCGATACAACACCAACAGGTAAACGCGCGCGCCCGTGTGTGTGTGTGTGTGTGTGTGTGTGTGTGTGTGTGTGTGTGTGTATGTGTGTGCGCGCTCGCGCCCATGCTTAACTTTTTAAAAAGAAAGGGAGAAGTAGCCTTTGATAAACCCATATGCATCCTGTTTTGCTTTTTCCACTTTCATTTCTTTAGTCTTTGTTAGAACAGATGTACCAGAAACCAAGTTCAGTAAAAATTTGTCCATTTATAGAAAGCATCGTTAGAAATTATAACGGTTGCTACATTGGACAAATATACAGATTTCTTTGTGTGTGCATGGGTTTGATTTTTTTTTTTTTAACTACAGGAAAATCTTTACCTTTGTTTCAGTTATTCGGTATTTGCTCTTTTTCTATTTCCGGAAGATATCTCACTGGATTATATATAAACATCTTGAGAATAAGACCTTTGTATGCTTGTTCACAAGGATGCCTCAGTGCCTAATAGAATGTTTGACACATAGTAGGAATGCAAATATCTGTTGAAATAATGTGAAGATGGTTTACTGGTTCTCTGGTTTAATAGAGTATTGTAATTCTGCTTAATGTTTCATTTAAGGATAACCCTTAAAAATTGCCATTTTGACACTGTCAGTTATTACTCGTCTAAGTGGGCACTTACAAGTTTTACTGGCAGATGACCTTTTCTTCCTTGCTAGATTGAGAGCATTTCTTGTAGCCTATTTGCTGTTGATTTAATGGGCAGGGGCCATCTTTAAAAGCAGACTCTTCTTGATAGTTGGTTTAACTAGAAAAACATAAAAACAGTAAGCTGGAGTTTTAATGTACTCTGCTTGTTGGTGTATATGTTGTAAAGCTCTGTATACATATATTTTTGAATCTCTTTGCAGTTATTTGGCAAAAAAGCTAAAACATGGGAGTGAGGATGTGGTAAAGTTCTTTTAGGTAGAATATGTAGAAGAATTTAGCTAATTCATTTATAGTCGTCTTTTTCTATTATAGGGAAATTGGCACCTACTGTTGAATAACAGGTGGTTTTAAGTGGCTTTGACAATAAACTTGTGCACTGTATTTTGTAGTTAAGCTTTATATAACGTGTTAGTGTTATTTAACTTCCTTTGGTGTATAGAGGGGTGGTACCCAGAGGAAAATTTATGTACTGTTTTTGGAATTTTTTATTATGAATAAAAATTTTATATATGAAATATTACTGAAACCCACAAACAAGATTGATTCATCAAAGAAAACACGTTTCCCAAGAGGTGTTTGTTTACTTATTTCTATTATTGGAATAAATTACCCTTTAGGGAATTGTGTTGTTAATCCTTGCTCAGTGTATTTGCCAGCTGCTAAATCTATGTGATACTATTGTACTGGGCAAGAATTATTTCTCCCCATCTCTACAATGCTTAATGTAACTGCTGATGAATTTGTAGTCGTGATATACAGTCTACAACAAAGAAGCCTTTCATATGTCACAATTTCTTAAAAACCCACTTATAACCAGTTTAGTTGGTATTGTAATAGTTTATTCACACTTCAGGACCAAAAGGTAGAACTGATTTATGTCTGTAGAATAAGTTAAATCATTTGTACTTATCTAAAGCTATTGTCTGTCATTACTACTTTCCTTAGAAAAGTATGTGTTGTTTTGTTTTTTTGGTAGAGATGAGGTCTTGCTGTGTTGCCCAGGCTGCTCTCAAACCCCAGGGCTCAAGCGATCCTCCTGCCTCGACCTTTCAAAGTGCTGGGATTACAGGCATGAGCCAACATGCCCAGCCAGAAAGTATGTTTTTAATAGAAACTTGTGCATTATGAGGTCCTAGAGAGCAGATATATTTGTTTCTTGAATATATAATTTGTTTCTTGAATGATTCACTAAATGGCAAGTGCCGGAAAAGTCTATTCCCACTGGATTGTAAACTCTGGTTTAGAGTAGTGCCTGTGTGTGCTTAATCACACTGAACTCCTAATTGTGTAACAGGGTGCCTGTCGCATAGTAGGGCTCAAGTATATGTTGAATTAATGATTCAGTGAGTTCAGGGCAGATAGTTTGTATAGAATTTAATAATTTTAATGTATTACTTAAGGGTAACATTTAAAAATGGTCATTTTGAATTTTTTCTTTTTTGATATGGAGTCTTGCTCTGTCGCCCAGGCTGGAGTGCAGTGGCTTGATCTCCACTCACTGCAACATCCGTCTCCCAGGTTCAAGAGATTTTCCTGCCTCAGCCTCCCTGGTAGCTGGGATTACAGGTACCCGCCACCACACCCTGCTGATTTTTCTATTTTTAGTAGAGATGGGGTTTCAGCATGTTGGCCAGGCTGGTCTGGAACTCCTGACCTCAGGTCATCTGCCTGCCTCAGCCTTTCAAAGTGCTGGGATTACAGGCCCATTTTGAAATTTTTACTGTCAGTTGATACTTGTCTCTACATATATACTCTAAAATTTTATTAGTAGATTATTTACCTTTCAGAGTTTTAGATTGGGGTCTATTTATCTTCACAGTTCCTACTATAAGAGAAACAGGTCTCCTGCAATGGTGATAATAAGCAGGATAGTAATATAAGAAGTATTTCTCTTTAGTAACGAAGTGGCAATATCCATAAAGAGGTAATATCACTAAAAGTTAGGCACATATTTGTGTGCAGGACTTTGGAATGGTTTATGTGAATGAAAAGTACAGATGACACAGTTAAGGATTTTAGCAAATACCTTTATAAGGTAACTCAGTGTCTTATGATCAAATTAGGAATTCAGGAAAAAAAATCTCAAATACTTGTGGCTTTTTAATTAATTAAAAATTAGTAATAATTTTTATTACTCTAAGAGTTCTAGAGGAATTTTGATACAACATACTGGCTATTAAGGTGTGATGTACAAGATGCCCAAACATCAAAACAAAACTAATCTTTTTTTTTTGAGATGGAGTTCTGCCCTGTCACCCAGGCTGGAGTGCAGTGGTGAGATCTTGGTTCACTGCAACCTCTGCCTCCTGGGTTCAAGCAATTCTCCTGCCTCAGCCTCCTGAGTAGCTAGGATTACAGGCATGCGCCACCATGCCCGGCTAATTTTTGTATTTTTAGTAGAGATGGGGTTTCACCATGTTGGCCAGACTGGTCTCGAACTCCTGACCTCAGGTGATCCACCTGCCTTGGCCTCCCAAAGTGGTGGGATTACAGGTGTGAGCCACCATGTCCGGCCCTTGTTTTTTTTTTTTTTAGTCCCAATGAAACTAATCTTTGTGGCACTTAGGACTTTCAAGTCTTTCTAAATAGTGAATTCCTCTAGTCTAGGATATGCCTGGCATGGCAGGACTCCAGAGTTGCTGCTTTCTTGTTTATTGATAATCCTATTGGTAACTACTGCTAATAAATTTTAAATGCAATTGAATATTTCTATATAATAATATCTAGCTTTTTACATTTCACACTCCTCTACAGAAATACTCCTAATTTTAGGCCAGAATGAACTCATGGTGGGCGTGGGAGTGGGAGTGTGGTTGGACTGGCAGGGAGAGCTGGTAAGTCTGAGAATATACCCGGAAGCAGCCCCAGGCGAGAGTGAAATCTCTTGAAAGTCTAGTTATCTTTTAAAAAAAACACAATGCTCAAAGCACTTTTCATTTCACTTTTTACTGTGTGTGAATTTAAAAATAAAACAGTATTTTAAATTACTCTAGATTAAATGCAGGCATTATGTCTCTCCTGTGTATTCTTAAGTCCTAGGCACACCACTGCCTATGTTTAAAAAGGTACATTTGGAAAGCATGTCTCTAGCTTAGAGTTTTCTTTTTTTTAAACCCCAAATTTGGGCCATATATTGGTAGGTATTTCTTCTTGTGATGCTTAAAGTATATGCGGATACTTCTCTTCGCTTCGCTTCTTTTCTCCTCTCTTCTCTTCGTCCTGTCCTGTCCTGTCCTGTCCTGTCCTATCGTTTGAGACAGGGTCTCGCTCTATGGCTGAGGCTGGAGTGCAATGGCATGATCATGGCTCACTGCAGCTGCTTTAAACTCCTGGGCTTAAGCAGTTCTTCCTCTTCATCCTTCCAAATATGTGGGACTACAGGCGTGCACCACCGTGCCCAGTCAATTTTTTTTTTTTTTTTTTTTTTTTTTTTTTTTTTTTGTGGAGACGGAGTCTCATTATGTTTTCCTGGTCTTGACTTCCTTAGCTCAAGCAGTCCTCTAACCTCAACCTCCCAAAGTGCTGGGATTACAATATTTTCTTTTTATTCTACTTATCCCACAAATACTATCTGGCAGCTTACAACAAAAACATGTACCAACAAATTGGTAAAAATATGTAAATAAGATACTCAAATTGCAAACCAGGGAGAAATAGCAATCCAAGTAGCAATCTTGAGGAGGTGTGGAAGTGTGGAGGAAGATAGGACACAACTGTGCAGGCCACAGGAGCCTACCTAGTTGAGCTGGGATTTTAGCTTTAAGCTTCCAGGAAGCCAAAGAGAAGGAAGACATCATACCTTTGTATCTTTTAAATATAAAAATGCCTATATCTTTAAGAAAACAGGCTAAATATTTGGGGGAAACAAGACATTTTCTAAATAGTTACCTCTGAAGAAATTTCTTATGTGGAGTTCCGTATCAGAGCTATTAAGTGTTGTAGTGGGTAATGTCTTTAACAGTATTGTACAGTTAATATAGTAATAACCTGCATAAGGCTGTTTGTCAGGATTTCCTTACCCAAGACATAACTGTGAACAAAACTCAGTGATACCATTTTCTTAAAGCATCATGTGATTCAAGTATGTTGTTTTTTAGATTATTAACTTCATCTGTGGCTAAAACTTAGAATAATTAGGATTAGATGAACTACATAATCTTTAAAAATATTTATGAATATTACTGATTTCCAAGACTTGAAAATATGTATTTTTCTTTAATTATAAAAGCAATACATTTTTATGGTAGAAAATTTATAGATGTTAATTAACTATGCATATTTCTATGTGTAGGTATAAAAATACTATATACAAATACTATATTATACTGTGAATATATAAATGCTATGTATACTACTTCATGCATGTGTATGTAAAATGTAAAACTTATGTATTTCTAACCCCCCCCGCCCCCTGGCAATCTTTATTAATACTTCGGCATACTTTCTTCCAGTCTTTTTGTATGCATTTTTTAAAAAATTGGGCATGATGATATATGCCTTTTACAGTCTCTAAATATAGCATTAGCATATTTCTGTAGTATTTGATCATAAATTATTTTCACATCTGCATAATGTATGTCTTTTGGAAGCCTATAAATTCCTCTCTTGCGTTCCATGAGGCTGTACTCATTTGTTCATTTTCAGATGTGTTTTGTTTGTTTTTGCTGGCTTCTCTTTTGCTCACCTCTTAAATATGAGCTGGCCAATTAAGGCTGTCAGTCGGCTTCTCATCACTCTTTTCCTTGATCATATCACCCACTGCTCAGAGCTTCAGCTATCACTTCAAACCGCTCTTAGAACCTCAACTCTAACTCCAACTTTATGCTGAATTTCTGGCCCCTTAAATCCAATTGCCTGCTGAACAAGTGTGGATGCCCTGAAGGCATTTCAAATACAGCTTGTTCAGAAACAAGTCCTTCATCTTCTCTCAAAAGGTTTCTCTTCTGATATTCTCTGTGTTCATCATCTCTGTCTTATACTAGAAATATGACATTAGATTCTCCCTTTCATCTCAAAGTTACATTCTACTTCTGACAAAAAATTCAAGTATATGAGTGTCAACCATGCATCATTGATTAAGTCTCTGGTGATAGAGTAGTGAACAAACCAAGCGTTTGTTCTCATGGAGCTTACATTTTAATTGGGAGAGACCCAAAGTAAACAGATTAGGTGAAAATGATAAGAAGAGTGGAGGGTGCTCATCTATTATAAGGTGGTCAGGGGACATCTTCTGATAAGGGGACATTTGCAGAAGGACCTGAGCCATGTACATATACTGGGGAAAAGGCTTCGAGGAAAGGATAAACAAGGAACTCTGTGTTACTAGACTGGAATGAACAAGAGGTAGAATAGTGGAGATGGCGGTTAAGTATTTGGCCTCAAAGGCAAAGGTATAAGGACTCTGAATTTTATTCTAAGCAAAATAGGAAGCAGTTGGAGGATATTAAACAGAGTATGACACGACTGGACTGAAAGAAGAACAAAGGTGGAAGCTCGGAGACCCATTCAGAGATTTTGCAGTAGTACAAGTAAGAGATTATGATGGCTTAAAGTGGTAACAGTAGAGGTAATGAGAAGTGGTTATATTCTGGATTTATTTAGGCAACAGAATTTACCGATAATTAGATGGGAATGTAAAAAAAAGCAGAATTCAAAGGTGACCCTGGCATTTTGTCCAAAGCATTTATTTAGACATGAAAATCTGGCAGAGTTTAGACTGTCAGAAAATTCTATCTTACTGGACTACTAAAGTAGCCACTTACTGTATTAATCTCTCTGTCCTTCCATCTCTTCTTGCTTCAGTTAGCGTCTTAAGGCACAGATATGACAGTATAACTCTGCTCATGGGTTCTTAATGCTTATCCACAGAAGGATGAAGTCAATTCATATTATTTAGATTAAACTGCATCTATCTTATGCTCTCATAAAGCAGAACTAATTTTTAAAAATTGTCTTTTTCTTAATTACAAGATAGGATATAGAAAAATAATTGTTTTTAAGGGATACTGTATTAGAAATAAAAGGTAAGACTGTTGGTAGGGATTTATGGGGTAGGCACCAGAAAGTCAGTTTTGAAATATATGCGGTTACAGTCATAATCACACCTATTTTTAAACTCCAGTTAAAATATGTAAGATGTATGGGTATATGTAATTTCCCATATTTCTCTATAGGGTATGGTACCTTCTGTTGATTGCCCAGCCAAGTGATCTCCTGGATTTGTGTCTATGTGTATGGTATTAATATATAGTACTGAGATTACCATGATGAACAAATTGGACAAAGGTGTCTGTCCTCTTGAAATTAATTGTCCAGCAGGGAAGTAAGTGGCTTCAAAATCATCATTTCTCAGAAGGGACACACATATTCTACCAGGAATTTCTGCATGTTTTATTTTGGAATTTGTTAAATAGCATTCTCATCTTAGGGTTAAGGCTAGAATTGTCTTTGATTTTTATTTTAACTATCCTAAACAGCAAGTATTTAATGAAGTTATTTGTCCTCTTCTATACAGTTTATGGTCAAGCTGAGATTCAAACTCAGGCACTCTGACCCCAAAGCCTTAACCACCATCCTGTATAATTTGTTATGATCTTACCATGATGATAAATCAAAGAAAACATAAATGTGAATGGTAATAAATGAACCTTTGTGGTTGGGGAGTTTTAAAATTAGGGCACATCCATCAAGAACCTCCTTTCCCAGTAATGCATCAGCTGAAATTCTTACTAGTTTTTCTGTGAGAGATTACTTAGCTTTACTATTACTTTTTAAATCTTATGTTTGGGATGATGTGCTAAATTCTCAAACCAAACCAGGATAAGATTAGGTGCCATTGATAAATGACCTGAGTCAGGATTTTCACTAGAGCAATTGAAAGCTATTTATTAAACACATGTGCTGCTGGACTCAGTAGGGGTGCAGAGAAGTGTCATCTTAAGTAGGATTTACGTTTTAAAGTCATAAGAAGATGAATTCCATGAAGTTAAAATCACCTTTGAAAATTCCCATTTCTCGCAACCTCTGCCTCTACCACCCTCATCCAAGCCACCAACATTTTTTGGCCTAGATTATTGAAGTTGTTTCCTAATGGGACTTTCTGCCTCTGCTGTTGTTCACCTATTGCTTGTATTCCCTACAGCAGCCAGAATGATCTTTTAAAAGATCACCTTACTCTTTTGTCCAGTGCCTTTTACTAGTTTCCCATCTCACTCAGTTAAAAGCCACTCTCCATCATCACCTTCAAGGGCCTATGTTGATCCAGACCTCACTCTTTGTCTTCCTCTCCTACTGCCCTTGATGCGACCCTGCCACACTTTACTGGCTGTTCCTTCTTGCTGATCCAGGTAAGCTCCCACATCAGGGCCTTTGCTCTTGCCATTTCTTCTTCCGCAAAGACTCTTCACCTAAATATCTTGTATCCTTACCTTCTTTGAGTGTCATCGCAGTAAAGCCTTCACAGACTATCCTATCTAAAATATCATATCCTCTCCCCATCCATCCTTGGCCGGGCGCAGTGGCTTATGCCTGTAATCCCAGCACTTTGGGAGGCCGAGGTAGGCGGATCATCTGAGGTCAGGAGTTCAAGACCAGCCTGGCCAACATGGTGAAACCCCATCTCTACTAAAAATACAAAAATTAGCCAGGCATGGTGATGCACGACTGTAGTCCCAGCTACTCGGGAGGCTGAAGCAGAAGAATTACTTGAACCTGGGAGGCAGAGTTGCAGTGAGCTGAGATCGCACCACTGCACTCCAGCCTGGGCGACAGAGTGAGACTCTGTCTCAAAAAAAAAAAAAAAAATCACACAAAAATAAAGTATCACACCCTCTCATCCATCCCTTTTTCTCCATAGCATATAAATACCACTGACATATAGTCCTCTCTTTGTATTTATTTTGTATTTATTTATTGCCTTTCCCCATTGGAGTATCCATTTCATGATGGCAGAGATTTTTTCCATCTGTATTGATATATACATATATATATATTTTATAGTAAATTTTGAATTCTGTTAACTGCCTCTGTTCATAAGAGCTTTAAGAACAGCAAAAAGTCATCAAAATTGATCTGTTACTGATTCAGATTGGTGGTGTCATCATTACAAGAGAGGGATGTCTTTTTTTTAAGGACTTTCTCAGATAGAACACCTTAGTATTTATTTATTAACTTTTTCAAATTTTAGGGTCAGGAGTACATGTGCAGATTCATTACGTGGGTAAAATCGTGTGTTGTGGGGGTTGGGTGTACAGATGATTTCATCACCCAGGTAATAAGCATAGTACTCAATAGATAGTTTTTTGACCCTTACTCTCTTTCCACTCACCACCTACAAGCAGGCCCTGGTGTCTCTTGTTACCTTCTTTGTGTCCATGTATACTCAGTGTTTAGCTCTCATTCATAAGTGAGAAAATGCGGTATTTGGTTTTCTGTTCCAGTGTTAGCTCACTTAGGATCATGGCCCCCAGCTCCACCTGTGTTGCTGCAAAGGACATGATCTCATTCTTTTTTATGGTTACATAGTGTTCCATGATGTATATGCACCACATTTTCTTTATCCAGTCCACTGTTGATGGGCATCTAGGTTGATTCCATGTCTTTGTTATTGTGAATAGTACTGTGATGAACATAACACGTGTGTGGTAGAATGATTTATATTCCTTTGAGTTATATCTAGAAATGGGATTGCTGGGTTGAATGGTAGTTGTGAGTTCTTTTGAGAAATCTCCAAACTGTTTTCCACAGTGGCTGAACTAATTAACATTCCCATTAGCAGTGTATAAGCATTCTTTTTTCTGCAGCTTTGCCAGCATCTGTTATATTTTGACTTTTTAATAATAACCATTCTGTCTAGGGAACACCTTTTTTAGTTCTGGTATACTTTTTTCTTTAAGTCTATTGTGAAATAAATTACAATTAAATTAACCAGTATTCTGTAGGAGGAAACAACATTTTTGTCGGCTAACCCCCACCTTCCAGCTCTCTTTCAGTGAGTAATTTTCAGTTGTAGTTGAAGCACCACAGTAACAACATAGGAAAACTTATACTATGACTGCCACTCTTTGGTGAGTGTTTCACATAAGATTTATATTGTCTACTGGTATAATTTAAAGTATTTATTAAATGCCGCAGTTTGAAGTAGGAGAGAAACAAGATGAAGACTAGTTGTATAGTGGGTACAAAATGTTGTTTATCTGAATAATGTTGATGAAATCGCAATTTAGCATGTGATAAGAGGTAGTCTCACATGTTGAGGTTAAAATGAAATGTGTTTGTATGTTTTTTTTTTAGGAGATCATGAATCAGACAGATAAAAATCAACAAGAAATCCCATCATACCTTAATGATGAACCACCAGAAGGTAAGTATGCATCTGTAACACTAAGAATGGAAAAATATACTGAATTAAAGTTCTGATAGTTTTTATTTTTTACTTATTTTATTTTATTTTTTTTTGAGACAGAGTCTTACTCTGTCAACCCAGGCTGGAGTGCAATGGCACGATCTTGGCCCACTGCAACCTCCGCTTCCTGGGTTCAAGCAGTTCTCCTGCCTCAGCCTCCCAAGTAGCTGGGATTACAGGTACCTGCCACCACACCTGGCTAATTTTTTGTATTTTTAGTAGAGACAGGGGTTTCATCATGCTGGCCAGGGTGGTCTTGAACTCCTGACCTTAGTTGATCCACCTGCCTCGGCCTCCCAAAGTGCTGGGATTATAGGCGTGAGCCACCACTCCCAGCCCTGATTGTTTTTATTAAAGAAATATAACCTGTTTACCTTGTCAGTAAATATGTCCCCAAAATAATTGAAGATAACATTTTTAGCTTCTAATAAGAAAGCATAGATAGTGGTGAATAGGGACACAATTTTACCATATAAGGCATAATATTTTGCTGTCATTCTTCTTTTAAGACCATTTTAGAAGTATAAGTATCCTTTCATTTGTAAAGGGTGAGGATGGATACAGAGGAAGGATGGACTGTGTTTAGTTTTGATATCCTGCATACAAAATCAGCCTAATGCAAGAGGCATTAGAGATCTGTTGTTAAACTCCTATTATTCATTATATTGTAATTGGTACCTCTCCTCTATTAACACATGATCTTGGGATCTGCTTCATTTGTCTTTTTAAGTCATAATTCTCTTTGAGTTTGAAAATTGTGTTATCATGAATCATTTTAATTCTTCAGAAACCCTTGGAAACACACCTGAATGTCCTGAGTACATACAGAAAATGACTAGAGGCATGTTTTTGGTATAGACTGTTACTAAACTTAATCCAAATAGTGATCTCCTTGGAGAATTGCATGTTGATTACTAGGGCTGGAGGTTGTGACTCTAGGTATTATATATTTTTTCCTAGTTCTGTTACCCATTGTCTAAAATTTTCTTCCTATATTTCTTTTATTGGTAGGCAAAAATGAAATTGCTAGGAAAATAGCAACAAAGGGTTTACACTTAAGCCATAAAGAATTCAAAAGAACTATCGGAGATTGCAGTGAGCTAAGATCGTGCCACTGAACTTCAGCCTGGGCGACAGAGTGAGACTCCGTCTCAAAAAAAAAAAAAAGAACTAGCTGATTAGGTTTAGTTTAGTTTGGTGGAGGAATAGCCTGGAAAATTACTAACTCAGGTCTTTTCCATGCCTTACATTTTTAGGTCTGGAACCATGGAGTTTTGAAAAGTTAGGGCTCAGTGAGAAAGTTAACAAGGACTTTGTGAGAAAGAAATCAGAAAAGGGATAAATAAAGGCCATCCAGGGGCATGATTGTCAAGGAAGAGAACAAAGCAGAATGTCTTTCTATGCCAACCACTAAACAAGAGGAATCTGCAAAGCAGATAATTTATATGGTGATAATTAAGAGTATACTGTAATAAAAGAGATCAGCTGCATTAATTATTTATCTGACTTGATTAAGAACAATTATTTGTCTTCTTTAAATGCATGTGTACCAAATTTGGCATGGCAAGATAGTTTTACTAATGAGATATTTGGCATGAGGCAGTTATCTGTTGTAGCCTCAAATCAGGATTTTGCCTTTTTTCTTAGGGCTAGTGACCTCGATTACAGAATTACCAATTATGTAATCCTTTCCATCATAATTTTATAACTAATATATTCAAATGCCCATCTATATATTAAGTCTTTTACTTCAGTCATTAAAAATTTGTATTAACTATACTTATTAAGTAGTTTTAATAAAAATATTTGGTTTTTAAAGTTTATAGCTATTGCTGTATCTGTATTTATGCACTATTTTGCAAAGATATTTTGACTAGTCAGTGAGATTTTCCCACTTGTGATAAAATGTAAAATCTTCAGACAATGAAAAGAAAAATTATCTCAAGGTAAATTTGTGCCTTGTGCATTGGAAAGCTCAGTTTTCAGAATTTTTTATTTTCTCCATCAAATATTGTCAGTTTCCCCATGATACCTTCTCTGAGAACTTGATTCTGCTAGAATCTAATAGTTTTGGTGCTCTTAGTTGGACTTACGTACCCAGTAATTTACCCCTCTTTTTCAGAAGTAAAGCTTGAATTGTGTAAGTACCAAATATTTTTCCATGAAGTTTAGAAAAACACTAATGCTTATGTGTTGTTGCTGCTTAAATTATTAGGTTACTAGGCCGGGCGCAGTGGCTCACGCCTGTAATCCCAGCACTTTGGGAGGCCGAGGTGGGTTGATCACGAGGTCAGGAGATTGAGACCATCCTGACTAACACGGTGAAACCCTGTCTCTACTAAAAATACAAAAAATTAGCCGGGTGTGGTGGTGGGCACCTGTAATCCCAGCTACTCAGGAGGCTGAGGCAGGAAAATGGCGTGAACCCAGGAGGCGGAGCTTGCAGTGAGCCAAGATCACGCCACTGCACTCCAGCCTGGGTGACAGAGCAAGACTCTGTCTCAAAAAAAAAAAAAAAAATATTAGATTACTAAAGAGAAAAGACCTGTGTTCACTGTGTTCATTTTAAGCTAGTGCAAATTTTTATGAAATCTTTCTGCTAGTCATTTTATTCCTAAGTTTGAGCTTACATGCTAATATATGTGGCTCTATTTAAAAAAAAAAAACAAAGAAAATAAACTCATGACTTAGAGCTTAATTTTTCATATTGCTATTGCCTTTTATGGGGGATATCTCTAGTTTTTAAAAACTAGATACTTAAAGCACACACTCTCTTTCATAAGAATTACTGAGGCAGTAATTTTAAGTGTTAACCATATCTATAGTTTCTCTATCCTACTTATGTCTGAATAAAAATGATTTTTTAGGTAGATAACACGATTTTAAATGATGAATAGTTTTTTACTTTTACATAGTATTAGCTCTTTAAATACGTCAGTAAGGGAGACATAGAGCAGAGACCCAAATGTATTTACTTAATAGGGGTTCTTAAACTTTTTGGTTTCAGGATGCCTTTACAATGTCAAAAATTGAGGCCCCAAAGAGCTGTGTCTTTGTCAATATTTACCATATTAGCAATAAAAACTGAGAAATTTGAATATTTTATGCATTAAAAGAACCCATATTAACATAATTAAAATATTTTTATGAATAGTAATTCTTTCAAAACAAAAAAAATTGTGGAAATTGTGAGCAAGGTGATACTGGTTTATACATTTTAGCAAATCTCTTTAATGTTTGGATTAATGCAAGACAGCTACATTCTTGCAGCTGCTTCTGCATTCAGTCTGTTGTATTATACATCATTCTGCTTCTGGAAAACTGCTATAGACTCATGACAGAAAGTGAAAAGACAAATGATATTTTAATAATATTATGAAAATAGTTTTTACCTTGTAGACCCCCTGAAATGGTCTTCGGCATCTGTAGTGGTCCCAGACCATACCTTGAAAACTACTGCATTTTACGAAGAAGATTGTTTCGGTAATGACTGATTAAATCCTATCAAGGAAATGAAGGCCAAATGTAGTTATCTTTTTATTTTTTCATGTTCCTTTTAGGATGTAAAATAAAGGTTATTTGTTAACAAAACCGTAAACCAAGGAAACATTTAAAATAGGATTCTGTTTTACAAAAGTTGTCTAGTCTCTAAAGCATTTCTTCTCATAGATACTAAGACTTAGCATTGGACCAAGATATTGTAAAAACATGTACAACTATACCCTGAAGGAAGAGCTCTTCAGTGTCTTTGAATCAGTGTGGTTGGCCTTATCAAATCAACCTCCTGTTGTGAGGAAGTCTTAGGTTACTTAATGATGTGTACTGCTCTTTTAAAGACTTGTGACTTATATTTGATTGTCTCATGATATTTTCTCTCATTAGGTTCAATGAAAGATCACCCACAGCAGCAGCCAGGCATGTTGTCCCGTGTGACTGGGGGTATCTTCAGTGTTACAAAGGGAGCTGTTGGTGCCACCATTGGTGGTGTGGCTTGGATTGGTGGAAAGAGTCTGGAAGTGACCAAAACAGCTGTTACAACTGTGCCTTCCATGGGAATAGGGCTGGTGAAAGGGGGTGTCTCTGCTGTGGCTGGAGGTGTTACAGCTGTTGGGTCTGCTGTTGTAAACAAAGTGCCCTTAACAGGAAAGAAGAAAGACAAATCTGACTGAAATATAGAGATACACTTGCGCTCCACAGCACTGTAATGCCAGTGGCATTGAATTGCTAAATTATGGACTACAACCAAGTCAACTGTTTTGGACGTTTATCTTCTAAACTGCTGTGTTGAAAGTATTGATGACTGGCTTTCATCTAAAAAGAAGAGACCAATACGAGCACAGTATATGAAGGTTTCTCATACTTAAGTTCCAGGTTTTTATCTGGTAAAATGTTACACTTACTCGGTTGTAACTGAAGATATGGTATGTTTGAATATTTACTATAAGTCTTTCAGTTTGACTAAAAATGTGAAAGTTGAATTTAGTAGATGATCTTCACAGTTCCATATGTATAATGTGCCAGGTAACTCACCTGCCCCTTAAGAAGGGAACCTTGAATTACATAAGCCGTACCTTTGATGTGCCTAATAGTTTCAGATGTCTTAGTTTTTTATAACCATAGTTGATTAGGCCAAGAGGCATTCATTTCTTATTTAAGCTGGCAAAATTAGCAGGAATTAGAGAAGTTTAAAAAGATAAATGGTTTTATGATAATGTTAACCATCTTTTGTTAGTAAATATGCGTTCTATTATTTTAATCATTGATGCCTTACAAAAGAAAACATCTTTTCTAATACCCTGAATATGTGCTGTTCTTAGAATCATCTATGGATTCTTTTAAAGGTTGTTTGTGAAATTAGTTTTCCCTTTTTAGAATCTCAGGAGTAGTGGGGTAAAGACATTTCCTGCTGTCAGTGGATAAGACAGAGCTTGTTAACTGTTTTGGCAGTAGTTAAAATCAAATTGTACACTTCTCAGCCTGGGTTCATGCTTCATCATTAATACACCTCACAGTGCCTAAGGAACATTTACTTACTGGTCAGAAGGTATTTTGGAAGAGTTTCATATTAAGGAGGAACAAATAATAATTTTAAGTTCTTAAAAATTACCTAAAACACCCCAAATATAAAAAGAAGCCTTCACACCTATTCTGTCTTTAGGATGTCTTAAATTATTAGCAGTACTCCTTTTTTAAAAACACTGTAAAAGTAACCACAAATATGTGAGGACTTACTATTTTAAATGGAATGGAATGAGCTCCATAGATTAGTTTTGAATATAAAGTATATAAAAGTGCATCAGTGGTTTATATAGGCTTTAAAAACATGTTATCTTACAGTCCTTTAAAGCAGCCATAGAGTTTGTATCATTTTTCAAGCCAATTTCAGTCAGGGATTTGAATTGTTTGATTATGGATGATAAATGTGTCATATCTTATTAATATGTCTCATGTCTCGTTCCTTCTTAATATGATTTAGCTGGAATTCATTTTCTTTTCGTTTCATGTTTAATTTCATAAAACGTTTAACAATTGGCATATATACTTGGCATTCCTGTCCACCAAGGATTGTAATCCAAGCCTGGGAAAATCTTAAATTTCTTTTTACTTAAATCTGGAAATTTGTCTCCATTCTGCCACCTTTTTTTTTTTTTTTTTTTATAGTGGAGGGGAGGAAAGGGGGGTGATACCTTGCAGTAAGTAAGTCGAAATAGCATGCCTGAAAATTTGAAACAGACCATTCTAACACCCAAGGCTTGTTTATAAAATACTTGAGAATTACATTAATGTGGAATCAACAGATGCAGAAGAATATAACATAACTTTTAAAAGCTTTCATAAATACCAGCAGCAATTGTAAGCAAATCTACAAAGGTTCTTGAACCTTTCTATTATATACAAAACTGAAAAGTCATTAAGGAGTTCAACTAATCAGGAATTAAATGGTCATTTATTTCATGCAGTATGATTTAAGGTATTTCTTGAGATTCTGGTCAAATGTCATAATCAGCAAACGGGATTAAAAAAAAAACTCCAAAATCACTAAATAATTATCTAAATAATGGTATTGGAGAACTTGTTTCCTGCTATTTGGAAGAGATTGTTGCTTCATTGCTAGTTTGTATTTCTAACTTCTACAGTTATAGACTCCACTGTGCTTTGTGTCTGAATTTCTCAGTATAGACATTTTGTTTACTGTATGCTTGCATATTTATTTTCAACTTTGTTTGTCTTTAAAATTGCTTGAGGAAAAATGGTTGTAATTAATTTCTGCTACAGAAAAGCCACCTGGTACGTTTTGTCTCATCAGGATTGTTTTAAATTCTAAACTATAAGTTTGTTCAGAGGGGCTTTTGCAATGATAGCAGAAAACTGTACAAATGTACAGTTAGTTATAGAGGTTCTTGTTGAAATGAACTTACCATCTGATGATATGTATGTACAGCTGTGTACTTGAGTCTTTTTTAGTTTACTTAGAAAGACTAGCAGTTTGACCTGTTAAACAGGACTAGTTCAAGTCAAGAAACTAAGGTTGTTGTATACACCTGGAGGCATCTGTTATTCAGCTTATCCTTTGAGTGGGTATTTGGCACAATGAGGATAAACTTATGTGACCCACTTGAATGGCTGATCTAATAATGTTGACATTATGCATTCTGTACTTAGTGAAATGTCAGATGAAAATAACTGATGAATAATTTTTTTGTATTAAAGGGATGGGAAAAGAACACATGAATTTGTTAATAAAGCACTATGATCTGCAAACGATGGAATGTTTCATAAAGATCTAAAGAAATAAAGGAAACTTTAAAACAGGGTGATCTTACCATTTTTAGTTACTTTGCAGTTCAGAAAGTGCTGTAGCCAGTTTAAAATTTTTTTTATAGTAATGTACAAACATATCTTTGGATATGTATTTTGATGCTGACACAACCATGAAATACAAATATATTTTAAGCAACTCTAATAATAAAGATTAAGAGTGTAGATTTCTAGGTTTTACCCCAACTTGCCAAATCTCTGCAAGGTGGGGCCCAGGACTGCATTTTAACAACCTCTCTGGGTAATTCTTGAGTACAACAAGAGTACTTTCAAACAAAGTTTGAAAACTGATGGATTATAAAGCAGGGAGCACTTCTGTCTGTTCCAAGTAGCTGTGGAACCAACTGAGACATCTCACTGGAAAGAAATGACTGACTAAAAGGGGTGGGGAGGAGTGTAGAAAATTGATATTTACTGGGCATCTGCTTACCTGCCAGGTACTGGCCATACTTCTCATTTAATCAGCATGAGGGCCTTATGAAGGAAGTATCATTACTCTCTTACAAATACAGAACAGGCTAACTTTCAATGTTAGTTGAATTTTCCATATCACTTTTGAATTAGTGTAGGTCACAACTTCTCCAGTTTATGTCCAGGAACAGAAATGGGGCTACTCAGTAACTAGGCCTTTATTCTAGTGTTGACATTCAGTGCAGCCTGTATGCTTGATTGACCAGGCTGTCTGACTTGCAGCTTACCGGAAGTCTTTCACGTGACCATATTTACTTTGGTGACCACATTTTGCTACAGCAATGAATTTAGTGTGATTTTACACAAATTGAAGAAAATCTAATTTTGTTAAAGAGCCTTTTTTCACAGAGGAAACCGAATTTGACTCTAGTGTTTTATGAAAGGGTATCTCCCCCTGCTATGTTACTGATTTTGAATTTTTAAAATTCTGTTTCATAGGAAGATCTGAGTTAGAATGTATGAATGGAAAAAAAAGGCAAAGCAGAACAATTTCAGAGGTTCAAGAGCCAAAAGCAATGGAATGGACCCTAAGGGAAAATAAAGTCAGTATACTGCATAATTGATTAAGAATGTAATCTTTTCAAGTTAGAGTAAGCTACAATTGTATTTCTATAACTGTAACTACTTCTGGTTCTCTGTGGCTAGATCTGAGCACTTAAATTTTGCTGCGTATTGACTAGTCTCCTTTTAAATTAATGGCCACAAAGTACACATGGTCAGACTTTCTAATATGCCCTTTTATTGTATGTTCGCTTTCACCCTCCTCAAAATGACTCACCGCCACCCCCGCCCCCGAGACATGGTCTTGCTGTCGCCCAGGCTGCAGCACAGTCGTATGAACATAGCTCACTGCAGCCTTGATCTTCTGGGCCCAAGCCATCCTCCCCGTTCACCCTCCCAAGTAGCTAGGACTAGAGGTGTGTGCCACCACACCAGGCTGATTTAAAAAAAATTTTTAAACATTTTTATAGAGACAGGATCTCACTATGTTGCTCAGGCTGGTCTCAAACTCCTGGCCTCAAGTGATTCTCCTGCTTGGCTTCCCAAAGTGTTGGGATTTCAGGCGTGAGCCACAGTGCCTGGCCCAGAATCACTCTATAGTGTGAGCCAATTATTTCCTTTTTGCTAAACCCATTAGTCACTTCTCTGTGTCTTAGTCGACCCCCTCAGTGGCTTCATTATTATTGGCCATGTCCTTGTTTCTTCCTGGGACCAACTTCTTGCTTTGACCAGTCTTTTTCCAGGCTTGGCCAACCACCCTACTCCAAATCTGCACTTTTTTTCCCCCAGGCAGTCTAATCTAGAGCCATGGCTTTAAATATCATAGATATGCAGATGATCCCCAAATATGTATTTTCAGTTCTGACTGAAACTCAACTCCAGACTTAGCCATTTGCCTGTTTGACATCCCTGCTAGGATGTCTAGTAGGCATCTCAAAATTGACATCTAACTACCAAGGTAACCATATCACATATAATGTCTTCCCAACTGAGACACTTCAGAGTGAAAGAGCAAGAGCGCCCCTGATACTTTGTCAGGACAAGAAGCATAAACTGAAAACTCCAAGCGTTTCCTATCACACTTCAAATGAGATTCTGCTCCTTAGATGGACCTGTGCTGCCTCTTTCCTCTTGTGCCACTCTCCCAATCACTCAACCCTGCTCCAACTGTACTGGCTGCTATTCTTCTTGAACAAACCTTCCTGCATGACCTTGGGTAAGTGACTTACCCTGAGTCTCCTCATCCATAGAAGAGTGAACAATGGTACTTTAGAATCGTAAAGCACTTATATACAGAGCTCCCTATAGGAAGTGAACAGATTTGGATAGTAAGGGTTACTTGCATTTGCTGAAGGAGTGAAGAGTGAGGATACTGCCTGCATTTTCCATAATTTTTTCATTATACTTAAGCCATGTACAAATAGTGCACAGATGTTGTCAGTCAATTGTTTGGCTGTGCATTTGTTACAAAGTTCAGACTTCACAGCTGAAAGTGAGTCAGTTCTTTATCTGGGTATGTTTATCTTGGAACAAGGTTCAGAAATGGAAACTTGAAACACCACCCCTAAAATTAGTACTAACCATCACCCACTTTCCCTTACAGGCAGACCTGGATCTTCAGAAAGTTTTCTAAAAAGCTCCATTTATTTCAAATGTATATAAATTAGATAATTTTGAATTAGAACACTTTATAGAGAGGTTTTCATAAATGTCCCCGAATTTGTTGTTAGTACTTATTCCTTTTGGCCTGTCAGGTAGGGGTGACTTCTCTTATGCCAATTCATAAGTAATCCTTCCAGTTCACAAGGTTTAAACAGAAGTCAGAGCCCAGTTAATAAACCCAGACTCTGCCATTTGGCAGCTGAGTGGCCTCTCAGCTTCAGTTTCCTCATGTGTAAAATGAGGAAAGTAATGAATGCACATGGTGTTTTATAAGAGTTATAATAATGGTCAATTCTAAGCAAACTGACCACACAAGTAGGCTCCAACTCTTCTTTTTGGATGAGTAATACTTGATTCTCAAAGACAGTAATTTATTCCAAACACAAGATGAAATTTTCTCCAAAAAAAAAAAAAAAAGGTATAGAAGTTTGCTAATAGTTCACATAACACTAAGCTACAGAATTCAGACCACAGTAGAGTGATGTTTCATGGCTAGTAGTGAGAAAGACTGGATTTGCTTCCTAACATGAAATGTGGTGTATGAATATAAATGTATCCATACCTTGAATTAAGGAAGCACTTGTCCATTTCTTAGAAGTGATTCACTTATAAAGTATCACACTGATATGCCATTTAATAGTATATGAGTTTTTGAAATAATGGTTCAAGGTAAAAGTTACCAACCTTATTAAAATAAATATGATTTATATTTTATAATATGGCACATGAGTCAGAATTTATCTATTTAGAGATAACTTAAATACAACACAGAAGCTAAGCAGGTTCTTAAAATTACTGGTGTCTACAAACTGCCTGAATTTTTGTCTTTGCTAGTTAGTTTCACCCTGCACTGCTAGAAAGAAGCAACAACAGTCAGTATGTCATTCTTCAACATTTAATGGTGCCACAGGGTTAAATAATGGCCTTACTTTTTTGGCCTGAATTTTGCCAAAATTAGCTTCAAACTCTTTTTTTGATCCATTTAGATTTGCTAGATGTCCATCCTTTATTCTGTAGCCTGAGGAATTCAGTTTCCTTATCCTGTACTGTACTATCTGTGGTGTTAATTCAAGAACCATTGGCGTCTCTCTTATCTGAGCTATGGAAATTCCTTCTCTCAATAATCCTTGCATTCTCTCTTCTAAAACTGGAACAGAATAATATAAAAGGGCAGGACATTTCAAAACTAATTGCTTCAGGTCATGATCTGTGCATTTAAAAGCATTTTTAGAGAAGGAAATACTATTCTGTATACTTCTTGGGCAAAGTTGAAAAAGAAATCCTTTGAGTTTGGATAGAAGCTGGAGAATTTCAAAGCTGGTGAAACCTTGCTCCTGGAGAAATTCTAGTGTTTCCTTTATAGCTGTGGGAGAATTTAACAAAATAAATGGGTTTTGGCTTAACAATTTTAGTAGCCAAACTTTCATGTTGGCCTCAGAGCCACCTACATCTAGATAACTCTCTTGGAGAATTCTTACCATTTGCTTATTCTTCTCAACAGGATTATGAAAAACATTAGGTGCAGCTGTCAAAAGTCTGCTAATGACCACATTTTTTAGTCCCAACTCTTGAAAGAACTGAACATTCAGCTTCTGGTTCTCTTGGTCTTTAATAGTAAAGAAAGATTCTGGAAACTGCTCTATTAACTTGATTAACTCTTCCTCATTTTTGCAGACCAACTGCCAGAGTTTTCTCTGGGTGTTAACAGCGGTTGGACTACAGACAATTGCTTCCGGGCAGCGTTCCAAAATACTGGCTACAGCAGTCTCATCGGCACCTAGTTCTTGTAAAATATTCGCAATTTCTTCAACATAGGTTTCATCCTCTAAAAGTACCCATCCTTTTAATCTACGAATTTTCCTAATGTCAACTGAACATTTATAGAGCTTTTCCACTGTTCTTGTATTTTCTTTGCTCGACTGTTTATCAGTTGTATAGGTGAAGCATGCTAAGAAAGGTCTGTATTTTGGAGGTGATCGCATCTTTCTGAAAGAACACAGCCTGCAGGACTGGGATCTCAGCAGCAGCTTCCACAACATGGCTGCAATCTACTAGCTAGTTTCCACCGTCCTGGGACTTAAATGGACTCATTCTATCTGAAAAAAAGAAAATAAAGGTTTTTAGTATAAGGGTGTTGACTTTCAGAACACATACACTTACAAATTTGAGCTGTTGAAGTCTGGAAATAAAGTGGATTTAAATTAGACAAGAAAACTGCTCATGTGGAATATTTTTAAAAATCTTCCTAAATAAGGATTGCTTGAACCCAGAAGCCCGAGGTTGCAGTGAGCTGAGATTGTAGCATTGCACTCCAGACGGGGCAACAAGAGTGAAACTCTTAAAAAAAAAAAACCTCCTAAATAATTAATTGAATTGTAATACACTTCTCCACAACTTCGATATCTTATACTTTGTAAATACACTGTTGAGTTACTTCCATTTTACAGAAGAGCAGCAAGACCAAAGAGTTCAAAGGTTCACAGACCTCAAATGTTATTTTCATACAAATTCCCTTTTCCACAACTGTTTATCTTTTCTTTTAGGAGGCCTGTATTATGCACACACACACAAACATGGTTTTTTGAAATGTTTTACATTATTAAGTTGATGTTTACCTGAAGCAGATACTTAAAGGGGGAAGAGGGGAAGGGTCATCTCTAATTTTATACGTTAAATATTTTGCTGAATAACTATCACCCAAAATGGGCCAATTATTTTATTTTAAATGAGTTAATAAATGGATTTTTTTGTTTTTAGAATTATGTGAGCAAAACTCCCTTTTATAAATCCAGAATTAGAATAAGTTGTAATTCCAGCACTTTGGGAGGCTAAGGTGGGCGGATCACCTGAGGTCAGGAGTTCGAGACCAGCTTGGCCAACATGGTGAAACCCCATCTCTACTAAACATACAAAAATTAGCTGGGTGTGGTGGCACATGCCTGTAATCCCTAGCTGGGTAAAATGAAAAAATGCCACATGACTGTTCCCGTGGTGCCATGGGAAATCAGGTCAGCTGTGGAATGGTGACTGTACTTTCAGAACAGTGTAATCAGCTATCCACTTGACATGTGTAGGTATCTTGAGATGGCTATACTGTGTCTGACACATTAACAGTCTTTGCCTCTATAGGGGCAGCAAAACACCTCCATCTTCTTAGGGTCGTGGCAGGACCCGAGAATTAGACATAAGATACATTAACAGGAGAAAAACATAAACTTTTTTTTTTAACTTTATTTATTTTGAGACAGAGTCTCTCTCTGTTGCCAGGCTGGAATGCAGTGGCGCGATCTTGGCTCACTGCAACCTCCACCTCCCAAGTTCAAGTGATTCTCCTGCCTCAGCCTCCCGAGTAGCTGGGACTACAGGTGTGTGCCACCATGCTCAGCTAATTTTTATATTTTTAGTAGAGACGAGGTTTCACCATGTTGGCCAGGATGGTCTCGATCTCTTGACCTCGTGATCTGCCCGTCTCGGCCTCCCAAAGTGCTGGGATTGTAGGTGTGGGCCCCCACCCCTGGCCATAAACTTTACTTAATACAAGTTCACATGGCATGGGAGCCCTCATAAGGAATCAAAGACCCAAAGAAGCAGTTAGAGTCAGTTATTTATGTACTGAGTTGGACAAAAAATAGGAAGCTGCGAAGAAGCAACCGAATTACATGGGGAGGTCTAAAAGATAAGTTATTTTAAAAAGGACTGTGCAGAAATCTTTTGGTATCAATTTCTCATCCTTGAGGTTAAGGATGTTATTCCTTTTGGTATAGGGAGGGTGTCTTTCACATGGGAATTTTATCTGCTTTTAAGAAACAGAAAGAAAGATCTTACACCTGCTATTTTTCAGGTGCCTTTAATTCAAAATGGTCAATATGTCAAAAGTGGTATAATGAACTCCTTCACCACTATTTCTTTTGTCTCTGGTAATGAAAATACATCTGGTTTTAGTACCTAAGAGTGTTGTAAGTGTCTCAGCCTTGCCACAAAAGTGTGTAGTACGGCTCAATTTAGCCTGTTGGCAGCCTTCCCTCACTCTTTACAGGTCTGAAAGAAAAGAAGAAAGCAGCCATTTCCATCCCTGACTTTAATTTAAACGCCCTTGCCAGGTATGCTGGGGACTCTTCACTTTCAGCCCTGTCTTAACTAATCCAAATAAATGATTATTCTGTTAGGAAAGTTAGGTAACACCCTTTCCATTTTGGTTTCCCATTTTGATTTAGCTCACTGTGAGCGCCTATGGAGACTAAAATAATTGTAGGCATAGCTTGTTTTACTCTTAGTGGTTCAACTAGAATTTTCTTCAGATAATTCCTAATACTGTTAAGCCAAGATGAAAATATTATTTTAAAAACTTTCTAAGAAGGCCATCAACTTGAACAGGAAGGAGGCGGCGCAGCATGATGAAGCACAGGCAGATCTGGGCTGGGATCCCGCTCCCCACTCCCTGTTGAGCGACCCCACAAGCTCAGGCTGCACCTCTGTACCACACGTGGGGGAGGAGCGTGGGCTGCTGCCAACCACCCACACCCAATCCTGGCTCTAGCTTATGGGGCACCCTTGGGTAAGTTAGCCTCAGAGAAAACAAGACAGCAGTGATTAGAACAGCGCCTCACACTAACTATTCAATGAGTATTACCAGCAGCAATCTGTGAGATGGAAAGAACAGAATCTAAGCCTTACAGGAAAACTGTAAGGGTTAAAATGCATGTCAAATACTTTGCACAATGCCTGGTACAGAGTAAAATTTCTGGAGCTAGAAGTCTTGTAGTAGTATGACTTTAAATTGTATTTTAGACAGAAATAGATTATTTACAAAGAGAACTGAAAACCAAAAAGTTTATGTATGTATGTATGTATGTATTTAAGAGACAGGTTCTCACTCTGTCACCCAGGCTGGACGGAGTACAGTGGTGTGATCTCGGCTCACTGCAACTTCTGCTTCCTGGGCTCAAGTGATTCTCCAGCCTCAGCCTCCTGAGTAGCTGGGACTACAGCCATGAGCCACCACACCTGGCTAATTTTTGTACTTTTTGTAGAGACAGGGTTTTGCCATGTTGCCCAGGCTGGTCTGGAACTCCTGAGCTCAAGCAGTCCACCCGCCTCGGCCTCCCAAAATGTTGGGATTACAGGTGTGAGCCACCACGCCTGGCCTAAAAAATGGATTTTAAATGCTTCTGTTTCCCAAAATAACTGCTTATAAAAGCAATGCACATTCAATGTGGAAAAATTGCCAACTTCTGGAAAGTATAAGGAAATGGAAAAAGTCTTTCACAATCCCCACCACTGAAGACAACTGTTCATATTTTGGCATACATGATGATGTGTGACCTGAACACATCACAGTTCAGCTTGGAGTAAGCAGGAAATGCAGACAGCTGCTGTTCCCTTAGCCTCACTGTGCAGGAGCCTCTGTCAGTGGATGTGCCTTGCCATGGTCGATGTCCTTCTAATGTTTAATGATCCGTCATTCTGTATAATGTAACCCCCAACCAAGCCAACTGCAGCATCTAGTGCTTAGCCTGGGGTTCCAAACCCCAGGAACTCCTGGCTGTGCTGGACTTGCTGAAAGATAGTGTATTACTGGTCTCCTGTGTGTTACCTTCCCTACACATGGTACTGAGGTTCTGAATTCAGCCTATAAAGTGAAAATTACAAAGACTCAGAATTTTTCTTGAAAATCTCTTATGCAGACACCACACAGATGAAGTAGTTGGTTATGAACTGTGATGTGTTCAGATGAGTCGTCTTTACTAGTTAATCTGCCTTGCTTAGTCTCTGATGAGCAAACACAACTGACTATGGAAGTGAAAAGTATGAATGTTGTGACTCCTATGTAATGAACACATAATACATATATTTGTATCTAATTTATCTTTCTGCTTCTATTTTATTCACAGTAAGTATCTAACTGTGGTATTAAAAATGCTCTGTAAACATTTGAGTGCTTGGTATATGGGATGGATATACTGTTATTTTGTAATTCATTCCTTATATTGAGCATTTAGGCTATTTGTAATTTTTGCTATATGCTGAATAAATGTCCACATCTCATATGCTTTTCCTTTAGGATGAATTCCTAGAAATAGATTTCCTGACTGAAGAGGAGATACGTGAACACTGGGAAAGCAAAGCTGCTAAATTTCCTGTCAGGAAAAACTATCTCAGTTGACATTCTCACAGGCAGTATGAGTGATTCTCTCATCAGTTTTTATTTTGATATGTAAAAAATGATACAACACTAATTTAACTTCTTTTTATTATTTATAAGGGTGATGTTTTCATAATTAAACTATTTCGTTCATCTTTATTTCCTTTTGTGAATCAACCATTCCTGACTTGTAAAACTGCAATCGTTCTGCTTTTTAAAAATTGACTTGTATAAACTCTATGAATTAAGAAATATAATCTCATTTTTGAAAATATTTTCTTCAGCTCATTTTCAGTTGTTGATGGTATATTTTAGCATACCAAAGTAGCCCCTTTTTTAATTGTAGTAAGATATAAATAACAAAAAATTTACCATTTAAACCATTTTCAAGTGTACCATTCAGTGGCTTAAAGTATAGTCACAATGTTGTACCACCATGACCACTATCCCAAACACCAACTCTGTCTCTGTGCCCATTAAACAATAACTCTCCATACCCTCTTCCCTCCAGACACCAGTTACCTCTATTTTACTTTCTGTCTCTATGAATTTGCCTATTCTAGGTACTTTTTATATGTGGGGTCATATAATATTTGTCTTTCGTGTCTGGCTTATTTCATTTAGCATAATGTTATCAAAGTTCATATTACAGTATCTGTTAGAACAAAGCAGTTAATTTCACGTGGTCAAAGGAAGGTCAGGGAAGTTTTCCTTGATGATCCTTACTGCTTTTAAGTACCAGATGATCAGTAAAAATTCATCCATTATTTCCTCCCATATTTTTGTTTGAACTTTAAAACTTAGCTCCTTAAGTTCATTTGAAATTTCTGGGTGTGAGCTGAGAATCTAAATAGATTTTATCAATAGTTTACTTCTCTCCAAGTACCATTTTCTGAACAATCCTTTCCTTCCCCATGACTTATGATGCCTCCTTTATCATATGTTAAATGTAGCTTTTGTCTCTAATTTGCCTCCATCCTCATCCCCCTACTTTGCAATTCCCCAAAGGGGCCAAGAGGCTCATTTCTGGTCTTTGCTGCATACTTGGCTCCCCCTGCCAGACCATCCTCAAACCAGCTCTGGTTGACTCACTCTTCCACACTTCCCACCAACTATCTCAAATCTTCTCAACTCAGACCTCTGGCCTCCCACCTACCTCCATACCCACCTTCACTCACAACCAGTGCCCTTGCCTCCTATCTGTACAAAGAAAGGAGAGCAGCTCCTCTCAGCAGACATAAACCTATCACTAGCTCCCCTTCACAGCTTTCATTATCCAGTCACAGCTTTCATTATCCAGGGTCATTCCTGCTCCTGTGCTGAGCTCAGCCTCTCTGGCCTGAGAACTCTCAAGCCCTTTCTCAAGTGTTTGCTCCTTCAGGTGTATCCTCCTCTGATGCTCCAGCCATCACTCCACTGCTCTTCCTGTCCTTGCCCAAACCCTCTCTCTCTCCACTGCTCTTCTTTTCCCTGCCCAAACCCTATCTTTCTCTTCACCTCAGCTAATTCTTGCAGATCCTTCTTTCTCTCCATTTCCTCTTCTACTTATATAGCTTGCGATAAAGATAACTTTCATGTGGTTACAGCCAATGAGTAGTTTTCATTCTTATCTCTTTTTTTTGTAGAGAAGGGGTTTCACCACATTTCCAGGCTGCTCTTGAACTCCTGAGCTCAAGCGATCTGCCCACCTTGGCATCCCAAAGTGTCGATTACAGGCGTGATGTGGTTTGGCTGTGTCCCCACCCAAATCTCATCTTGAATTGTAGCTCCCATAATTCCCTTGTGTTGTGGGAGGAACCCAGTGGGAGATAATTAAATCATAGGGGTGGTTTCCCCCATACTGTTCTCATGACAGTGAATAAGTCTCATGAGATCTGATGGTTTTATAAGGGGAAACCCCTTTCGCTTGGCTCTCACTCTTTTCTTGTCTGCCACGATGTGAGATGTGCCTTTCACCTTCCGCCATGATTGTGAGGTCTCCCCAACCACGTGGCACTGTAAGTCCATTAAACCTCTTGCTTTTGTAAATTGCCCAGTCTTGGCTATGTCTTTATCAGCAGCATGAAAAAGGACTAATACAAGCCATGAGCCACCACACCCAGCCTTCCTTATCTCTTTTGACTTCTGCAGCTTTTAGCAGAGTTGACCACTTTCTCCTTGAAATATTCTCTCATTTGACTTCCTGGACACTCGACTTTTTTTGATTCTTCTCCCTTTCTATACTTCTCGCCACCCTCTATCTGTCTCCCATACAAGCTCACCTTCAAGGCTTGGTTCTAGACCTCTCTTCTTCTTACCTTACAGTCTCTCCCCACAGATCTTGTCCTCATCCAGATATTCAGTTCATCCACTTGGGATTCTTTCCAACTTCTTCTCAAAATGTGATCTTGTCAGTTCCCTGCAATAAACTTGCCAATGGCATTTTAGGATAAAGACAAAGTAAAATAAAACATAGAAATGCCTTACCATGGCCTACAAGGCCTCTTTGGGCTCTGCCACCACCCTAATTCCCATTTCCCTCTCCTGCACCAGCTGCATTTGCTTCCTGTCAGTCCCTGGTGCTCTACTGGTTTCTACCATGTGGTCTTTGAAGACTGTGGGCCAGATTCCATGCCCAAAATGCTCCAACTTTTAGGCCTAAGTGTCACTTTCTCAAGGAAACTTTTCTAACCTTCACGAATACATGAAGCCTCCTGTCCCCATTACATGATTTCATGGCACCATGGACTTTTACACTTGCGCACAAGTGGTACAACAGCTGCAGCTGTTCACGTGTTGTTTCTGTCTCAACACTACATGGACAGACTGGTCACCACAGTGTTCCAATGAACTGCTTCCCTATCCTTCACCCAGCTGCCTTCACTGCCTCTAGGAGGCATTCCTGGGCAGGTGGCCTTCTGTGTGCTCTTCCACAGCACCCTGCTCCGGACGCTACTGCAGCACTTATTATGCTCTTACAAGTTCTTCATTCTTCCAACCAGTAGGAATTTTGTTGCTGTTTGTTTGAAGTTCAAGCTGTGTATCAGGCATACTAGGCACAGATCTGCTAAAACAACACTTCTTCACACCTCTGTTTGGATCACAGATCAACTCAGAACCTGAGAGTCACAGACTCTCTTTCCAGAAGAAAAGACCCACGCTCACAACATTTCGCAAATGATTTTAGCAGGATTCATGGACACCCTGCAGCCCGGCCATGAATGACCTGCACTAGATTTACAAGCGTTGGGAAGGCAGGAACTGAACGGTGTTCTGCTTTATTCCCTGCACCCAGCAAAGAACTTGTTCCACAGAGAGACAAAATTAGTATTTGTCAGGTGAAACTGAGTGAACAAGTGGATGCGGTACATTAATGCAGTGGGTAAAACTGGGTTAGCAGAGCCAGACTGCCTGATTCCTGGACAACAGTTGTGTTGTGACTTGAAGAAGTTACTTCACCTCTCTGAGCCTCAGTTTGGCATCAGGAAAATGGTGATACTATCTCCTGGGTGACTGCAAAGATCAAACGAGTTAATACCATAAATCACTTAGAATATGCAGAAAACTCTTCACATATACTAAATCATTAAATCATCACAACAACTCATTTTAAAATGAGGAAACAGACGCAGGTAAAGGAACTTGCCCAAGGTTACTCAGCTAAAAAAAAAAACAAAAAACAAAAAACCGGCAGAATTTGGACTCAAACCCCACAGGTTGGCTCCAGAGTCCTGCCTGCTCTTAGCCCTGTGCCCCCACATATAGCAATGCTTTTGGTAAATGTTTGTTAAATCACAATGTGGGCTGTTCTAGGATGCTTGTTTCTTAAGCATTTTTGGGGAGTGAAATTCACTTCTGTAATACACAGTTATGGTTAGTATGGTCTTCTCTACACCACCACTGGTTTCAATAAAGTTCTTCTTTCGTAACACATATGCCCTGCTGCCAGTTTCAAATTGACCAACGTTTATAAGCAAGGAAAAACGAGGGTCCACGGAAGATCTCCAGGACCGATCAAAAGGCCGCACATTCACTGTGGGGCCTCCGCTTTTCCAGAGAAACCCGGCAGGCTGAGCTGAGCGTCTGGCGAGGCGTGGGGTTTTGCGGGCCCTGACCGCTGCGGCGCCGCTGGTGAGGAACACGCCCAGGAGCAGAGGAAGGGGGCGACTCACCCGTCGGCGTCAGCTCCAAGCAAGGCACAGGGAGTCCCGGGGGCCAGGCCCCGTCCTTCCCTCTCTCTCCGGCCAGCCTCCCCACAGTCCGCAGTCCCCGAGGCCTGGAGCCGGGATTTCGGTCCTCGGTCTCAAGAAGCTCCCGACAGTTCTCAGCAGCGCCAACCAGGCCATCAGTCCCTTCGCCCATGGCCAATCAGGGCTCGGGAGATGACCGCCAACCCCCGCCCCCCCAAGACACGCCCCCGCGTCCCAACGCAGCCAGTCAGAGCGCGGGACACAACTACGCGTCCCTCCCCGCACCACGAGGGCGAGTCGGAGTGGGAATCGGCTTTCCAGGCAGCCCAGCCTGTGCTGGCGGGGGCATCTGGCATTTTCACACCCTTTCCTTCCCAGCATTTTAGGAAGCGGAGTTCCAGTAGCTTTGACGCTTAGAAAATATAAGAAAAAAAAGAAGTAACAGAAACCGCTATATCTTTAAGATAGAGCCAATCACTGTTCCCAAAATAATTCAGTTAGGTAAAGAACCAACTTACAAAAGAAATGTTTAAAAAACCCCCAAAGTTCTTTGAAACACATCTGAACTCTTCCCCGCCCCCACCCTACCCCAGCAGTTAGCGACTGTCTTTAAAAGCCATTCTCCTTTCTCTCCCTCCTTGCCACCTTCACCTAAATACTCCCCTTTTCTGATAAACTGCCAAGTGGTTTCCATTCTAATTATTACCGGTGATGCCCAACCTCATACACTAAACACGTTAATTTCTCCTTAAAGCCAGGCTGAATGTCTCTCTCATTTATTTTCACATTTATCCATCCAAAAAACAAGTATTTATGGCAGGCCTGCTAAGTGCCAAGCATATTGAAACAGCAATGAGAAAATAGAGGGGGAATAAAACACATTCCCTGTCCTTATGGAGCTTACATTCTAGTGGAGGGCAGAGATATCAACAACTAATAACGTGACTAATCACACCTAGTTAAGTGTTATCGAGGACAGGGTGCCCTGAGCTGGGCCTGGTGATTCTGTTTGTGTGGAGTTGGAGTCAGGAAAACTGGTTTTCCCAGCTGGAGGTGTCTGCTGT
Organism: Homo sapiens; assembly: GCF_000001405.40. NCBI lineage: Eukaryota > Metazoa > Chordata > Mammalia > Primates > Hominidae > Homo > Homo sapiens. The sequence continues at coordinate 106,988,051 of NC_000012.12, forward strand.
CAGGTGTTCGTAGCACACTGTGCACAGTTCTGCCGTCGGTGGCACTGGCATACAGACTGCCCTCGCACCCTGTGGAGTGAATTCCTTGAGGCTACTGATTATTTTTTCTGTCAACAATGCTGGGCACACAGTAGGAACTCAGGAAATGTTAACTAAATCTTTGAGTCTAGTCTCACTATGCAGTTTAGGCTCAACAGGCTATATTGAGAGGAGCTCACACGTGCATTTAACTCCACTGAGTAGCAGCAAGAATCCTGGCTCCTCAAGATCACCCACCTCTGATCTCTAGGATATTCTAGAATGATCTGAGCAACTCATGTGTACAGCTGGGGGGTGTTTGTCCAGCAACTCCTGAGTTATCCGAATATAAAAACTCTATTATGCATAGATTTATTGCACACTTTTTCCTGAAATAAAATGATTTGGGGTCCAGACTAACCAAAGTGTGTCATTTGCACTTAGGAAAAGGAAATTAGGATACAGAAAAGGAAGTTAAGGAATGTAAACTCAGGACTTAGAACTGCAAGCTGCCATCACTGGTCAGGAGGGAGGGAGCAGAAATGTGCACCAGGGTGCTGGAAGCTTGTATTAGGGCTCCACGTAATTGTGCAAGGAATTACAATACATATGACCCCGTGCATTGTAATCAAAACTTGAAACTGACAAATCAGCTATGCCAACTGTATTAAATAAATGCTACTCAAAGTTTTTTCCAGCCCAAATATTTAAACAGTGCATTTCTAGGACCATATAATCAGAAAAAAAACCTTGAATGAAGAAAAGGGGAAAAGAACTTACAATTATGCATATTATGTACAAGAAAATTACAAACACATTTGAATTGTGAGAAGATCCTGAAATTTCTAGTATGTAAGAGATGCATTAAAAATACTGATAGACTTTTATATCTCAAATTTACTTATTTATTTTAAGCAAATATGAAAAACATAAGGACTTTGTACAGTTCATTCAAAACCCTGGTTCTCTCAATATAATTTTCCCAAGTTGTCAGTACAGTTTTTGGCAATAAGAATTGAAGAAGTATTTGCTGAATGAGTAAAATGTCTTAAATCCCTTAACCACAAGTAGGATTTCTAGTTAAGGGGAGAACACTGATTCGAACATCATGTATCTGCTCAAGTAGAGCATGATGACTGATGCCTTTTCTTTCCCTTTCAGTGATTCATTTTGACCACTATTTACACCAAACTGAAAAAGCTTTCCAAAAAACTCCCTAATAAAAAAAAAATCCTCTTACATTTATAAATAGCATACCAGTGCTTATGCTGAGATAGTGTTCTTTTACTGTTTATTTATTCACATTAAAACTGAATCTTTGGCCGTGCGCGGTGGCTCATGCCTGTAATCCCAGCACTTTGGGAGGCCGAGGCCAGCGGATCATGAGGTCAGGAGATCGCGACCATTCTGGCTAACGGTGAAACCCTGTCTCTACTAAAAAATACAAAAAATTAGCCGGGCGTGATGGCACGCGCCTGTAGTCCCAACTACTCGGGAGGCTGAGGCAGGAGAATCGCTTGAACCCAGGAGGCAGATGCCGCAGTGAGCCGAGATCGTGCCACTGCACTCCAGCCTGGGCGACAGAGTGAGACTCTGTCTCAAAATAACAACAAGAAAACTGAAATCTATGACCTCTTGTACGGTGATGGTAAATCTCAGGTCTATGAATTTCTCAACTCTGCACTGTACAACCAGGTCCAAAGAGTAGGATGTGAGGTACACTTACCATAAAAAACAATTAAAATATTACTTCACTTTAACAGTGGTGAAAAAAGAACGATAAAGCACAGGATTTTTTCTTATTCTTTTTCTCGGTAATGGATTTCCCACCTGCCGCCCCATCCCCGAGACAAGGTCTCACCCTGTCATCCAGGTTGGAGTGCAGTGGTGCAATCATAGCTCACTGCAGCCTCAAATCCCCTAGATCAAGCCATCCTCCCACCTCAGCCTCCCAAGTAGCTGGGACCATAGTGCACACCACCACACCTGGCTAATATTTTTGTTGTTTCCTTTTGTAGAGATGGGGTCCCAAGATGTTGTTCAGGCTAATCATTTTTTTTTTTTTGAGACAGAGTCTCACTCTGTCGCCCAGGCTGGAGTGCAGTGATGTGATCTCGGCTCACTGCAAACTCCGCCTCCTGGGTTCATGCCTCAAGTGATTCTCCTGCTTCACTTCAGTTTCCCAAAGTGCTAGAATTATAGGCATGAGCCACCCTGCCTGGTCTTCTTTACTTTTTTTTTATTTTTATATTGATTTTTTAAAAATAGAGATGGGGTCTTGCTAAGTCTCCAGGGCTGGTCTCAAACTCCTGGCTTTAAGTGATCCTCCCGCCTCAACCCCACAAAGTGCTGGGATTACAGGCAATGAGCCACCACACCCAGCTCAGATGAGGTCTTGATCTGTCCACCCAGGCTGGAGTACAGTGGCACAATCATAGCTCACTGCAGCCTTGACCTCCTGGGCTTCAGTGATCCTCCCACCTCAGCCTCCAAAAGTGCTGGGATTATAGGCGTGAGCCACCACACCTAGCCTCAGTAATGGAATTTATTGATCATTGTTAATTCACTATCCAGGATATTTTTAAAAATGCATATCATCTAAAATGTTATCGTTTCTGTATTTTTACTCAACTTTTATCTTCAGTTATCTTTAAATTATCATACTAAATATCTATCATGATTAATGATGGGAAAATGAAAAGCCACTGGTTATAATTCAGAATGGCAAGAACTAACCTACTAGAGAACACTAAAGGGATAATAACAATACTAATAAAAATAATGGCAGCTAACCAGAGCTGTGGCATACAGCTATGCAGACTGTGCACTGTACACGACAGGGGGTGACACAGCATGGCAGCCCTGTGGCTAACACTGAGTACCCTATCACATGCCAGCTCATAAGTATTTTACATGGAACTGAACTATAAAGCAGATACTACCCTCATCCCTATTTTATAGATAAGAAGAAAGAAGACATAGAAGGTTAAACTTGCTCAAGACCTCAAAGCTAATGAATGGCAGAAATGGGCATTTGACTCGAGAGCTCACTCTATTGATTGCTAGCCCATACTGCCTGATTTATGGTTACAAATGCCATTACTTGAAAAAAGTCCCTTTAGTTTTACCTCTTTCTTGCATATAATTTTGAAAAACACTGTTTAACTAAACATATGGTAGCTGTTCCTTCAAAATGATGATGTGGTTTATAGAATCTCTTTGTAATTTGTAATCATATATCATACAGCAATACTCTCTCCCTTACCAAAAAAGAAAAAAAAACACGTACACAAGATTTCATATTTGCATATACTTTAATAACAAGTTCATTTTAGTAATAAATGAACAAAGAAACAGAGACAGAGAACTTAACACATGATACTTCCACAAGTTTGGGTCTAAAAAGGTTTACATCAAAGTTTAAAACATATACTGTCTGTGTTAACAGAGGCTACAATACCAATTTGGATTACGCACATTATCTAAAACATTATTATCAAAGAGTGCAAAGTTAGATCAAACAACATCAAGAAAATTCTGTCCTAAAATTTTAACGTCTTTTAAGAAAGTCTAAAAACCTCCTTTTTTCCCACTGACTTCAAAACTTTGAGTTTTATATCAGAATATCAATTTGTCATTTTAACTTTACCATACATGAAAAATTATCAAAAATATATCGATGGGTCTATACTAATTGTGACTGTTTATATTTACATTAAGCAAATTCTCTTGCCAAGTTCTTTATATACAAATTACCAATTGTCCTCTGTGAAATTCATTAAAAAGTTAAAAACCACAGAAATGTCATTAGAAACAACATATTTCAATATGTAACTGCTTTCCATCAATGAAGAATATTTTTAAATAACTTAATTGAAAAGTATTGAACTCCCCACCAATTTCAGCTGCAACAGTATTCCTCCTGAATGTTTTCTGTGATTTAAGGGGGAAAAAAAAACTAGGTAAAGCTTGATTGCAAATAATTCAATGACAAAAATGTGATGAGTGTTTATTGACCTTATCTTCAAGATACTTATAGTCTAATTAGGTTGACATAAAAAAACTAAGCAATAAAAAATGTAAACAGTGTTAGAAACTGAAGAAACAGAAAATTTTTAAAAACTGGCAAATCCAACGTATAAATATTTTTCATATTAATTTAAATCACAAAATGACATCCCAAATCCAATTAAATTGAATGCAGGCAAGGCTTTCTGATACTTCTAATAAGGGCCAGCATTTTAAAAAATTTTGAACTATTCCCAAATTGGAAATAATTTAGATTTTAGAAGCATCATAACAGATAAAAGAAATTTATCAACATTTAAGAGGCAAAGATTTAGGGGAAAGTTCATAAAAAGATTATATTAATGTCACTAAAATAAACAGGCCACTTTAATTGTTTTAGACTCATAGTTACATAGTAAGGAAATAAAAAAGTTGTCTTTTTCTAAGAAAAAACTTGACCACAAAATCATAAACATCTCTAATTTAAAGAGCATTGGTTCAGATGAATATAAAACTGGTGCAACAATTTCTCCAGTACAGATGCATGTCTCTTGACCAAAAATTAACTGAGTTTGTAAAAATTGCTTAAAAATTAATGCCTCAAGATTTTCTGGTTTGAAAATAGAGATTTGCTCCATTTTTGAAATTATCTTAATTTATGTTAATTATATACTCTTCTAAAGCAAGAAATACAGCTCTAAAATATTTACCTAATTAGTGCTCTGTCTCTGGACTTTAGGACCAATACTCTGTGTGTCCTCTTCCTGACTAGGACGTTTCCCACCACTGAGACCAGTGCCCATGGAGCTTCTTCCTGCACATTTAAAAAATGTATGTTTAAGATAGGAAAAGGAAAAAGAACAGTATGCTCCAATGCTTCATTCTTACCTTGCTTCAACAGGTGAGTTTGCTGACTGTCGCCATGAGCATAGTGTAAAATACCACTCCCTTGAGAGCAACCTGTTAGTATTTAAAACACAGTAAAATTACTTAAAATCAAATCCAAGATGTATGTATTATTAAGTCTACAAATCCAACTTTTAGCGCTTGTACTTAAGGTCATTTATATGCTTTTAAGACTAAATCTCAATCTTCCTATGAACCAAAAATCACATGCTCAAACCAGGAAAACTTAAATTTAGGCTCACAGAAGTGTTGACAGCTCAAAGGAAAAATCATTGATGATCATTTTCTAAAAAACATTTCCTTACTAGATGACAATTTGAAACTTGACCATGAAGGTAAAACATAGGGGCAAGAGTGAGATAGACATTCCTCCCTCACTCTTGTCCCTTTTCCCACGCTTTTCCTTCAGAGCTCCTCCAAACATATTTCCTTGAGGATAAGGGAATAAGGGCCTGCCCGATGAGTTAAACAATTCAAATCATACGACAAGCAGAAGACACAGACTATGTGGCAGTTACCTAGCCTAAGCAATCCTATCAACCCTTCTAAAAACAAACACTATTATAGGAGAATAGGTTGGCTAGAACAGAGAAGTATGTTTTAGGGAAACATTTCTGTCAGTGTGTCCAGTTTATGGAAAAATATGAGCATTCTGGACCTATCCACGAGCAGGTGGATAGGTCAACACCTTATGGCCTGAACAAGACTGTGCACTTACTTTCGTTTTAATTAACTTCAATCCCAGGCAATCAGTGGCAGTTGCTCACCCTAAGTGAGTATGAAGTACTATCCCATAGTTGTTTTAATTTGCATTTCCCTAATGACTAATAATGCCGATGAACTGATATTTTACAATAAAAAAACCTAAAAGTTAAATAAAAACTAAAACATATTGCTACAGTAGTAAACATATTACAGTCTGTTTTATTATAAGAACAAAAGTAAGACTTCTATGTATAGTTTATTCCTTTCCTGAGCACATGTGCACACACACACAAATACAAAGATGAGCAGAGAAAAATGCAATTTGTGTTGCAGAGATTAAGAATGTTCCACAGTCATTAAAAAAACAAACAAAAACAAACAAACAAAAAACTAAGACAAGTAAAAGAATTTTGCCCTTTGACATGCCTTGTAAGGTACTATAAAAGCCTACAGACAGGATAAGTGTAAGGCATAAAAGGATATGCTTTAGAAGCATTTAAGTCCTTTCAAATGGGGCAGAAACCTGAGAGGAGAAATGTTTAATATTAATAGCATAGCCCAAGCCGTGTCTTTTCACAATTTCCCATTTCCAGGTCTAAAATGTTTTTTTCCTTCATCTGACTACCCAAATGCTACTCAATCCTGCCACCTTTCAAGAAAGTTTCTCTAGTCCCTTCAGCTCTCAATAATCTCTCCCTTTTCTCATATTGCACATGGAGGCAGCATCTTATAATTTATCACTTTTTCATTTGTTTTTGTTTTCCCTCCACACCCCCATTTATACTTAAGTTCTACTTAGCTTTTCATGTCTCATGTCTTTTGAAAGCCTCCAAGAAGCTGGCTACAAACTATGTTACAGGCAAATATTTACATGATTAAAATAATTTCAAGATTTATTAATTCTTCTATTATATAATAAACTACCCTATATACATTTGTGAAGCAAAATTGTCCCAATTTAACCTGCTACTATGATTAGCTTTTGAAGATAATTCCAAATAAACGACACAGGTTTGAGTGGTCTAAGAAGCAGTCTGTGCCATCATTGTGTATTAGCCCAACCCTTGGTTCCTAGCCCATTGCTACCTGCCTGTTATCTTAGTGCTTCACAGAGCTTCTGTCCCTCACTCATGTGTGGGCTGACAAGGCAGGCTGTGAACTGAACAAGAGATCTGAAAGAACTTTTGAAATGATTATCTTGTGGAAGTTTATTCAAATTGTAGGAGATACTGAGAAGGAACATTTCTCAAGTATACTGCCATCACTGGCAACTGTCGACTGCTGGGTGGATCACATTCCAGGAATAAAATATTTTCTCTTGTAAACACTTATGGCATTCCATTTGCAGAGGAGGCCCAATGATGCAGGAAGAAGTACAAGCTTTGGAGCTAGTCAGACTTGGATCTGAATCTTAGCTCAACTACTTACTAACTGTGGGATCTTGGTTAAGTTACCTAATCTTTCTAGGATTATTTCCCCAAATATAAAATGAGGATCCCACTACCTCCTCCCCAGGTTACTGTGAGAAAGTATGCAAAAATCCCTTACTATCTACTGGGCAAAGGTAGGCAGTCAAAATGTGAGTGCTTTTGTCCCCTTCTCCCAAAACTAATTCTTGGAGGATAAAATACATGCTGTTTTCATGAGGATGCAGGACATTTCTGAATTCAAAAAGGTTCAGTTTTTAAAAGGTTTTATTCTTAATATCAACTTAGAACATCTGACTTAAAAAAGCATTCCTCAAATGCTACCCTGTTTTTATCCTGTTTTTTTTATTTTGAAAAATATAGATTCACAAACAGTTGTAAAGTTAGTACAAAGAGGTCCTGTTTCCCTATCTTCTTAGTGACATCTTATGAAACTACAGTACAACAATATAACCAGGTATTGACATTGATACAAAGTGTTTGTATGATTTTATGCTCTTTTATCACATGTATAGATTTCTTTTTTCTTTTTTTTCCCTTCAATTTTTATTTTAAGTTCTGGGGTACATGTGCAGGATGTGCAGGTTTGTTACATAGGCAAACATGTGCCATGGGGGTTTGCTGCACAGATCAACCCATCACCTAGGTATTAAGACCAGCATGCATTAGCTATTCTTCCTAATGCTCTCCCTGCCCCTGCCCCCCCAACAGACCCCAGCATGTGTGTTTTGTTGTTTTTTGTTTTTGAGATGGAGTTTTGCTCTTGTTATCCAGGCTGGAGTGCAATGGCGCGATCTCAGCTCACCACAACCTCTGCCTCCTGGGTTCAAGTGATTCTCCTGCCTCAGCCTCCCAAGTAGCTGGGATTACAGGCATGCGCTACCACGCCCGGCCAATTTTGTCTTTTTAGTAGAGACGGGGGTTTCTCCATGTTGGTCAGGGGCTGGTCTCAAACTCCCAACCTCAGGTGATCCACCCACCTCGGCCTCCCAAAGTGCTGGGATTACAAGTGTGAGCTACTGCACCTGGCCCCAGTATGTGTTGTTCTCCGCATGTATCCATGTGTTCTCATCATTCTACTTCCACTTACAAGCAAGAACATGAGGTGTTTGGTTTTCTGTTCCTGCCTTAGTTTGCTGAGGATAATGGCTACAAGCTCCATCATGTCCCTGCAAAGAACATGATCTCGTTCCTTTTTATGGCTGCATAGTATTTCATGGTACATATGTACCACATTTTCTTTATCTAGTCTATCATCGACTGGCATTTAGGTTGATTCCACGTCTTTGCTAATGTGAATAGTGCTGCAATGAACATACGTGTGCATGTATCTTTATAACAGAATGATTTATATTCCTTTGGGTATATACCCAGTAATGGGATTGCTCAGTCAAATGGTATTCCTGCTTCTAGATCTTTGAGGAATCACCACACTCTCTTCCACAATGGTTGAACTAATTTACAATCCCATCAACAATGTAAAAGCCTTCCTTTTTCTCTGCATCCTCACCAGCATCTGTTGTTTCTTGACTTTTTAATAATCACCATTCTCACTGATGCTGTCCTATTTTTTAATCAAATTACTGAGCTTCATGCTATTTTTGGTCAAAGCCAAAAACTAATATGATGGTTCAAATTTCTAACACATACTGAGTTCCTGAAATTATTAATATCACACATAAGAATTTACATGGTCACTAAATTTGTATCATACAGAAAACTACTACAGACCAGACTTTATAAGAAAAACTTATGTGCAAAAAGACTAGAGGGCTCTATGCATGTGTACAATAAATCTTTTGGCCATGTTCACAGGGCCACTGACTTTCTTAACTAATTACCTTATAGTTGCCATACACCTAAGGAGTAAAAAATAATAAGCATTCTGAAAATATGACATTTGAGTTTCATTTTATCCTTAAAATTGCTCTCCTCAGTTTGCAAGAGCTTTAACTTGACCCAGTATCTATTATACGTAATGATATTTTCCATCTCTAAAATGTCATCAATGGAGTGAAGAGATGTGTCTGGGTGCACATGTATGCATGCATACAAAGAATCTATTAAGCTAATTTCAAAGACAGATTTTTATAAAATATGTTAGTGAGGATCAATAACAAATATATTTGTTTAATAACCTCTTCATGTTACTAAGTGCAGAAATTTCCTTTTCACTTACTTCCACTGCTGCTACAACCTGGGATATTTTCTGCAGAATATCCCATGAAGCCTCCATTCCCATTAGGATTAGAAGGTACTGATGCCAGAAGACCTAAAGGACAAAAAAATTTTCTTTTAAATTATGATCAAGATAAAATTCAAAGATAAGTACATAAACAGCTGCCAAAGAAACAAAGACAGTTCTTAACATACCTAGTCCTCTATATCGTGAAAGCTGCTGATAGATCTGTTTCATCCTTTCGATATTCAAACGGCTTGCCTCAGCATGGTTCACCATTGGTTTAGGATAATTAACTCCTATCAAACATTTGGCTACCTTTTGGATACCTTCTGGTGCATTCCAGGGATCATAGATATATTTTGCAGGGAAGCCTCTTAGGACAGGCAAATAACGCCTTTGGGAGAAAAAAGAAAGATTACTAATAAAATGCACTCTAAGCAAACTATAACTACTAGCTATGACAGACCAAAATCAAATCAAGACCATTTAAATGATCTGTTTACCCTTCTCATCTCTGCTGCCCATCATGAGTGGGGAATACTTTAAGCATTGATTAAACATGAAAAGCTCTTCTTGAATTAACTATTCCAAACTGAGTAGTAATCACCCTTGATTTACCTGATATAGTCTCCATTGGGATCTGTTCTCCTACCAAAACCAACAGGGCAATAGCAGTGAAAAAACTGTTGAAAAAAGGAACTACAAGACAGCCACATCCAACTTCCAGCATTTATGCTCCAATCTGCATCAAGCAATAATTCTTCAAATACCTTCAGAAGTAACAGTAACCAATTAGTTTGCACACACATAATTCGCAAAGCAAGCATTTTCAAGGTCACAGTAGAGCCAAAGTCAAGGCAAAGAAAATCTAGCACAGAATTGTAAAATTAAACATTCCAAAGTTAGCTTCCCTATGTTCTGTTCTATAATGAGCTCTTCCAGAGAAAGAAACATAGTGGTAATATAGTATGCTTCTGAAGAGAATTTACTTTTCCAACCTCTGCAGTGTTACTGGGAGAATGGAAGGTAAAAAAAATATTCAAATCACTGATTTAAAAGGATGTGGATTTAAAAGGATATTATTAGTAGACACAGGAAAAGCAGTCAACCACTTTCAAGAAAGCAAAAATGCTATTACATAAAACACCAACAAAAACTTAGCTTCATATTCTAGCCTAAATAAAGGAAGCATACTCAAATATAAATTCACTTAAAAATATATACTAGCATTACATAGTTTAATTTCGAATTCCTTGATCAGAAAGAAAATAGAATTAAAATAAATGATTTTTATATATATTCATTAAGTATGTTATATATTGTCTTTGTATACAACGGTGTACTAGGAAATATAAGAGATTAAACACACACACACACACACACACACACACACACAAGCTCAGAAATGGTCCTTGGATGGGGCAAATGTATGGTATTGCCAGAAAGGTAAAAAATGTACGTAATGGCCGGGCACGGTGGCTCATGCGTGTAATCCCAGCACTTTGGGAGGCTGAGGCAGGGGGATCATTTGAGGTCAGGAGTTCAAGACCAGCCTGGGCAATATGGTAAAACCCTCTCTCTACTAAAAATGCAAAATTAGCTGGGCACAGTGGTGGGCACCTGTAATCCCAGCTACTCGGGAGGTTGAGGCAGGAGAATCACTTGAACCTGGAAGGCGTAGGTTGCAGTGAGCTGAGATCACGTCATTGCACCCCGGCCTGGGCTACAGAGTGAGAGACTCCGTCTCAAAAAAAAAAAAAAAAAAAAAGTACCTAAGTCTTATTACGTGTAATCCACAAGATGTCGTCACAAAATGTAGTATGCTTCTCTTTACATAATAGAAGTATTACTAAAAAGCTGAGAAGTGAGGTGAAATGATTTATATTTTAAAATTTATAATATGAATTCACTATCTCTAGGAACTCTTTAGTGAATTCTTTTCGTGATAGAAATATCACCTATAAATATATCTATCAACAAATTCAGTGTTAAATTTTACAGTTCTCTTAGTGGCTAGGCTGGTTTAACCATTAAAATGACTTTAGGTTAATCAATTTAACCAGTTTTCACCTTTTTGCTTGTCTGATTATACCATTTTTCTCTGAAAGTGTCCCCGTATTTGGGGAATTAAATGTTTTATCCACTGAAAAACTACACCATAAATGAATCTATAAACAGACAACTTCTAGGATTTGTTTTATTAAGGTAAGGATTCCTTCAAAATAAGGCATGCTATATCAGTTAGAACACTTACCTTCATTCCTTCTTCCCAACTAATCCACAGGTCCCCTCGTGTCAGGAAGCAAGCAACTGCATGCCTGGCTAGATGATGAATCCAACCCTCCTGACGAAGCTGTGTCATGATGGCATCAATCCATGGAAAGCCTGTCCGGCCTTCCGCCCATTTGGCTAAAGCCTCAGGATTTTTATCCCAAGGAATCTGAACACAGATAGGGTTTCCTTCCATTTTATCAAAGCGTGGATTATTTGTTGCTGCTGTATAGAAAAATTCACGCCATAACAGTTGCCCATAAAGGGAAAGGGGAGGGGAACTGTTCTTCTTTACCTATGGTTAAAAAGCAAAGAAGTATTATCAGAATTTTTTTTTAAAGTATTAAACAATAAGCTCTAATTTTAGAGAATACCTTTTTGTAGAGATCTGTTAGTTTGAAGTAAAACAGTCGACATGACAAACAACCAAATCGGAGATAAGGACTAAGTCCAGTAGGGCTTGCAAGCAGAGAATTCGCATTCATTCGAGGTCTTTCAAAATTTGCCACCCAAGCCTGAAAACACACAGAGAAAATTATATTAACTAATTGTCTTTTTCATTTTAAAAGAACACTCAGAATGGAGATTTTTTTTTTTAAAGTTACATAGTTCTTGGGGAATAAAATCTTATCCTAGCCACAAATTACATGTTTTAATAAAAAATAAGACAGGATAAAAAAGTGAGCATTCTTTTGTTTCAGTCGTCCTTGTGCAGCACATACTCATGTGAAATAAATTTCCTTCAAATTTCCAACAGAAAGCTGAGAGCACCTTCAATCTCTCTCTCTTTTTTTTTTTTCCTGAGACAGGGTCTCGCTCTGTCACCCAGGCTGGAGTGCAGTGGCTCAATCTCGGCTCACTGCAACCTCCAGCTCCCGGGTGGAGGATTCTCTTGCCTCAGCCTCCTGAGTAGCTGCGACTACAGGCATGCGCCACCACGCCCGGCTAATTTTTGTATTTTTAGTAGGGATGGGATTTCACCATGTTGGCCAGGCTGGTCTCAAACTCCTGACCCCAAATGATCTGCCCACCTCAGCCTCCCAAAGTGTTGGGATTACAGGTATGAGCCACCAGGCCTGGAAAATTTATTTATTTATTTTGAGATGGAGTCTCACTCCATCACCCAGGCTGGAGTACAGTGGTACGATCTTGGCTTACTGCGACTTCTGCCTCCTGGGTTCAAACAATTCTCATGCCTCAGCATCCCAAGTAGCTGGAATTAAAGGCACACACCACCACCCTGGCTAACTTTTGTATTTTTAGTAAAGATGGGGGTTTTGCCATGTTGGCCAGGCTGGTCTTGAACTCCTGACCTCAAGTGATCCACCTGCGTCAGCCTCCCAAAGTGCTGGGATTACAGGCGTAAGCCACCATGCCTGGCTTTCAACCTCTCTTTAACACAAAGGTAAAGGTGAAATATAATTCTATTCTAGTTTCGAAATTGTGGCCACTAGATACTAGCTTAGGTAGAAAGAACAGAAGAGGTAGTGCGGTAGTAGCTAAAGGGGAAATAATTAGAAGAGAAGGAGAAAGAGCATTTAAATGAGGAGATGGTAGTTAACTTTCAAACAATTAGGTTTGTGCTATTTTAACCATTTCTGTTAATCCTCCCCTTTCAACAATCTATTTGTTATTTTTAAAAGAGAGAAAAATTATTTTTTAAATGGCAGTTTGGAAATACAAGCATAGCTATATAATCTACATTATCATACTTTTCTTTCCAAATGCCTTTCCAAACGAGTAAGTGCTTCAGTTTCTCCACCTGGCCACACTGCAGAGGATAAGCCATCTGTATCAAAACCTACAAGAAAGAAAAGAAAAAAACATCATTCTTCCGAAACTAATTTTTATTTAACCCCAATAACTGGGAGAACAAATTACTTTGCAGAAAAATTAAGAGAGTACCATAAAAATGAACTGAAGGCCTAAATAAGCCCTCACCTATAGAGGATATGACATGGTTTCAATTTTTCAGGATGTACATCTTAAGGTGGTAACAATAGATCACATATTTATAAAACACATAAATGATGAACAAACATATCACTTCTTAAAGGGTTCTTTTTCTTCTCCCCCTGCCCTTTCTTTCTCTCCTAATGCAAAATACTTTACATGGCAAAATTAAAAGGGGAATTTTCTGAGTAATTTATGATTTATTAACTTGCAAGCCTCACACTGACTACAGTTTACACTCACCTAGCTCTTCCAGTGAAGGGACTCCATATTTCTCATCATGGTCATCAGACAGAGGAGTTGTGCACTTTTCTATCACTTCTGAAGTAATTGTCTCTACTGGTATCTCTAGTGGTTCCATTTTGCTGATGAGAGTCTGGAATCTTTTATAAGTTAGAGGCGGTTGTCCACCATTGAGTTCTATGATCCTATAACAAGAGTTAGTAAAATGTAGTTAGTATTAAAAAAGACAATACATTTTGGCTAATAAGCTCCCAAAAGGCTTAAAAAGCAGAAAATAAAATTAATCACTGAAGTCTTTGAGGGTGTTAGCTTGTTATAATGACCAAGAAATGTGTCCAAAATGATTAATGAGTCCAAAAATCATTCTCCTGAGCTTCTAGACATCCTCTGGGTATCAAATATACTACACAAATATACTACACAAATATTAAACCTTTAAGACAAAGAATATTAAAAACTTATGAGAGGAAAAAACAAGTAAGAGGGGAAATTAGTCTAAAGGCAATTACAAAAAGTTAATACACACAGACATATGAAAAACATGTTATGGCCCAGCTCAAAGAATCTCAATCATCAATAAAAACTAAACCAGGTTGATAATTATATGAAAGAGTAATCAGCAGGTCTCATTTAGGAAAAATAAATTTTATTGTATATATTTGAGTTTACAACACATTATGGGATACATGTAGATAGTAAAATGGTTACTATAGTGAAGCAGATTAACATATTTATAATCTCAGTTACTTTTTTGTATGTGTGTGACAAAAGCAGCTAAAATCTACTTATTTGATTAAAATTCCAAATAAAATACAATTTTATTAACTAAAATCCTTACTCTGTACACTAGACCTCTAGTGTTGTTCATCTTACATAACTTCTACTTTGTATCCTTGGACCTACATTCCTGATATGGTTTGGCTGTGCCCCCACCAAAATCTCATCTTGAGTTGTAACTCCCACAATTCCCACATCATGGGAGGGACCCTGTGGGAGGTAACTGAATCATGGGGGCAGGTCTTTCCCGTGCTGTTCTCATGATAGTGAGTAAGTCTCACAAGATCTGATGGTTTTTAAAAGGGGGAGTTACCCTGCACAAGATCCCTCCTTGCCTGCTGTCATCCATGTAAGACATGACTTGCTCCTCCTTGCCTTCCACCATGATTGTGAGGCCTTCTGAGCCGTGTGGAATTGTAAGTCCATTAAATCTTTCTTTTGTAAATTGCCCAGTCTCGGGTATGTCTTTATCAGCATCGTGAAAACAGACTAAAACAATTACCCTATTTCCTTCAGCAAATTTTATAAATTTTGATTCTATATTACTGTGGTGACAATTACTTCCTATTTTCTATTGTGCTAATGAAGGCATGAGAGATGTCAGCATATGTATCTATGTCACATACTTAGAACACATAAGCCCCCAAATTTCAAGTTATTTAAATTTAAGTATCTTTTTACTTCTGATCATTAATTAACTCAATCAATTATTAATTAAAAAAATAACTAGCTTTGCCAATGGTAGTTAAAGATTAAGTTTAGACACTCTTTTGGAATAACTACTCTTTTTCACTATGGCCATTTGCTTAGCATTTGGCCTTAATAAAAAATGACAGGTGAAATCCAACTCCATCATTTTATAGATGTGAAAACAGGCCTACCAGGAGAGTTAAGTAAACTAGTCAAGGTCATATAACTGATAAACGGCAAATCAAGGTTTTCTTAGTGTATTTTAGTGTATTTTTCATTATACAATACGTAGTGATGTATCAACTACAGATACATACAGAAAGTAATACAGAAAGCAATCACCATAAAAGATATCCTGTTTAAGTAAATTTTGTTTTGGTGTATTTTGAATTTATTCATAGGGTTGCAATGAATTTTGCTGAATGTAATGATGCTACAATAATACTACTGAGGACATTGTTAATTACACAACAGTAGCAAAATGAGAATCTTAGGACAAAACATTTTCTATATGTTACATTTTAATATGATAGATTACATATAGTAAATATTCACATTCAATCCAATAAACACTTGATTTTTTTTTTTTTTTTTGAGACAGAGTCTTGCTCTATTGCCCAGGCTGGAATGCAGTGGTGCTATCTTGGCTCACTGCAACGTCTGCCTCCCGGGTTCAAGTGATTCTCCTCCCTCAGCCTCCCAAGTAGCTGGATTACAGGCACCCGCCACTATGCCTGGCTAATTTTTGTATTTTTAGTAGAGATGAGGGTTTCACCATTTTGGCCAGGCTGGTCTTGAACTCCTGACCTCGTGATCCATCTGCCTCGGCCTCCCAAAGTGCTGGGATTACAGGTGTGAGCCATCGCGCCTAGCCTAAACAATTTTATGCATAACACTGAGTCTCCCACTTAGAAGCAACTGCTTTTATCCTGTGTTGCCCCCTCCTTGCTATGAGCTCCTTAAAGTTAAGCAAATTGGTGAGCTCGAAGGCAAGATTATTATTAAAAGATATATGAATTCTAGCTTAGTATCAAGACCTTTGTCTGAATCAAATCATGATTTTTTGATACATTTAAAATGTGAAATCAAATCAACTAGTTTGTCATGTTACAGAATTTGTTTTACTAACTTGATAAAATACATAAATTACTAAAAAAGTAAAATGATTTAAAAGGTAAATAAATTATAAGATTTCAGTACTTAAAAGGACAATGGTATGCCAAAAGTTTTAAAAAGTTAAGTTTTACAGACCTCTAAGACTCATAGCATATAACACTCCCTAAATTTAAGTTTGACCACAGAATTTCTGTGGGACAAAGCATCACCAAGGACTGGTGCTGGAAGAAATACACTTTGGGAAATATTCTATTATGCCATTGTTCAGAGGACTACAGCTATGCAATGTTATATTACATCCAATTTGCATCTGGATTTAAAATCCAGACAGACATAATAGATATACATGAAATAAGATAACATTAAACAAGCATACAAAATATGTCAAGGCAATTTATAACTATATATAACTATAAAATTGATAATGCTAAGAGCCCAGAAAGGCAAGACCACAGGAGGCTGAGTTAAGAGTAGTCAAGGAAAATTCTGTAATAGTCTTAATCCATAATAGTTTTGAAACTGAAATGCTGATACCTGTCATTGGGTCAATAGCAGCTAAATAAAATGCTAAGGATTTGACATATGTTCACTTAATTCTCCCATAACTCTGTGAAGTACATGTTATTTCTACTTTATAAACCTCAGTTAAAAACTTATCTATGTAGTTAATACCACCGAACTATATACTTAAAAATGGTTAAGATGGTAAATATTATGTTATACGCATTTTCCCACAGTAAAAAAAAAAAAAGGACTCACTTGTCTAGGTCATATAATGTATGTGAAATTCTTACAATGACTTCTACTCCAGCTTCAGTTGCCAGTTTCTTAATAGCTGCGTCTCGTTCCTTTCCAAAGGGCTCAGAATCATACTCAATTGAAAGTTTAGTAATGTTCCATTCCTAAAGTAAGAGAAAGGGGAACAATGTACACCAATTGTAATAGTTATTTTTTCTATTATAACGAAAAGTGAAAAAGCTGAAAATCTACATATCAAAGGATTATACATAAATCAAACTTTGAATATGCAGGAAAAAGTAAACAATTTATCAATTAAAAAATACATAAGTAATGAATGCATAACCCATTAGATTCTAGGCATTATGCTAGGCAACAATCTAGCAAAGCAATATGCTTAAAACCAGCTCTTATACTAAATGTGTTTGTAGAGCACTTTACTTTTTCAAATTACTCATACTTACATTATTTCATTTGAGCCTCAAAACAACACTCAGAGTTTGGCACTTTGGTTAGTATTTCCATTTTGGAGATAAGTTTATTTTTAAAACTTAGGGACCTGCCAGAGTTCACAGAAAGCCAGACCACCTGAATTTATGTCTGTTGAGTCTAAGAACTGGTCTTTAACTAACCTTTGATATTGATATGGTATAAGCTGCCTGGCTGAGGTCGTGTGTGTGTGTGTATGTAAATATTTTCTTTCTGATTACTAAAAAACGTTAACTGAAAAATTTGGAGATGGTAATAATAATAGCAGTTACTTATTATCAGGAGCTATGTTAATAAGTTCTGTACATCTCCTTATACTGATTTTAAATGAGGAAACTGTGACTTAAAGGAATTGATTTTTCTTAAGGAGAAAGTTTTTTTTTTATTCTAAGTCTATTCTGATTTATCTCATAAAGAAAAAATTCTACCATTATTTAACTGCCTATATGGTAACATACTATAATTCACCAAACACCTCCAGATTAGACAAGGGCTATTCCAATGGTGGGTTTAAAAAAATTGCTATTCTAGGCGGCGTGCGGTGGCTCATGCCTGTAATCCTAGCACTCTGGGAGGCTGGGGTGGGTGGATCACCTGAGGTCAGGAGTTCAAGACCAGCCTGGCCAGCATGGTGAAACCCCGTCTCTACTAAAAATAAAATCATTAGCTGGGTATGGTGGCACATGCTTGTAATTCCAGCTACTCGGGAGGCTGAGGAAGTAGAATCACTTGAACCCGGGAGGTGGAGGTTGCAGTGTGCCACTGCACTCCAGACTGAGCGACAGGAGCGAGGCTCCATCTCAAAAAAAAAAAATTGCTATTATAAACTTTACAGTATATATCTTTACCTTTATGCACACATCTTACAAATTATAGGGTATTTATCCAATTTTTTCCTAGAAATAATCCCTTGAAAAACAACTGATGGATCAAAGATAAGCACATTCAAAATTCTGATAGGCTGTCAAATTATGTACCAGAAAGACTGTACAAATTTATATTCCCATCAGCAGTGCACCTAAGGCTTGATCTCCACACACTTGCCAATAATATGTATTAGTAATCTTTTTTTTTTTTTTTTTTAGATGACATCTCACTTTGTCACCCAGGCTGAAGTGCAGTGGCTGAAGTGCAGTGGCATGATCTTGGCTCACTGCAACCTCCACCTCCCAGGTTCAAGCGATTCTCCTGCCTCAGCCTCCCGAGTAGCTGGGATTAAAGGCACATACCACCACAACTAGCTAATTTTTGTATTTTCAGTAGAGAAGGCATTTTGCCATTTTGGCCAGGCTGGTCTCAAATTCCTGACCTCCATCTACCTCGGCCTCCCAAAGTGCTGGGATTACAGGCGTGAGCCACCATGCCCAGCCAGTAATTGTTTTTAAATGTCTGCTAAACTATTAGGAAAAAAATAGTATCTCATTAAAAATTTTTTCCTTTCTTAAAAGTCCTGAAAAGTGCACATCAAGAAATTAAGGGCTGTTGACTTTGAGGAATAGAATTTGAGCATGTAAATAAGATAACTTTTACATTCTGCTGCATTGCTCAGATTTGTTAGTACGAACTTGCTATTTTTGAAATTTAAAAATAAAACTAAGATGAGAATAGAAAAGCATTCTATTTCTTTGTTTTATAGTGAGGTAGTATAGAATAGTTTAAAAACACAGGATCTAACAAGTTAGACTTCCTAAGTTCAAAGACTGGCTCAACTACTTAGGCAAACTGCTAAACTCTCCATGCCTGTTTCCTAGTCTATAAAATGGGTAGAGTAAGTAAGGTGCAGAGAGAGTGCCTAGCACGTAATAAACCCTATGTAAGTATTTGCTACAGTGATGTGAAAAAATTAACCATATTATTGGGTTGCTAAAGAATTAAATAACATAATGCATATAGAGTGTTTAGGACAGAGCACAATGCATAGCAAGCCCTCAATGAATGACAGGAACTCTTTTTCTTCTTTTTTTTTTTTTTTAAGAGTTAGGCTCCCACTCTGTTGCCCAAGCTGGAGTGCAATGGTGCAATCATAGCTCATTGCAACCTCAGACTCCAGGACTTGAGCAATTCTCCCACCTCAACCTCCCGAGTAGCTAGGACTACAGGCATGCACCACCATAACCAGCTAACTTAATTTTTTTTCGTAAAGACAGGGTCTCACTGTATTGCCCAAGCTAGTCTCAAAATCCTGCCCTCAAGAGATCCTCCTTCCTCAGCCTCCCAACGTGCTGGGATTACAGACGAGAGCCAATGTGCCTAGTGCAATTTAGCACTGTTTTTTGAAAAACATTATTTTAAATCTTAGTAAATACTGAAGTGAGTCAATAAATAACACTTCCTGCCCCTTTTCCTTCTTGAGTTCAGTCACGTAAGCCAGGGGGCTAAAGATAAAAATATCAGCCATATTATTAGCAAAGCTGAATTGTAGAAAACATACCAGGTTTCAGGGCAGGTAAACTTGCTAATACTATTTCACTGTTGAATCAAACAGATTTACCTACTCAATCATAAGCAGCACCTCCCGCAGTGTGGGCTTTCCCTATAAAACGTATCACATAGAAGAGGAGAATATAACGTGTGCTCTCTACAACTAAAAGAAAAGGAACCGTCTCAGCTAAACTAGCCCAGCTCCTTCTCCTAAACTCACCAATGAGATCATTCACTTTTCCTTCCCTGGGGATAAATTAGTGAACATCTCTCCAAAAGAAAAATGAAAATCTAGGGAAGAGAAAGTTTCCCAAAATTAAATGCATTCAGTAATACACTAAGTATTTATTATAATTCTAATTATATGACAGATATTATGCTAGATGCCCCTCTCCTGGAGCTTATTGAGAAAGAGTGGCAATACAGAGGTAAATTACTGAATACGTAACTATTAGGGAAAAAAATGCTATGATAAAGAATACGGGGATGGGGTATGAGGTGGTAAGCTAATAATCCACACTCTGTCTTCCATGACTGCACTGGCTAGACTTCAAGTAATTTGTAAAAGCAAATATCCTTGTTTTTTCCTATCTTGGGTAGAAAGCATTCAGTGTTTCACCTTTAAGTAAGATTTTATGTTTTTTTGTAGACTTCCTTTATCAAATTGCTATTTAGCACTTGATATGGTTTGGCTGTGTCCCCACCCAAATCTCATTTTGAATTGCAGCTCCCATAATCCCCACATGTCATGGGAGGGACCCAGTGGGAGGTAACTGAATCATGGGGGTGGGTTTCGCCCGTGCTGTTCTCATGATAGTGAATAAGTCTCACAAGGTCTGATGGTTTTTTTAAAGGGCAGTTCCCCTACCCATGCTCTCTTGCCAGCTGCCATGTAACATGTGCCTTTGCTCCTCCATCTTCCACTAGGATTGTGAGGCCTCCCCAGTCACGTGAAACTGTGAGTCAATTACATCTCTTTCCTTTATAAATTACCCAGTCTCAGGTATGTCTTTATTTGCAGTGTGAGAACAAACTAATATAGCACTTTAAAGAATTTCTAGTTAGCTAAAAGACCTTTTTAAAAAGTATACACGGGTGTTGAATTATGTCAGATGCGTTCTCTTCATTTGTTAAGATAATTTCTCTTTTCCTTTATCCTATTAACCCAGTAGGTTATATTAATTGATTTTTTTAATGCTCAACCAACTTTGTATTCATGAGATAAACCCCACTTGATCCTGAAGTAGCAGTATTTTAAAATATTGCAGGCTGGGCACGGTGGCTCACACCAGTGAGCTCTTTGGGAGGCTGAGGCAGGCGGATAGCCTGAGCTCAGGAGTTTGAGACCACTCTGGGCAACATGGTGAAACCCCGTCTCCAATAAAGATACAACAATTAGCCAGACGTGGTGGTGGGTGCCTGTAATTCCAGCTACTCAGGAGGCTGAGGCAGGAGAATTGCTTGAACCCGGGAGGTAGACGTTGCAGTGAGCCAAGGTTGTACCACTGCACTCCAGCCTGGGCGACAGAGCAAGACTCCATCTCAGAAAAAACAAAAAAACAAAAAAACATATATATATATATATATATATATATATATATATATATAAAATCTCTATATCTCCAGGTTCACGGTCCGGTACGGTGGCTCATACCTGTAATTCCAGCACTTTGGGAAGTCAACATGGGAGGATGGCTTGAGCACAGGAGTTCGAGCTCAGCCTAGGTAAATATAATGAGACCACATAGTGTCTTTACAAAAAAAACTTTTTTTAAATAAAAAATATTGCTAGATTCAATTTAGTGATTTCTGAGTCTTTGTTTATGGGGGACACTTGGCTATACTTTTAATTTTTTCTCAAACTTTCCTTGTCAGGTTGTGGTATCAGGGTTATGCTGTCCTCATAAAATGAGTTGGGAAGTAATCTCAATCTTGTTTTCTGAAAGAGTTTAATTTAAGAAGGAAATACTTCCTTCTTAAATGTGTGATATAACTCAAAATAAAGCCATCTAAGGGCTTGAAGTTTGTTTATGGGAAGGTTTTTAATTACAAATTCAATTTATTTAAGAGATATAGGGCTATTCAGGTTTTCTTTTTCTTCTTATGAGAGTTCTAGTAAATTATACCTTTCAAGAAATTTTTTCATCTCAGATATATAATTTATTGACAGTATAGTGTTTACGATATTCTTTACTATGCTTTTAAAGTCTGGAGAATCTCTAGTGATGTCCTCTTTCTTATTCCTGATATAGGTAACTTGTATTTTCTTTCTTTTTTGTCCGAATCAGTATTAAGAGTTTATCAATTTTATTAATGTTTTCAAAGAACCCGTTTTTGGCTTTGTTGACTAACAGGAGACAAAAATCACATCAGCAATTTGAACATGAAAAATTTACAAGGGCAACTCATTTTATTGTGCTTTGCTATTTATTGCACTTCTCAGATATTGTGCATTTTATAAATCAAAGGCTAACGGCAACCCTGCACTAAGCAATTCTATTGGTGCCATTTTCCCAAAAGCATGTGCTCACCTCGTGTCTCTGTGTCACATTTTATCAATTCTCACAGTATTTCAAACTTTTTCATTATTATATCTGTTATGATGACCTGTGATCTCTTCTCTTTTTTTTTAAGAGACGTGGTTTCACTGTATCACCCAGGCTGGTCTTGAACTCCTGGCCTCAAGTGATCCTCCCATTTCAGCCTCCTGAGTAGCTGGCACTACAGGTACCAGTCACTACACCCAGCTTTTATCAGAGATCTCTGATGCTACTATTGTAATTGTTTTGGGGTGCCATGAATTGCACCCATAAAAGAGGGTGAACTTAACTGATAAATGTAGTGTGGTCTGTCTGCCCTACCCAGCCTTTCCCCCATCTCTTTCACCCTCTCTCCCTCTCCTCAGGCCTCCTTATTCCCTGAGACAACAATATTGAAATTAGGCCAGTTAGTAACCCTACAATGGTCTCTAAGTGTTCAAGTGAAACGAGGAGTCACACATCTCTCACTTTCAACCAAAAGCTAGAAATAAGCTTAGTGAGGAAGGCATGTTGAAAGGTGAGACAGGCCAGGCTGGGCGCAGTGGCTCACGCATGTAATCCCAGCACTTTGGGAGGCCAAGGCGGGCGGATCACGAGGTCAGGAGTTCCAGACCAGCCTGGCAACATGGTAAAACCCTGTCTCTACTAAAAACAAACAAACAAACAAAAACTGGGCATGGTGGCATGTGCCTGTAATCCCAGCTACTCGGGAGGCTGAGGCAGGAGAATCGTTTGAACCCGGAAAGCGGAGTTTGCAGTGAGCTGAGATCGAGCCATTGCACTCCAGCCTGGGCAACAGGGCAAGACTCTGTCTCAAAAAACAAACAAAAAAAAAAAACAAAAAAGAAAGCTGAGGCAGGCCAAAAGCTAGGCCATTTGCACCAGTTAGCCAAGATGTCTAAACAAAGGAAAAGTTCTTGAAGGAAATTAAAAGTGCTACTCCAATGAACACATGAATCATAAAAAAAAACAAAGCAGCCTTAATGGCGATATGGAGAAAACTTTAGGGGTCTGGATAGAAGATCAAACCAGATACAATACTCCCTTAAAGCATAGTCCTAATCCAGAGAGAGGCCCTAACACTCTTCGATTCTGTGAAGGCTGAGAGAGGTGAGGAAGCTGCAGAAGGAAAGTTGGAAGCTAGCAGAGGTTGGTTCATAAGGTTTAAGCAAAGAAGCTGTCTCCATAACCTAAAAGTACAAAGTGAAGCAACAAGTGCTGGGTGGAGAAGTAGCAAGTTATCCAGATCTATCTAAGATAATGAATTAAGGTGGCTACACTAAACTACAGATTTTCAGTGTTGATGAAGCAGCCTTCTATTGGAAGAAGATGTCATCTAGGACTTTCATAGCTAGACAGAAAAAGTCAATGCCAGGCCAGGCACTGTGGCTCATGCCTGTAATCCCAGCACTTTGGGAAGCTGAGGCAGGCAGATGCTTGAGGTCAGGAGTTCGAGACCAGTCTGGCCAACATGGTGAAACCCTGTCTCTACTAAAAATACAAAATTTAGCCGGGCATGGTGGTGCACGCCTGCAGTCCAAGCTACTCAGGAGGCTGAGGCAGGAGAATCAATTGAGCCCAGGAGGCGAAGGCTGCAGTGAGCCAAGATCGTGCCACTGCACTGCAGCGTGGGTGACAGAGGAAGACTCCGTCTCAAAAATAAAAAAAGAAGAAAAAGTCAATGCCTAGCTTCAAAGCTTCAAAGGACAGGCTGACTTTCTTGTGAGGGGCTAACATAGCTGGTGACTTTAAGTTGAAGCCAATTCTCATTGCCCATTCTAAAACTCCTAGGTCCCTTGAGAACTATGCTAAATCTACTCTGCCTGTGCAGAACAGGAACAACAAAGCCTGGATGACAGCACATGTGTTTACAACATGGTTTATACATATTTTAAGCTCTCTGTTGAGACCTACTACTCAGAAAGAAAGACTCCTTTAAAAATATCACTGCTCACAGACAAACGTACTTTGTCATCCAAAAGTTCCAATGGAGATTTATTAGGGAGATTAACATTGTTTTCATTCCTACCAATGTAACATCAATTCTGCAGCCCATGGATCAAGGAATAATTCTGACTTTCAAGTTTTATTAAGAAACACATTTTGTAAGGCTATAGCTGCCACAGACAGTGATTCTTTTGATGGGTCTGAGCAAAGTAAATTGAAAATCTTTGGAAAGGATTCACCATTCTAGATGCCAATAAGAACACTTGTGATTCATGGGAGGAGGTTAAAATATCAACATTAACAGCAATTTGGAAGAAGCTGATTCCAGTCCTCATGGATGACTCTGAGGGGTTCAAGACTTCAGTGGAGGAAGGAACTACAAATGTGGTAGAAATAGCAATAGAATTAAAACTAGAAGTGCAGCCTGAGGATGTGACTGAATTACTGCAATCTTATGATAAAACTTGAATGGATGAGGAGCCGCTTTCTATGGATGAGCAAGAAAGTGGTTTCCTGAAATGGAATCTACTGCTGGTGAAGATGCTGTGAACATCATCAAAATGATAAAAAAGGATTTAGGTTATAACACAAATTTAGTTGATGAAGCAGTGGCAGGGTTTGAGAGGACTGACTCCAATTTTTAAAGTTGTACTGTGGGTAAAATGCTATCAAACAGCATTGCATGCTATAGAGAAATCTTTGGTGAAAGGAAGAGTCAATTGATGTGGCAAACTTCATTACTGTCTTAAGAAATTGCCATAGCCACCACAACCATCAGCAACCACTACCCTGATGAGCCAGTAGCCATCAGCATTGAGGCAAGAACCTCCACCAGCAAAAAAGATTATGACTTGCTGAAGGCTTAGATGATCACTAGCATTTTTTTAGCAACAAAATATCTTTAATTAAGGTGTGTATTTTTTTTAGTCATAATGCTACTGCACACAGAAAAGACTACAGAATAGTATAAAGACAACTTTTATACATATGCATTGGAAAACAAAAAAATTGTGACTTGCTTTATTGTGATGTTTGCTTTATTGCAATATTTACTTTATTGTGGTGGTCTCGAACCAAACTTGTAACATCTCCCAGGTATGCCTGTATCAAAAATTGTAATTGTTAGCTACTAAAGGTGGTCAACAATGACAAGGAATAAAACAGGAGATAAGGCTACACTTCAGTATGGTAGGTAGTAGCCACTAGGCCACGTGTGGCTTCTGAGCACTGAAATGTGACTAGCTGGCACTGAGATCAGCTGGAAGTATAAAATACATACAAGATTTCAAGAACTTCATATTTTTTTAAAACTCCGTTTAAAATAAGCTATTTTAAAAGATAAAATAGCTTATTAATACTTTTATATAGAATATTTTAGATATACTGTGTTGAATAAATCATTAAAATTAATTTCACCTGTTTGTTTTTACTTTTTTAATGTGGCTATTAGAAAATTTTAAATTTAACATGACTTCTATTGGATGGTACTGCTCTAAGGTGTTCAAAAGTACCAATTGCAGAAAGCAGCTGCCACCTCTATGTGGACGGAAAATAAACAAGGAATGAATAAAAAACTTAACAAAAGCTCCCTCCACCAAGCCACTGAGATTCATGGCTCATTGGATGGAGCGTGCTGCCACAGGAACACACAACCTTCCCTGTAAAGAAATTTACCGGAGGGCAATGACCAAAGGTGTTTCATACCAATAACCTGCTGGTTGGCTGAGAAACTTCCTGGTAGGTATGGGCTAACCAGGTTATCTGTAGAAGCTGTCCACCAGGTGGCATAGAAACTTATCAGAGGGTATAAATAGGCTTACACAGAAATTCACCAGAGGGTGTATGTAGGCTGTGGCTGGTTCAGGAGGGCTGCTGAGGTGAATGCTACTGATCCTCCGGCATACTCATCTGCTAGCCCAGGGAAAAAAAGCACAAGTATATCAAGAAGAAAAGCTTCTTCTCTCCTGCTGTGACACAGTATCACACAGTAGGGCAAGAAGGGTGGGTTTGGCACTAAGAAATAATAAACTAATTAATGCATACTGATTTTCTTTATTGTTTTCTATTTCATTGATTCCCGTTCCTCTTTATTTTTTGTTTTCTTTCTACTAACTATTAGTTTAATGTGTTCTTTTTCTATCTTTAAGGTAGAAACTTAGTTCTTGATTTTTCCTTTTCTAATACAATATTGAAAGCTATAATATTAAGTTTCCTCTAAGCACTGCTTTAGCTGCATTCTGTAAATTTTGATATACAGTCCTCCCTTGGTATCTGCAGGAAATTGGTTCCAGGACCCCCTGTGGATACCAAAATTCACAAATGCTCAAGTCCCTTATGTAGAATGGTGTAGCATTAGGATATAACCTGGGTGTATCTATATATATATATTTTGTGTGTTTTTGTTTCTTTTTTTTTAGACAGAGTCACACTCTGTTGCGCAGGCTAGAGCACAGTAGTGCAATCTCAGCTCACTGCAACCTCCGCCTCCTGGGTTCAAGTGTTTCTCCTGCCTCAGCCTCCTAAGTAGCTGGGATTACAGGTGTGCATCACCACTCCCAGCTAATATTTGTAGTTTTAGTAGAGACGGGGTTTCACCATGTTGGTCAGGCTGGTCTTGCACTCCCGACCTTGTGATCCGCCGGCCTCAGCCTCCCAAAGTGCTGGGATTACAGGCGTGAGCCACCACGCCCAGCCTTTAAAGACTTTATTTTCTCAATTCTCTAACGGGTTCAAACAAAATAAGAGGAAAAAAGACCTCTATAATTTTGTGTCACATTCACTTTCATCTCCTTGTTAATATGGGAAACAATGATCTATTGTGAGTTTTTACATCTTAACCAGAGATGGAAGTCCCTATCTACTCTTTTTTTTTTTTTGAGACAAGGTCTCACTCTGTTGCCCAGGCTGGAGTGCAGTGGCATGAATATAGCTCACTGCAGCATTAACCTCCTGGGTTCAAGTGATCATCCCTCCCACCTCAGCCTCCTGAGTAGCTAGGACCACAGGCATGCGCCACCATACCCAGCTAATTTTTAAAAATTTTTGTAGAGATGCGGTCTCAGCATGTTGTCCAGGCTTATCTACTCGTTAGAGCAGGTTTTTATTTTAAGCAACACGTAGTTACCTTTGAATTTCAATACCTAGATTTAACAGTAAGACTGCAAATAGCACCAACATATTTTCATTTGAGTAAGTGAATATTCACTTTGCAATTTTTTTTGAGCGAGGGTCTTGCTCTGTTGTCCAGGCTGGAGTAGAGTGGCATGATCTTGGCTCACTGCAGCCTCCAACTTTCCAGGCTAAAGTGATCCTCCTACCTCAGCCACTGGAGTAGCTGGGACTACAGGTGTATGCTACCATGCCCAGCTAATTTTTAAAATTTTCTGTAGAGACAGAGTCTCACTATGTTGCCCAGGCTGGTCTCAAACTCCTGGGCTCAAGCACTTGGCAATTTTAAGCAATAAGATTTGTATCTATTTTTGTGTATCACAATTACTTGTTAATCAGAAAGGATAACATGAACAACTAAATGAATATAAAGTTCTTGGCTGGACGTGGTGGCTCACGCCTGTAATCCCAGCACTTTGGGAGGCAAAGGCAGGTAGACCACTTAAGGTCAGGACTTCGAGACCAGGCTGGCCAACATGGTGAAACCTCATCTCTACTAAAAATACAAAAATTAGCTGGGCATGGTGGCGCACTCCTGTAGTCCCAGCTACTCAGTAGGCTGAGGCACGAGAATCACTTGAACCCAGGAGGTGGAGGCTGCAGTGAGCTGAGATCGTGCCACTGCACTCTAGCCTGGGTGACAAAGTGAGACTTGGTCTCAAAAAACAAAAATAAAATAAAACAAAACAAAAGAAAGAAATAGCACTCCCAAACAATTTTAAAAAAAAGTTCTTAAGTCATAATTAATATACTGTGAAAATAAGCAATGTAAAATTTGATAGTAAAACTAAAAGTTGTAAATCACATATGTCCTAGGAGAAAGCATTTATTTTTTAAATTGACAGTAAATTAAACAGTATAATTGCATAAAAATGTAAAGCTACCTCACAAAATAATCCAAATACAAAGAAGGTAAAACTCTAAAAATTTCCATCCATCCATCCATCATCCTTTCCTTCTGTTTCATAACTCTAGTCTTAGGGTCTAAACTACTATTTATATACTGAAGAGTCCTAAATTTAGTCCAGACTTCTCCCTGAGCACTAGACTTGAATGCCTTCTCAACATGTACATTAACATGCCTAAAAGGCATCCCAAACTAAAAATTTATAAAATGAACTTCTTATTTTTTCCTTAAACTTGTTCCTCCATAGTCTGTTATTCCATTAAATGGGAATCCATTCTGCCATGCGTCCAGGCTAAAAACCTAGAGTCATCCTTGACTCTCATATATCACATATAGGCAAACCTTACAGCCTCTATTTAAAATATATATCCAAAACCCTACCACTTCTCAACACCTCTACAGCTACCCTGGTCCTGGTCATCATCATCTTATTCCTAAATAACTGCCATTGCCTCCTAACTGATCTTTCTGCTTCTGCCTCTACAACACTTCCAATCCCCTGTGTATTCTCCACAAACAGCCAGAGAAATTCTTGTAAATCATGAGTTAAATCATGTCACTCTTCTACTCAAAACTCTCCAATGGCATCTATTTCACTCCGAGTAAAGGCTGAAGCTCCTAACATGATCTATAAAGCCCTATGATCTGGCTTCCAGCCACCTCTCCGACGCCATTTCTTCTTTTCACTCACTGTGCTCTAGCACACTGGCCTTGTTGTTGTTCCCTAAACAAATCATGCACATGTCTACTTCAAGGCCTTTGTTAAGCACTGTTTCCTCTGCCTTCCATGCTCCTTCCCCATGTTGCAGTTAGCTTAGTGGAATTGTTAATTCTCAAAATTCTGTCAGGTATCTGGATGGTTCTTTTATTGGTTTCACTCGGATCTGCTCATGAGGCTGCAATTCGCTGGCAGCTTGGCTGGGGCTGGAGTGCCTAAGATAGTCAAACTCACACATCTCAGACTTTGGTGTTGGCTGTTGTTTGGTCCACTCTCTATATGTGGCCTCCCAAAGTTAGATATTCTACCCCAGGCTTTCTTACATGATAGAAGGAGCATCCTAAGAGGGGAAAAGTAGAAGCTGAAAGGTCGCTTAAGGCCTAGGATTTGGAATTCACAATGTCTTCTTTGACACTTGGTTAAAAACAAGTTGTAAGGGCAAGTCAGATTCAATGGGGTAAGGAAATAAACTCTACCTTTTGACGGAAAGAGCTGCAAAATATTGTGGATATGATATACCACAACCCAGATGCATGGCTCACTCTTCATATGCTTGCTCAAATGTCACCTTATCAGTGAGGCCTTCTTTGATTCCATATAAAGTAACTTTCCCTCACCTTGACATTTACTATCCCACATTTTACTCTTCTCTACAGCACATATCACCACCTGACATTGCATGTTTACTTATTTGTTTACTATCTGTCTCCTTCCACTACAGTGTAAGCACCATGAAGACAGAAATTTTTTGTTTCACTACTGTATCTCCAGTACCTCAGACACAGCCTTGTATATAGCAGGCACTCAATCAGTATCTGTTGAATACATTCTATCAAGCATGTGTCATGAATTAACAAAGCAAGATCCAAAGTAACTTAAAAAAGCATAATATAAATTTTACTGTTGAAAAATGGTGGCTTTATATGTTCTTTTATTCTGTGATTTTGAACAAAACATTTTATAATGCTTCAGTGTGGCCATCTATAGACTTTAGCCATGTGTCACTGTTTCTTAGATATAATGAGGCTGGGCACAGTGGCTCATGCCTGTTATCCCAGCACTTTGGGAGGCCAAGGTGGTGGAGACTCCTGGATCCTGAAGCCAGGAGTTTAAGACCAGTCTGGCCAATTGGCGAAACCCTTTCTCTGCTAAAAATACAAAAATTAGCAAGGTGTGGTGGTGCATGCCTATAATCTCAGCTACGTGGGTGGCTGAGGCACAAGAATGGCTTGAGCCTGGAAGGCAAATGTTGCAGTGAGCCAAGACAGCACTACTGCACTCCAGCCTGGGCAACAGAGCAAGACTCTCTCTCAAAAAATAAAAATAAAAATAGAAATAATTAAAAAAAGAAATAGATATAATGAGAATGTTTTTAAAAAATCTAGATATTAATTATGCACCTAGTCTCTAAAACCAATAATTTAAACTCCTTATTAAAAGTTTCTGCAGGGCCTAGAAAGAGCCATCTTGTTAGCCTATATTAAGTCAGAGTTTAACTTAGAAAAGAAACTAAGTAAAAAACGCCAGAAAAAATGACAATAGTTTATTAGATATATATGTGTTTACCTAAGTGTGTATAAAAATGTTCTGACCCATTCCTGAATCTACTCCTTATAAACAGAATAAATTGAGTGAATGACACAGAAGAAAGATACATACTAGGGGAGATATCAGTACTGGAGCCACTGACACAACTATCCCAATTAACTAAGGGTACTGTTACCAGGTCTAAACTAGCCTTACCTCCAATGTGGAAAACCAGATTAATTACCTATTAAAAATCCTCACTACTTGCTGTACTAGAACCAAAAGACCTGAGACACTAATTAAGTAACTCAGCTAGTTAATGACAGAAGAATCTTCTCCCTCAGAGAAACTGTGGTTGTGATGGTTAGGGTGAAGGTGGGGGACAACATGCTTTTAATTGTATATCCTTTTAGCCTTTTTTTTTTAAACATATGCACGTTGAACCTATAAGCAAAAAGTAAAAATCAAAACATTAATTCAATAAAAAGGAATTAATTCCCTCTATGGCTCTAGATATGGTAAATAAATCTAAAAGGAAGTTTTTATAAATGGAATTTTATACAGACTACTATATGTAGCTAAAGAAAAAATCAGAATAAAATAATAAGTACTATATGTATATGTATGTGTTCATGTATTTGTATATTAGGGCCCATGTGGAAACCCATTCCTCTCTGCCAAATTGATAAGATAGGACATCATTTAAATACAGAAGATAGTTTGGCCCAATAATGTGCTATTTTAGGCAGAAGAAATCTCAAAACAAAGAACACAAAACACTTGCTGGTTTGAAAAATGTTGTTTCAAAAACAAGTAAATAAGAATTTTGTTATTTTAAAGCAACTAGGGCTAGGTGCTACAGCTTATGCCTGTAATCCCAGTGCTTTGGGAGGTTGAAGGAGGATTGCCTGAGGCTAGAAGATTGAGACTAGCCTGAGCAACATAGCAAGACTACCAAACAAAAAAAAAATTAGCCAAGTATGGTGGTATACAGCTGCAGTCTTAGCTACTCGATCCTGTAGTCCTAGGATCACTTGAGCCTAGGAGTTTGAGGCTGCAATGAGCTACAATGGCACCACTGCACTACAGTCAGGGCAACAGAGCGAAACCCTGTCTCCCCAGCACCAAACAAAAAAAAAGGCAACTCCACTTAGGATTCATTTTATTTATATCAAACAGATTTAGAGATAGGGTTGAAACAATTATCGACACACACTCTTATATTCATGAGTTGCTGATAGATTATTATCATTGCTTCTGATATGCTTTCTTGTTAGAACTCTCCCAAATACCTAGGTTAAATTCTAACTTGATCTATTACAGTTGTGAACCCTCTTTATTGAATGTAAATTTTCACAAACATTAAATGTGTCTTTCATACAAGCAAAAAAAAAAAAAAAGGCTAAGTAATGCTTATTTGATTCCCAGCACTGGGGATTGATCTTCTCATTCACATAAAGAGCTGTTCTCTTCTACATTAAGAAATACAAATAGAAACATTGCTATTTCAAAAATTTGATGAATCAAATGATTCAAGAAAAAGCAGATATACATTTATAAAGTTTAATAGTAGTTGACATGGTTTGGGATCTATGTCCTCACCCAAATCTCAAGTTGAATTATAATCGCCAATGTTGGAAGTGGAGCCTGGTGGGAGGTGATTGGATCATGGTGGCAGATTTCCCCTTGGTGCTCTGATAGTGAGTGAGTGCTTGCAAGATCTGTTTTTTTTTTTGTTTTTTGTTTTTTTTAAAGTGTGGCACCTCCCCGCTCCTTCTCTCTTCCTCCTGCTCTGGCCATGTGAAGTTCTTACTTCCCCTTTCCCTTCCCCTTCCACCATGATTGTAAGTTTCCTGAGGCCTTCCCAGAAGCCACTATGCTTCCTGTACAGCCTGCAGAACTGTGAGCCAATTAAATCTCTTTTCTTTATAAATTATACAGTCTCAGATATTTCTTTGCAGCAATGTGAAAATGGACTAATACAGTAATAAATAGGAAGGGATGAATACAAAAAGGGCAATGAGGAAACTCAGTTTCTGGTCTGGGCATTTCCATGAGCTAGTTGTATGATCTTGGGCAACTCAATTATTCTCTAGGCCTAATTTTTTCATTTGGAAAAAAGGGAAGAGATAAGATTAGGTATCTTAAACATTTTTAAAGATTTTTAAGATCCTACTAAGTTTTTTAAAAAGCACTACAGTGCTGGGCGCAGTGGCTCACACCTTTAATTCCAGCACTTTGGGAGGTCGAGGCCGGTGGATCACCTAAGGTCAGGAGTTCGAGACCAGCCTGACCAACATGGTGAAACCCTGTCTCTACTAAAAGTACAAAATTAGCCAGGCATGGTGGCGTGCGCCAGTAATCCCAGCTACTCAGGAAGCTGAGGCAGAAGAATCACCTGAACCCAGGAGGCAGAGGTTGTAGTGCGCTGAGATTGCGCCATTGCACTCTAGCCTGGGCGACAAGAGCAAGACTCCATCTCAAAAAAAGAAAAAAAAAAGCACTACAAATTCTGTATTATTGGTAAAATGTCCATTGTTACAATCCTTTGACCCAGAAAGTCTTCTAAGAATTATCCCACAAATGTACTGGCCCATGTGAGCAAAGATTCATAAATGTGGACAAGTAAGTTCACTGGCATTTATACTAGCAAAAGGCCTACAGAGAAAATAATTAAACGTTCAGTAGAAAGCTAGTTTAAAAAATTATAGCCATCTACAAAATGGAATACTATGAAGTCATCTGAAAGACCGAGGAAATGATATGGAACAACTTCCAAAAGATATGGTTATGTGAACAAAGCATGGCAGAGAATGGTGTGTATAGTGTGTCATTTTAACTTTTAACAAAGGGGACAGTAACACAGACACAAACACATGGATGTGTGTGTGTGTATACACATATATATATACACACACACACACAAAAATATATATATATACACACACAAAAAATTCTTGTTTATGCAAAGAATATTTCTAATTGGATAAACAAGAAACTGGAATTGGATACATAAGAAACTGGTAGTAGCTGTTGCTTCTGGGAGGGCAACGAGCAGTTTAAGGTAGAAGAAAGATTGAACTTTTCATTGTAAACTATTTTCTCACTGTCTGATTTTTACCATGTATAGCTTTTTCATTAAATAAAGAAAAAAAACCCACAAAATTTTTACTTGAAAATACTTATATTCGCTACATTTTCAATTAGTCAAAAAACTTTATTTACCAAATATGTAATATTATCTGAGAAAAGATTGTTTTATGCAAATATTTTTCAAATTACCTTGAAAAGCCTGGGAAACACATCTGCTGGTTGTCCACGAATCACAAACAGACGGGAGTTTAATTTTCGTAGATTGGCATCAAGATCCTCAAGACACTGAAGCAAAAATCTAGAGAGAAGAAAGTATTATTTAAATTATTAAAAAATACATATTTAGAAGACATAAATTATTACAAAGTCATGTTATTCTAAAAGTTGAAATGCCAACCTATCATCTTATTACCTCCTATTGATATATACTTTTTCCAAAAACCATACTAATATATATTTTTTAATTATAGCACAAATTACCTAGTATTTTAATAAAATACTGAATAAAATCACTAATTTTCATTAAATAAAAGTGACTATTAGCAAAAATTTAATTTGTGAACATAAAAACATACAAAGAAGTATCAAAGCAATTAAATTGGTTTCATTGTTTAAACTTGATGAAATATTTTCTGTATGAAAATGGCTTTTCATATAGAAAGGAAAACTTGAAAAATCTAGAATATCTTCTGCTGGGGGGAAAAAACCAGAAACATCCTATGTAATGAATAAGCAAGTGAATAATTTAAGAATATCATGGTAAAAAGGAATCTGAGGGGACAAAAAAAAAAGATTATGAGTACTTTTTTGTAATATTGTAATCATTTAAGAGATTGAAATCATAATGCCCATTTTCAAGTTTCTAATTTATTAAAAAAAGAAACTAATAAGTAGATGCCAAATTATGTGGTTATTAATTCCCTGAGTGTAGAAAATGCCAGATTAACTTCTAAAAAAAAAAAAAAAGAAAAGGTTTCATGGAGTTGGGGTGGAGATTATAGACTTTTTCAATGAAATAAGTAGTAACAAGGCTTACACATGACAGATATCTAGGAAAATTCTGGGGCAGTACCAGAAGACTGCTTACTGTGCATCTTCTGTTGCGAAGAAATGGAACATTCCCAAGAACAAATTTAAAAGAGATGTCACCCATGGAAGGTCCAATCTTATTATTTGACTCATGTTAAGTTTCATTTAGATTCTGTTCTTTTCAGCTGGACGTATCTTATTTCCTATTTTGCTTCTTTTATGTTTTTGATCTCAAGGTTAAGTATTTGTCTGCCTTTTTCACAGGCCACATGGTCTTTCAGAATAGCAATTATCTCTTACTTGTGAAGAGGAGTGATTAAGAAGCAGGGAAATGCAAATTCTAGAAGTGCACTATCTAATATGGTAACCAAAAGGCACATGTAGCCATTTAAATTTAAGTTAGTTAAATTTAAAAATCAGTTCCTTAGTCACACTTGCCACATTTCAAGTCCTCAACAGCCACATGTATAGCTGGTGGCTGGCTACCATACTGAACAGTATAGCTACAGAACATTTCCATCATTGCAGAAAGTTCTACTGGACAGATTGTTCTAAAAAGCTGCTTGGTCTAGATCATTTTGTTCGCTTTACACATTCCGATACCATCATTTCACCAAATAAGTCTTGTTGATTTTTTACAACTGTAGTTATTAGTGACATAAGTGCACTAGTCAGGTCTGACACTTCTTCCTCTTTAGGAGCACCATCTGTACAGCTTGAAGAGTCAAGGTGCTATATTTTTATGAGGATGTTAAAGACATCCCACCATTTCACCTTAGGAAGTCTCATGGGTTTCCAAGTAGGAAGCAAACCTTTCTATCCCCACATTTATATTTTATCACATCCCTTTTCTGCCTTGGTTTGGAGTCACCTCCCTAACACCTGATCCCCATCCTAACCCACCACTACCAATGTACAAATATTTCAGGGGAGAAGACTGTTGTTGTTAGATGGATAGTGATATAAAAGCATTGGAGTTTAATAAAATTATCTCCAACTATGAATAATTTATCATGTCTGGTGACAAATGTTTATTGGGAAGCATCTAATTTTATGTATTTGCTTGGCAAGAAGAGTTACTAGACAGAACAAAGATCGAAGGGTTTTTACACAGATCAAAAATTAAGAAGTTGAAAGAACTAGCAATTTTAAGTTTTCTTAAATTGAAACAGTACAAAACTTAAATGTCCTGGAGGGGGTAATCTAAGGCAATAATAATCCCCTAATCTCTGTTGTACCATTAGTTTCAAAATCTTCCCCACCAGAAGTGAGTAAGAACTGAGAACAGCAAGAGTTCTCCATATTCAACTTTTTGGTCAAAACAATTCTATGTGGTGCAAGAGTTCAATGACAGTAAGATGGGATAAGAAACAAACCAAAAGGACATGATTAATTCATAAAATGAAGAATTAAGTATGGATTAATTAATAATCTTTCCCTTTCTTAATAGGCTGAATAAGCATTCCGAATGCTTTTAATAAACATTCTTTTTTTTTTTTTGGAGACAGGATTGTGCTCTGTTGCTAAGGCTGGAATCATGGTTCACTGCAGCCTTGACTTCTCCCACCTAAGCCTCTAGAGTGACTGGGACCACAGGCATATGCCATCATGCCCAGCTAATTTTTGTAGTTTTTGTAGAGGTGGGGTCTCCCCACGTTGCCCAGGCTGGTCTCGAACTCCTGGCCTCAAGTCATCCTCCCACCTCAGCCTCCCGAAGTGCTGGGATTATAGGCATGAACCATCACAGGCCTGGCCTTAATAAACATTATATGAACCAAACAAATGCACAGAATGATATGGACTAAAGTAATGTGTTACAATAGGAAAAGTTTTGAAACCTAAGAATTAATTTTGTTTTGGTACTTCATGAAACAAAAGACTAAAAGCTGTATTTAAGTATGGTGTTCTTCTTCCACAGATATAACTTACATCTCTCATTTCACATAAAAGCTGCACAGATTTAAAAAATAGAAACACTTAAAAAATAATATAGGTATTTTGTAATCAAATATTTTAAGTAGAAAAGATCCAAAAAGAAAAGCAAAAGAGAAGGCTAAAGTAGAACACACTATGATGCTATTCTTTGTTATAAGGCTTTTAAAACTATTTGCATATATTACTCTGATAAAATAAAATTTACATTGCATGCATCTACTTTTGTTTATATGTGCACAAGAAAATAATTGGAAAAATACTTACCAAGCTATTAATCATATCTCCCCGTTAGGGAGTGGGGGTTTGAGATAGGGGTGAGAAACAGAGAAACAAACACATTTTTTTAACTTCATAAAAAAAGTTTAAAATTGATAATTAGCATACATTCCTTCAAAGTAGAAGAAAAACGAGATACACTACATATGTATCTGGTTTAATACATGGTGAACGTCTTTTCAAGGCAATGGACGTACTTCTACAGCATCAATTTTCATAGTTTCATAGTACTTCATTGCACAGATGTCCTATAATTTAACAAGTCTATCAACAAATTACTATCCTTAAATCAATCCTGAAAAGTCCTATCTAGTCTCCTCATCTGTAAAATTGGGACAGTAATCGGACCTGTCTCATAGCATTGTTCGTGAGATTAAATAAATTAACATATGCGAAGCTCTTAGAATAGTGCCTGCCCATAGTAAGCACAATTATATGTTATCTATTACTTTTTAGTGTTCTCCTTCCTTTCCACTTCTGTTTTTGCTACAATAATTCTAGTTCATATTATCTCTTGCTTGTATTTACTGCAATGCCTTAAAATAGATCTGCCTACTAACAATCTCTCTCCATTCTAATTCATTTTATATGCAATTCCAGATCTTCATGAGGCACACCTTCCCATACAAAGGTTTTCAACGACTCATTCCCTATACAATACACAACAAATCATTTTGCTTGGCTACTAACCTAGGGTTCTAGGTTGATTTCCTACCTCATACCCCTTTCTCTCACACCAAACCAAACTTCTCTTTCAGCACACATTCAATCTCCTGGAATGTGCTCCAGGGCCTTTCCTTGGCTTGGAATACCTTTCCCAATTCCTATCCCTTTAAGTTCATATCACACTAACCTTAAATCTTCCATCTTAAAGTCACTTCTACATCTTCTGAACCTCTGAGGTACATTATGTCCTTCAGAGGATGAAAAAATTTTACCTCATATTATACATATTATATATATAACATATATATAAAATATATATATTATATATAATTACATATATATTACATATATATATAAAATATATATATATATATTACATATATATATAAAATAAAACCTCCTCCTAATGGATTTCAAATTAAGTCAGTTCTCCCCATCTCTCTCTTTCTGAGACACAGTCTTGTTCTGTCATCCAGGCTGGAGTGCAGTGGCACGATCTCAGCTCACTGCAGCCTCCACCTCCCAGGTTCAGGCAATTCTTGCGCCTCAGCCTCCCAAGCAGCTGGGATTACAGGAGTGTGCTACCACCCTGGCTAATTATTTTTGTATTTTTAGTAGAGATAGGGTTTCACCATGTTGGCCAGGCTGGTCTTGAACTCCTGACCTCAGGTGATCCACCTGCCTCAGCCTCCCCAAGTGCTGGGATTACAGGCATGAGCCATCAGGCCTGGCCCTAACTACAGTTTTCTTAATCTATATTTTGGTTTCTATATTTGGCAAACAAATCTCATTATGTGCCTTGTATAATTTGTTGAAAAGATTAGAAACAGGATCAAATGACCTAGTAGGGGTGTCTTGTGTAACTGTTGAAAGGATTAGGAGCCTCATAAAATCACCTAGTAGAGTCTCTAGCACATGGTAGATATGTATCAAACAGAAGTTGTTATTTTCCCTTGAGAATAATTCCTGTTTTTTTTTTTTTTTTTTTTTAAAGAAAACACCCCATGCATTTCTATATGTAAATACTTGGGCATGACAAAAGAAAACGTGAATTAGTTGGATGCCTACACCTGTATACAGAATTACTTTGAATTCACAACTTCATCTGAATGTGACTTTGAACTATGATTTGAAGGAAACCTTTCCCAGTAGCAAGGTCAATGTGACTATAAATATTATAAAACAAGGTACAACGCAATTAAGACTCAACTAATCTCTAAGCATATAATTTTTCCTTGATAATACCTCTAACAGCCCAGGTTCAAAGTATCAACTCAGTGATGTGTGTGATTTCTCTTTAATGCTGAACGAATAATGTTACTTCAAAACTATACAAAATCTAATGCTCAATCCTTTACCCTTAACTGGGAAAGGATTAGATCTGTTAGAGTTCAGATTCAGTGTGTTCCAAAGAACACACCAAGTTCAACTTTAATGTAATAGAAATGCATGTGCTCTGGGACACTCAATATTGAATGAAATGAATGATTTATTTTTAATATATTCCACTGAAAATACATATGATATCATCTTAACAGGAACATACTTTCAGACCTTCTCCAATTTGGCATATATATTATTTTCTTGAACTACACCCATTTGATGGCTCCGTTATTACTGCTATTAACTACATACAACAGGTTGCTTTTTAAATAGGCCAAATGATAGTAAAACTCACTATATCCCTTCATATAATTGTACTGCCTACATAGAAGCACAGTCCTCATATTATTTAATTACAATACTGAACACACCACTTTAAATTGAAGAGGCATTAGGTGACAAAATATATATTTCTTCACTTTAAACATTTTAAGGATTTTTTTCCTCCAGAGATCACTATCTATTGCTGTTATTTTAAAAATTATATGCAGTAAGCTTCCTTATACCACTTCCAAAAGATGACTTCAACATGAATCAACAGAAATATTTTCCTAAAGTAGGTCATTGCTATAGCAACCAGTGGACGGTTTAGTATACTCCGTCACAATGACCTACTTACCAGTCTGTGCTAGAACAGCTTTATATAACTAGAATTTCTAGTTCTGTCTATGAAATAGTCCAAAAAAGGCAATGGTAAGATACAACATAATCCTATTGCTGCTGAACACAAGGCATTAAGAACATGTACCATGCCAGAATAAAGCCATGTGGTTCTGTATGCTAGTTTGTAAAATATATCTTACACACTCAGCAATAAAAACTACACTTACAATATCTAAACAGGAACAACTCATTGCTGACCCCAAAGAACTGATTCAAAGAATATAAACTAAAATCACTAAAACTACAAGGAGAATAACCTTATTATCCACATAAAACAAGAGTTAAATGTAGAAAAAACTAAAGTTCTGTATACACCATCATAAAGAAAAAAAATGGAGATTCTCAGTCATTAACCAAAGTCTATTATATTTTATTAGAGATTTAAAAAATATAACAATTTGTGTGTGTGTAAATTTAATAAAATTTACATATGCTCTTTTTTCTGGTTTGTTACAAATTTTTAGTGCTTTCATCTAACTTAATTTTACCTAAATTGTCTGGATATTTGTGATACACACTTTCCCTGAAGATAAGAGTTTAATGTTCAATAAAGATGAAATATATATTTTAAAAGCAAACTTTGCATTTGCCACACTCTAAAAGCCATAAACCAGTAGACCTATATCACTTTTTATAACTAATATTTTGCAATGCCCTCTTTTAAATCCTGAAATAAAAGACCTAGATAATATAACATTTCCATACACACAATTTTAAAGCATTAATATCATGCTCTAATTGAAACATATAGGAGAAATTAAAGGAAAGTCATTAATATTTTAAAAAGAAGTAACATGTACTTCTAGAGGTAAATATGTGGGCATGATATAAGGAGACAATGAATTAAAACTCAGTGTCCACACCTACATACAGAATCATTTAAAATTTAACAGCTACAAAACAGACTAACACAGTTGTGTTACTGGCGACTCAAACATCATACACCATGAGTGATATTGCCTTTGGTGATGTGATTTTCTGAAATATTGACCAAGACAGGAAAGTTCAGAAAAAAAAGCAAAGTACAATCTTTCCTTTATTTATATAGGTGATAAATACATTCCAGGGAAACTCAGTGTATATTAAAATTGTGTAAAAAATACCTACTGTTTATACATAAAGATTTAGGCTCTAGGTTCAGACAATTATGAATAAGTTTTTCACTTACATTAAACATCTGGAAGAACATTTGAAATTTATGTGTAACTCAGAAAAACTATTTTATTTACTTATTTACTTTAGAGACAGGGTCTCGTTATGTTGCCCAGGCTGGCCTCAAATTCCTGGACTCAAGTGATCCTCCCATCTCGGTTCCTGAATAGTCAGGACTACGTGCATGCACACTATGGCACCTAGAGACAACTATTTATTTTGAGGGATTACTCTGAGTACTGAAAGAAATCTTCCATTCTTGGCTTCTCCTTACTAATTCCACTAGCACCTTCCAATCATTGTGACAACTGGCCGGACACAGGGGCTCATGCCTGTAATCCTAGCACTTTTGGGAAGCCAAGGTGGGTGGATCACTTGAGCGCAGGAGTTTGAGACCAGCCTGAGCAACATAGGGAGATCTCATCTCTACAAAAAGTACAAAAAAACTAGCTGGGCGTGGTGGCGTATGCCTGTAGTCCTAACTACTTGGGGTGGGCTGAGGCAGGAGGATCAATTGAGCCTGGGAGGTTGAGGCTGC
Source organism: Homo sapiens (assembly GCF_000001405.40). Lineage (NCBI taxonomy): Eukaryota > Metazoa > Chordata > Mammalia > Primates > Hominidae > Homo > Homo sapiens. The sequence continues at coordinate 107,029,537 of NC_000012.12, forward strand.
ACTGAGCTGGCTGTAATCATGCCACTGCACACTGTACTCCAGCCTGGGCGACAGAGTGAGGTCTTGCCTCAAAAAAAAAAAAAAAAAAAATCAATCATTATGACAACTGAAAATTCCTCTACAAAATTTCTAAAATGTGTTTGAAGGAGTGATACTGTTAATTACTTCTATAATTTCAATCACTGATTTATGAGTCATACAAAGATAAATGAGGTTCCAATACTCACAGAGCTTAAAACCTAAAAAAGTAACCTGAATATGTATATTATGTAAATAAATACTACAGAACTGGCTATGGTAGAATAAAACATATAAAATACAAATAGATATCACTAATATGCTCTGAAAAATCAGGTGGGAGAAATCATTTCTGGATTTTTCTTTCCTTGTTTTGATATGGGGAGCGGCTTAGGCAAAAATTTCAAGGATGTGGTGGTGATGGTAGGTAGTGACCCTGAAGTATCAATACAATAGCTGGAGATAAGGAAGGAGAATTATTGGCCACTGGACTGTAGCCTGCAACTAGGCCTTGTTCACCACTTCCCACTGTCCAATTCCTGACATATAGCAGGAGTTCAATAAATATCTATCTAATGACTAAATAAATTAATGAAAGCAGAAGAAAGGGATTTTAAAGGCTTGATTCAACAGTCAATGAAGAAGGAACAAGAATGGGAAAGAATATTCTCTGAATGTCTATTGTGCTGGATACTTTACATATATTATATTCCCAACAATTTTACAAGGTATCTCATTTTAAAAATGATGGAATCTGAAACTCACCAAGGACATTTCCATACCCAGGTAAACAATGAAGCAGAAAATTTAATCTGGATGTCTCTGACTCCAAACCATAGTGCTCTTTGTACTACATAATGTGACTTTTCTACAGAATATGTAATAATCTAAGATGTTTTAGGAAAATTAATTTGACAGCTTTAAGAACATAACAATGACTAGTATACAGTTTTTGTCCTCAAGCTGAGGAATAGGCGTGTGTATCAATTAAGAAGAATTTAGGATATACCATGGTAACAAATCAGTCAAAACAGGTCACATGGCCAAGTTAGTCTTCAAAAAGGCAGGAAAGCATAATCTTCTTGCAGGAAGGGACACTAAATAACAGTGTACAGTAATGATATCTACCACAATATCTAAGCACTGATATTATGTGCCATGTGGTAAATTTTATTATGAAAAGTGTATTATGGTAGCCCAGAAGAAACCTAACTGTGTGGGGGTGGGGAAGGGGGCAGGGGAAGGCACAAGGAAGAAAAGATTTGAGTAGAGTTTAGAATTAATAGGTGTTGCTTAAGGTGATAAAGCAGAAATGGGCAACCAAAGCAGAAAAAATAGTATGTATGCTTAAATCACAGAAACTCAGAAGAGCTGGGGGTTGGGGGTACCTGGGGACTGTAAGTATTATGCTTTCTATACTAAGTTGTATATTCTCCCCAACACAAGCTTTAACATTTCAAAATATATTCAAATCAATGTCAAAACAAACCTGTTATCAACTTCTGTTGTTGACAGTACACCGGATTAAGATACCCTAACAGAAATAACTAACAAACTGAGAAACAACAACAACAACAGAAAAGTTCTTAAAATAATTCACCGGGTTGTCCAAAAAGCAAGAAGGCATAACAGGTCACAGGGAGCTAAAGTCAGCTTTAGCCCTGGGGATTTCTGCAGAGCCCTGAGAACTCTGAGCTTCATCTGGGTTGAAGAGGACAGGAGATAAAGCCCAAGACCCACCCAAAGTAAGGAAGCTAATAATAGATTCAATATAAAGCCTGGGCTTCCAAAAGCTTTAGTAAATAAGACATAAATCTTTTTTTTTTTTTTTTGCTTATTATACCCAGACTGCTCTGAAAGATACAAATCTTAAGTCACAGATGAAGACTACAAAGAAACTTATCTGTCTCTAGCCAGTTTGGGATGAAAGAAAATAAAATCTCTCCTTGAATGGAAAGGAAAAAATAGTAACTTTACAGCAGTGAATACTGACAAGTACTACCTTAACCACACAATCAGAGTCAACAACACCAGTGATAGGTCAATCATGTTGATATTATGTTCACTCTGACTTAATGTGATGAGAAAACCATTTCACCTCTGTGATATTGTCCCCCAAACCCCCATAACCCTAGTTTAATTATCAAAAAAAATCAGAGAAACTCAAATTGAGGGCCGTTCTACAAAACATTTGACCAGTACTCAAAACCACAGAGGTCATTAAAAATAGAGAAAGCCTAAGAAACTGTTACAGAGGAGACAAAGGAGACGTATGACTAGATGCAGTGTGGTATTCTAGATGGGATTGTGGAAAAGAAAAACTTAGTGGAAATCTGAATAAAGTCTGGAGTTTAGTTAGTACTATGGTTTCTTTTTCTTTTCTTTTCTTTTTCTTTTGAGAGGGAGTTTCGCTCTTGTCGCCCAGGATAGAGTGCAGTGGCATGATCTTGGCTCACTGCAACCTCCACCTCCCGGGTTCAAGCGATTCTCCTGCCTCAGCTTCCCAAGTAGTTGGGACTACAGGCATGCGCCACCACGCCCGGCTAATTTTGTATTTTTAGTAGAGACGGGGTTTCGCCACGTTGGCCAGGCTGGTCTGGAACTCCTGACCTCAGGTGATCCACCTGCCTCGGCCTCCCAAAGTGCTGGGATTACAGGCATGAGCCACCACGCCCGGCCAGTACTATGGTTTCTTAGTTTTAATAAAAGCACCATGGAAATGGAAATGTTAATATTACAGGAAACAGGATACAGAGCATACAGGAACTCTGTGTATTATCTCTGCATATTTTCTACAAATCTAAAATTATTCAAAAAAATTTTATTAAAAAAATCCTCCGAGAATGAATCACCTCAACGCAAATTCATGGAAACTATGTGGTCCCAAACACCTCAAGCATGACAATGCGTTTAAAGTGGTCACAGGCTTGGTGTGCTCTGAGATAACTGTTACAGACACACACACACACACACACGTCACAAATCCTCTCTGTATTCTCAACTTTAAAACTCAGACTTCAGGCCAGGCACGGTGGCTCACGCCTATAATCTCAGAGCCCACGAGTTCTAGACCAGCCTGGGCAACATGGAGAAACCCTGATTAAATTAGTTGGGCATGATGGCATGCACCTGTAATCTCAACTACTCGGGAAGCAAAGGTGGGAGGATCGCTCAAGCCCAAGAAGTCAAGGCTACAGTGAGCTGTGATCACTTCCCTGCACTCTAGCCTGCATGACAGAGCAAGATCAATTTTAAATTGGTATCATTTATATGTTTTGAAATTAGAAAATACTTGAAGACTTGAAATTAAGAAAAACAGCAGAATAAATCCTTAAAAACTAAAAAGAAGAAAATGATAAAGAACAGAAATTAGTGAAAACAGAACACAAATTCGTGAGAAACAGCAAAGCCAAAATGTATTATATGAAGAGACAATAATATAAATGTCCGACAAGAATAATTAAGAAAAAAAATGGGAGAGGGAAGAGTAAGAAATGTTAAGAATTTTTTAAAAAGTGGGGACATAATCTTAGATACTGCAGGGATTAAACGGAAAATAAATAATTTTATGCAAACAAATTTGAAAACTTAGATGAAATAAATTCCTTGCTAAAACTGACTCAAGAAACTTAAAACTTACCAAAATGGACTCAAGAGTAAAGAAAGAACAGGAATAATTCTAAGTCACTAAATAAATTGAATCCATAGCTTAAAATCTTACAAGAAAAACACAAGAGTCAGTTAGCTTTACAGATGAATTCTACAAAATATTTAAGGAATAGATAATTCTATTTTTACAAAGGATTCCAATCTCATAAAAAGGATAGACAGAAAAGGAATATTTAACTTATTTTATAAGGTTAGATTTACCTTGACACCAAAACCAGACAAAGACAGTATAAAAGAAAATTATAAACTAATTTCACTCATGAGCATATTATCACAGCAAACCAAATCCTGCAATATACAAAACATATTATATATCATGATCAAGTTGGGCTTATCCTCAGAAAGTTAAATCATTTAATATTTACAAATTGGTTACTGTAATTCACCTCATTCATAGAATAAAGAAGAAAAACTATATAACCAATTGACGAGATGTATAAAGAGTAGCAACAAAATCTCAATTCCCTTTAGCTTCAATAAACTAGAACTAGTAGGTAACATCCCTAATCTGAAAAAGGGTACCCGTAAAAATACTTAGGGAAAACAGCATATGTAATAGTGAAATGTTGAAAGCACTTCCTTTAAGATCGGAAAGAAGACAAAGATGCCTACTCCCACCGCTTCTCTATGCAATCTAGTAGGCCTAACTAATGTAGTGCAGGTTGAGCATCCCAAATCTGAAATGCTTCAAAATCCAACACATTTTGAGTGCTGACACTGTCACAGGCATTTGAACCAGAGTGACTCCATCTTAAATAGGGCCTTGGTAAAATAAGGCTGAGACCTGCTGAGCAGTACTTCCAGGAAGTTAGGCGTTCTTAGTCACAGGGTGAGACAGGAGGTCGGCAGGACTGGTATCACAAGATACAGGTCATAAAGACCCTGCTGATAAAACAGAATGCAGTAAAGAAGGTAGCCAAAACCCACCAAACCAAGATGGAGACGAAAGTGACCTCTGGTCATCCTCACTCCACATTATACACTAATTATAATGCATTAGCAAGTTAAGACACCCCCACTAATGCCATGACAGTTTACAAATGCCAAGACAACATCCAGATGTTACCCTATATGGTCTAAAAAGAGGAGAAATCTTCACTTCTGACAACTCCCCACCACTTTTCCGGAAAACTCATGAATAAGCCACCCCTTGTTTAGCATATACTCTTGACTGAGTATACTCAGTCAAGAAACCCATGATGCTGCTCTGTCTATGGACTGGCCATTTTTTGTTTCTCTACTTGTCTAATAAATTCGCTTTCATTTTACTCTGTGGACTTGCTCCAAATTCTTTCTTAAGTGAGTTCCAAGAACCCTCTCTTAAGGGCTGAATCAGAAGCCCATGTCTGGTAACATGACATTCAAAGGAAATGCTCCAATGAATTCGGTTGCTCAACTAGTAATGTCAATATTCAGAAATATGGGGAAGAATCTGAAATCTAAAACACTTCTGGTCCCAGGCTTTATGGACAAAGGATACTCAACCTGTAACGGAAGAGGAAGAAATAAAAGGCATAAGGATGGGAAAGGAAGAAGCAAAACCATGATTATTTATAGATGATAGGCAAATAAGTACTATCGATACAGAAAAAAATAAATACATAAATAAGCGTTTCAAAGGATTAAAATCACTTAATTTCTGGCATCAATTAGACTAATATAATCCTTGTAACTTATGCCTCTCTGATCTCAAAAATCACACAGAGCTATTTATAGTCCAGAAATTGTATTAGTTCTTATCTAACTTTAGAAATCACTGCATTGTGACTCTACCAGGTTAGGCCAAATAAAGTATAAGATATACTTCTAGGATTTAAAGGATCTACATACAACTAAAATAACATCTGCCTAACGTGTTCAAAAACATGCTGTCCCAGATCTATGAATAATGCTTTTCTGTAGTCTAACAGCCCTATTTCAAATTTCTGTCCTTCAAAAAGATATTAATAATGCTGAAAAATTATTCCACTTTTTTTGATCTATGACTTAGCACATGTAACTATTCAGGTCTGTTTGAAGTTTGGCCAATGGTCAAGATTTTTCTCGTACTGACATTACTGCAAAAATTTAGTCACTTATGCAATCTATCCAGTAATGTATCTATTAACAATTTATTGAGAGCCTATTAAGTGTCAGACATTGTTGTGGTCCCTGGTAATAAAGCAGAGAACAAAATTAAGTGCCTGCTATCATGAGGTTTGGATGTTAGATGATAATTATGATGATAATGATGATTACAGCTGCAAACATTTAGAAAGTGTGTATAAGACACTGCTCTAAGCACTTTAAATGTTTATACTCAATAACCCTTTGATATAGGTACTTCCTCCATTTCAAATGAGGAAACTGAAACATATACTGGTTAAGTAATTTTCCCAAGGACACTTGAATAATAAAGTGGCAAAGCCATGATTTCAAACCCAGTCAGCTTGGCTCCAAATTCCAAGCTCCTTGAACCATACAGTATTTCAGTGCTGATAATTTTTATGGAGAAAACTAAAATAGAGTAGAAGGATATCGGGGGGTATAATTTTATGCAAAGCAGTCATAGAAGGATTTATTCATATCCTTCCATTTATTAAACATCTCCCTTTGAAGATTGCCTCAGACCATCTCCTCCCACAGTCTTCCAATCTCATTTAATTCCATCCTTCAAGTTAATCAGGGCAAAGACTCACCTGGTTGGTCAGAATAGAACAGGGTTATGCTGCAGTAACAAACAACCTCCCAAATCAGTGGCTTGACAAAACAAAAGTTTTCATCTTGCTCATGCTGAGTTCACTGCAGCTCCAGCTAGTTATCTTCTAATGGTGACTTTACCGTCCCAGCTATTATGACCTTGTGGTTCTATAATTTCAACACAAGGCCTCCTCCACAGTAGGGGAAGAACTGGGAAACATACAGGGCTTTACATTGCCTTCACCAAGTACTTCCTCACACAATTCATTGGCCAGAAAGAGTCACACGGCCTCGCCAGACTGCAAAGAGAGCTGAGAATTGAAATGTTGCATAGCCCAGGTACGAATGGTGAATTGGATATTGGTGAACACTACCACATCATCCTTGACCTCTCTTTCTTTCATAGTCCACATCTAAAACTATGGCAAATCTTAACAGCTCTATGTTCAAAATACATCCAGAATCTGATTACTTCTGACTGCCTTTACCTCTACAGCTCAGGTTCAATTCTTCATCATTTCTGACCTAGATGATTCCACTGGCCTTCTATCTGATCTCACTGCTTCCATACTTGTCCTTACTGCCATCCAGTCCAGTCTTCACCCAGATGCCAAGTGGTCATGTCATCTCTATGAACAAAGTCTCCAACTGCAATGACTTCCCAGTCCATTTAAAGTTGGTGGTTTTTTTTTTTTTTTAAGTCCTTAAAATGGCTTTCTAGGTCCTACAGAACGAACCCGGGCAACCAATACCACTATGACTCCATCTTTCTTACTACTCTCCTTCTCACTCACTCTGTTCCAGCCACATGTCCTCCTTGGGATCCTGTGAGCATGCCAGAAATGCTCCTACTTCAGTACCTTTGCACAGGATGTTCTTTCCATCCAGAATACATTTCCCTCATACATCCACAGGGTTCAATTCCTCTCTTTCTTTAGGTCATTGCTCAAAGGTCATCTCTGAAGTGAGGCTCTCTCTGACCATCTTATCTAAAATAGACCTCTCCCCACCTCTGGCCCCTAGCATTCCTGAGCCCCCTTCCTTGCTATCTCTTTAACATACTATATAATTTATTTATGTGTTAATGACCTGTATCTCACCCCCACTCAGATGTAAATTCCATGAAAGTAAGGTTTTTGCCTCTTTTATTCACTACATTCAATAAATATATATAGTTTCAATGAATGAAGATGACATGTGAGCAGAAAGACACCTAAGGGGGTAAATGACCTATACAGATAACAGAGAAAACAGAACATCACAGAGGGAATAAAGGCCCAGACACATGGGACCTCATGACTGTTTGAGGAACAAAAAATAGGCCAATATGCTTGGACATCAAATAGTAAGGGGAAAGAATAATAAGAAAATGGTAATCCCAGCACTTTGGGGGCCAAGGCAGGTGGATCACCTGAGGTCAGGAGTTCGAGACCAGCCTGGCCAACATGGTGAAACCCTGTCTTTACTGAAAATACAAAAATTAGCCAGGCGTGGTGGTGCGCGCCTATAATCCCAACTACTCGGGAGGCAGAGGCAGGAGAATCACTTGAAACTGGGAGGTGGAGGTTGCAGTGAGCCAAGATCACACCATTGCACTCCAGTGTGGGCAGCAAGAGTGAAACTCAATTTCAAAAAAAAAAGGAAAATGATGTTCAGGTTCTACTGGGAGTCAATCACATGTGTCCGTGTAAATCATGGTAGAGACTTAAGTTTTTACTCTGAGTGAGTTGGGAACTCATTGAAAGCTTTTGAGCAGAGGTTGGAACATAATATAAATTTGTTTTTTAGAAATTATTTTATTTATTTATTTATTTATTTATTTTAGAGAAAGAGTCTCACTCTGTTGCCCAGGCTGAAGTGCAGTGGCATGATCATAGCTCACTGCAGCCTCAAATTCCTAGGCTTAAACGATCCTCCCACCTCAGCCTCCCAAGTAGCTGGGACTACAGGCACATACCAGCACACCTGGCTAACTTTTTAATTTTTTGTAGCTATGGGGTCTCACTATGTTGCCAAGGCTGGATTCGAACTCCCAATCTCAAGCAATCCTTCTGCTTTGGCCTCCCAAAGCATTAGGATTACAGGTGTGAGCCACCACAGCTGGCCCTGAATTTGCCTTTAAAAGGATCACTTGGGCTGCTGAGTAGAAAATAAGTACCAGGCAAAGAAAGGGCAGGCACAGGAAAATCACTTAGAGGTTACTACTTCTTTACAAGAGAGATGATGATGACATGGATAAAACTGGTAATGGTGAAAATGGTAAAAGAGTGGGGATCTGAATAGAAATTCAAGAGCTAATACAGCAAAGGAAATGAGATGACTAAGTCTGGAGTTCATGGTAGAAGGCTGAATTTGAGATATAAAACTGGAAATCATCAGCACATTTGTAGTAGTCTTAAGACTAGATGAAGGAAAAGAATGGCTGACAGAAAGAAGCAGCTTCACTTTGAATAAACAGAAGGAATGATAGAGAAGGCTGAAGAGAGAGCAGAAAAGAGGAAAGATGGAATAAAGTCTACAGAAGCAGTGGCAAAGGATAGATGTATGTATTCTCAGAAGGAAAGATGGATGGATTGACTTATAAAAGAAATGGAGGAAGGAAAAACAGCTAAATGGGACAGAGAAGCAAAGATAGAAGACAGAAGCAAGGGCATGTGGGACAGCAAAACGAAGACTAACGGAATATAAAAGCAAGAATGGATAAAGACAGATGGAAAATCGTAAGAGGGTCAAAAAGAAGGAAATAAGAACGATGTCAGTGAAATGATAGAATAGGAAGTCCTGGACTTTCCTTTCATCCACAGACACACTGATTCAACAGCAATACACAGATCAATTCCCTTTGTGAGAAACAAACTAGTTGAGAAGCTCCTGCACATTGGGAGAATGTGAAACTAGCCACACTGAAACTAGCAGGAGACACCCTCTCATCAAAATCTCCACTCTTGGCACAGAGCCATATGATTGAGACAAAACTCTCAGCTCCTAGGTTTTCCCTGAGGAAGATACATCCAATGTTCCATCCCTCCCAGCTGCTGCCCAAGAGACTAGCATCTGTATCATTCAACACAGAGTGCTGGGCGTGGTGGTGCATGCCTGTAATCCCAGCTACTCGGGAAGGCTGAGGCAGAAGAATCACTTGAACCTGGAAGGCGGAAGTTGCAGTGAGCCGGGATCGTGCCATTGTACTCCAGCCTGGGCAACAACAGCAAAACTCCACCTCAAAAAAAATAAAATAAATAAAATAAGGCCTTCATCTTACACTATACACAAGAATCAGCTCAACATGGATTAAGACTTAAATGTAAGGTCTGAAACTGTAACACTCCTACAAGAAAACAGAGGAAAAAGCTTTGTGACATTGGGTCTTGGCAATGCTTTCATCAATATGACTCCAAAGGAACTGGCAACAAAAGCAAAAATAGATGACATCAAACTAAAACCTTCTGCACAGCAAAGGAAACTATCAACAGAGAGAAAAGCTCACCTATAGAATGGAAGAAAATATTTGCAAACCATTTATCTGATAAGGAGTAAATTTCCAAAATATGTAAGGAACTCCTGCAACTCAATAACAGAAAACAACCCGTTAAAAAATGGGCTATGCATTTGAACAGGCATTTTTCTAAAGGAAACAAACAAATGGCCAACAGGTATATGAAATGATGTTCACATCACAAATCATTAGAGAAATGCAAATCAAAACCACAATGAGATATCACCTTATACCTATTAGCTATTGTCAAAAAAATAAAAGGCAATGTGTTGGCAAGGATATGGAGAAACTGGAACCCTAATGTAATGTTGGTGGCGCTGCAAAATGGTGTGATCAGTGTAGAAAAAAGCATAGAGGTTCCTAAAAAATTTTTGAATAGAACTACCATATGATTTGGCCACTCAACTCAAGGTTTTTATCCAAAAGAACTAAACTAAGGATTCCAAAGCAATATTAGCACTCCCAAGTTCACTGCAGCACTATTCAAAATAGCCACAAGATGGAATGAATCCAAAAGAATGGATTAAGAAAATATTATACATACATACATATACACACACGTATATGCATACATACACACAAATATAAAATACACACACAATGGAATATTATTTGGCTATTAAAAAGAAGCAATCCTTCAATATGTGACAACATGGATGAACCTTGAGGACATTATGCTAAGTAAAATAAGCCAGTGAAAAAAGGACAAATACTGCATGATTCCATTTATATGAGGTATATAAACTGGTCAAACTCATAGAAGCAGAGAATACATAGAATGGTGGCTATCTGGTGCTACAGGAAAGGGGAAACAGGAAGTTGCTAATCGACAGGTATACAGTGTCAGTTATGAGAGATGAATACTTTCTTTCCTTTTTTTTTTTTTTAGTTTTTTTTTTTTTTTTGAGACGGAGTCTCGCTCTGTCACCCAGGCTGGAGGTGCAGTGGCACAATCTCGGCTCACTGCAACCTCTGCCTCCTGGTTCAAGTGATTTTTCTGCCCCAGCCTCCCGAGTAGCTGGGACTACAGGTGTGCACCACCACACCTGGCTAATTTTTGTATATTTAGTAGAGATGGAGTTTCACCATATTGGCCAGGCTGGTTTCAAACTCCTGACCTCATGATCCACCCACATCGGCCTCCCAAAGTGCTGAGATTACAGGTGTGAGCCATGTGCCCAGCCAAAAGATGAAAACTTCCTAAAAATCTGTTGTAGAACTTTGTGACTATAGTTAATAATGTATTTTACACTTAAAAATCTTTCAACAGGGTAGATCTCAATTATTCCTACAGCAATAAAATATATTTTTAAAAAAAAGAAGAGGGAAGAGTAGATAGGAACAATCAAACCAAAATTTTAGAATCCTAAATCTGACGTGATATTCTGTAACAAAAAAGGTCAATTACTAATAAGTGAGTTATGAACCTTCCATGAATCTCAAATATATTGCATATACACTTGATTTCATCTTTGTAAGTGAGACATATCTCTTGACTTTATGGATGCTATATAAACCTTTAAAAAAAAAAAAAAGAGATGGGATCTTGCTATGCTGCCCAGGCTGGTCTTGAACTCTCAGTCTCAAGTGATCTTCCTGCCTCAACCTCCCAAGTGCTGTGATTACAGGCATGAGCCACTGCATCTGCCCTATGGATGCTATACAACTAAATGACAGAACCTGTTCTACACTTACAGAGAGAAATATGAGAGGTGAAGCTAAGAATTAATTAGATAACATGTAGAACCGCCTATTGAGGTACATTCTTTCATTTATACAGCCAACATTTGGGCGTTTACTCAGGATACAAAAAAAAAAAATTCTACTCCTTAGAATCTCCACCATTTAATGAGATTAAAATACACAAATTTATTGTTATATTAATGAATGCATTGTATCATTGATGTCCCCAATGTTAAAGCACATAAAAAAGGAAAGCAATTATACTAGGGAAGATCTCTAAGGTTTTATAACAGAAAGATGGTAACTAATCTGGGTCTTTTTATATCTATCATGGCACTTTGTGACAGCAGCTTAAGTTGATCTTTACTTGAAGTATTTTTTAACTTCTGAGGTTGACTTAACACTAGCATAAGGCTATGTAATTTATGCCTTCCTAATCTCTAAATCACATAACAGTATTTGAAATATAGGACTTTTACTATTCCATGTGTATTTTTAGAAGCTGCTGCAACATAACACTACAGGCCAAAAATCATGTATAAAATATACTTCTAGGCTTTACAGGATTAATATGGAACTAAATGAAGTATGTTCAACATGTTTACAAAAGCAAATGGAGGAGCTATATATGCTGGTTTTCTGATATTCCTATTTTTACGCTAGATGAATTCAAGTTTTTCAGATGCTTTCATAGTGGTAGGACTATGGGGTGGGGGTGGGGAAGAGTGCCAGGAAAAGAAAAATAAAGCTGTAAAAGTTGAATACAGCACCCAGATTTTGGTTTTTAAATATCGTCCCCCAATAAGAATAACCAAGACTCAACAGAGCAGTTGCTGATTCCGGGGCTGCGGAAAGGAAAACAGAAGATGAACTGGAGCATTTCATAGTGTCAGAAAAAAGTGCTCAAGACAAATAGGATTGGTGTATGTTAAACAACAGGATGGGTGCCAACACTGGAACAATTTAAATGAAATAAACAGTAATAGCAGTACATTATGACCCAAAGAGTAAAAAAAATATACTCATGAGTCTGTACTTTTATAAATGAATGACTGAATAATTAAATCAATGAGGGAGAAGGAACAACTCTTCATTACAGAAGAATTCCAACTAATAAATATAGGATGAATGAAGGGAATAGAAAAATCATCATTAGAATAGCACATAATTCAGGCAAGATCTACTGTTGAATACTAAAATTCATGGTTGAATGTTTAAGGAGACAGAATATTTACAAAGTCTGAAAGTATCTCTCCCAAAATATTAATTACAGAAGAAAAATAGTAATTTTACAGCTGAGAAACCTGGCAGACATTAACTGAAACACATGATCAAGGTTAGTATCATTTGTAACAAGACATACCGATACCACATATCCCCTGATATAAAAAAAAGGCACATCACTTCTGTGGCATTTTTCCCCCAAAATGCATAACCTTAATCTAACTATGAGAAAATATCAGATAAAATCAAATTGAGGAGCAGTCTACAAAATACTTCGCCAGGTAATGATATACTGTATCTGAGTAAGATGGCCAACTGGAAGCCCCTAGCACTCATCGCCATCACAAAGACAGACAGAACAACAAATAAACAAATGTATTTTGAAGAAAATAGCTAAGGGAGAACACTGGGGTATATCACAGGAACAGAAACCCTGGTGAGTACAGAAACTTAGGATGGCCACACGGAGAATGGAAGGAAATGCCGGGCCTCCACCACCTCATCCTCCAAATGGGATCAGCTGAAAGCCAGGAGGAACTTCTCATGGTGAGGAGATAAGCAAGAGGATCCCAGCAACCTCCATCAACACCTTGAACATGTAGAGATCTTACCTCACAGGTACAAAGTCCAGCTGACGGAATTACCTGGAGTCCACGTAACTGTGCTCACCGTAGAGAAAAAGCAAACACTAGGCTCCACACCCTGCAGCTACAGGGCTACTACGCTATGCCATCGTAGAATTGGAACTATGGCTGGAGGGTGTCTTGCTCTGGCGGTGAGTAGCCGTGACTCTCCTTCATCTCTGAGACTAAGATGCAACTGAACCACCGCCCCAGCCAAGTGGTCCAACATCCCCAAGCCAAGCTTCCTTTCCTGTGGGGCCAAGCAGAGACAGAGCCACTTTACTTACCCCTCCACCCTTGTGCTTGAGCTGAAGTAGTATCTTGCCTCTTGCAAAAACAGTACCTTGGCCACTCTGAGCAGTCATGTCTCCCTGAAGTCTAAGATGAAGCAGTGCCCTGCATCCCAGGAAATGGTGACTTGGCCACCCAGAAGAATGATCATGCATTACAGTACCTAAGCTGAAGTGGAGCCCTACATCCCAGGGAAATGGTTCCTGGTCTTCCCAGAATAATCACACTCTACCAAGCTTGAGCTGAAGCAGCATTATCACCCTCTGGGAATAGGTGCCTTGGCTGAGCCGAGCAGCTGCACATCTCAGAGCTGAGCTGATGTAGTACCCTGCATCCCAGGGCAAAAAAGCAGTGGCTAAGCTGAGATACTCTGCTCTACAGGCCAAACAGCTCTAGTATCCTGCTTCTGTGGAGCTGGACTAGCTACCTAGAGTGTGAGTTGCTGAGATACCCATCTCCCTTGATGGTGGGGTCAGAACTGTGCTGTTCCCTGTTCCTCGCAGGGTCCAATGACAGCTGTGCTCTGCCATTCTGGGTATTTGCTGCCACTACATCTGGCCTCCCAGAGGGAGGATACTGCTGAGCCCCACTATACCACGGTCTAGAGTTATTACTACACAGTTGCTCATCCTCTAGAACCCAAATTGCCACTGAGCCCTATTGGCTCAGATTCCTAAACTGCAGCTGAATTTTGCTCCCCAGGCTCAAACCTCCAAAGTACCCCTTACTCCATGGAGTCAGGCCAGAGCTGTGTTCTGCCTCCTTCAGGGGTAGAATCATAGCTACAACTCAGCTTCCTGAGACCAGGCTGCTAGATGGTACCTGAGTCACAGATTTTGGTTCTATGGACAACCGGTATCCAACCCTGCCACAGAAAGCGAACCTGTACTCCAAGACCCAGTTGCCAAAACAGGGTCATGAGACCCTGAGATTAGGACCTCCATCTGCCCCACAGCTGCTCTGGACATCTGCACCTGGAACCCAGAGCTGCTGCAGCTGCTTGTAGGTTGTGTCAGACCTGACAATAAGAGGAATCCCCTTGGCTAAGTCTCCTAATTGTGGGGAAAATGAGAATAGAAGAATCCCAAAAAGCCTATGACACCAAGAACATTAACAATCTATGCTGCTGCAGCTGCTGCCGCCACAAAGTTCTACAGCCTAGGCTACTGAGGTGCCCACAGTTATTGCTGATGTTCAATGCAGCTGGAGCAGCTGCATGGAGACTATACCACTGCACCTATCTGGAAAGAGAGTCACCATACCCTTTCCAAATGGCACACTAAAACCCAATAACAGGTGAAAGTCTGTCTCTATGAAAGATATTTTAGGAAGTTTGGAAGAGACAACTGTTCTACCAGATGCACAGACATCAATGCAGGGACCAATACAGACAGACTATTCAATGAAATCAGGAAAACAATTCACAATATAAACAAGAAATTCAACAAAGAGATATAAATAAAAAGAACCAAACAAAAACGCTGTAGCTGAAGAATTCAATAAATGAAATTTAAAGAAATACATTAGAGAGCTTCAGCAGCACACTTTGATCAAAAAGAAAGAATCTCTGAATATGAAGGTAAGTTATTTGAAATTTGTCATTGGAGAAAGAAAAGGAAATAAGAATGAAAAAGAACGAAGAAAGCCTACAAGACTTATGAGACAACATTAAGCAAACAAAACTTTCTATTATGGGAGTTTCAGAAGAAGAAGGGAAAAGGTGTAGAAAAACCTATTTAATGAAATCATAGCAGAAAACTTCTCAAGTCTGGGGAGAAATATGCACATTCAGATCCAGGAAGCTCAAAGGTCCCCAAATAGATTCAATCCAAATCATTCCTCACGGCACATTACAGTCAAATTGTCAAAAGTTAAAGACAAAGAGAGAATTCTAAAAACAGCAAGAGAAAAGTGTCAAGTCATATAAAAGGAAATCTCCATTAGACTAATAGCAGATTTCTCTGAAGAAAGCTCACAGGCCAGGAGAAAATGGGATGATCTATTCAAAGTGCTAAGAGAAAAAAAAAATGCCACCAAAAATACCATACTCAGCAAAGATATCCTTCAGAAACAAGGGAGAAATAAAATCTTTCCCAGACAAGCAAAACTGAGGAAATTTATCACCACTAGATAAGGCTTACAAGAAATTCTCAAGGGCAGCCGGGTGCAGTGGCTCATGCTCGTAATCCCAGCACTTTGGGAGGCTGAAGTGGGTGGATCATGAGGTCAAGAGATAGAGACAAGCATGGCCAACGTGGCGAAACCCTGTCTCTACTAAAAATACAAAAATTTGTCAGTTTTGGCTTCTGTTGCCATTGCTTTTGGTATTTTATACATGAAGTCCTTGCCCATGCCTATGTCCCGAATGGTATTGCCTAGGTTTTCTTCTAGGGTTTTTATGGTTTTAGGTCTAACATTTAAGTCTTTAATCCATCTTGAATTAATTTTTGTATAAGGTGTAAGGAAGGGATCCAGTTTCAGCCTTCTACCTATGGCTAGCCAGTTGTCCCAGCTCACTCATAGTGGGGGAACTGAACAATGAGAACACTTGGACACAGGAAGGGGGACATCACACACCGGGGCCTGTTGTGGGGTGCGGGGAGCGGGGGAGGGATAGCATTAGGAGATATACCTAATGTAAATGATAAGTTAATGGGTGCAGCACACCAACATGGCACATGTATACATATGTAACAAACCTGCATGTTGTCCACATGTACCCTAGAACTTAAAGTATAATTACAAAAAAATACAAAAATTAGCTAGGTGTGGTGGCCAGCACCTGTAGTCCCAGCTATTCAGGAGGCTGGGGCAGGAGAATTGCTTGAACCTAGGAGGCGGAGGTTGCAGTGAGCCGAGATTGCACCACTGCACTCCAGCCTGGCGACAGAGCAAGACTCTGTCTTAAAAAAAAAAAAAAAAAATTAGTTGGGCATGGTGGCACACACCTGTCATCCCAGCTACTCGGGAGGCTGAGGCACAAGAATCACTTGAACCCAGGAAGTGGAGGTTCCAGTGAGCCAAGATCATGTGACTGCACTCCAGGCTGGGTGACAGAGTGAGACTTTGCCTCAAAAAAAAAAAATGCTCAAAGGCATCCTACATCTAAAAACACAAAGACAATAATCACTATCACGTAAATATGCACAAGTATAAAACTCACTGGTAGAACAGATAACACAAATTAGAAAAAGAATAAAAACTTACAACTACAGAAAACCACCAAACCACAATGATAAACAATAAGAGAGAAAGAAAGAAACAAAGAATACACAAAACAACTAACAAAGTGACAGGAATAAGACCTCACCAATCAGTAATAACCTTGAATAATAAATTGATTAAATTCCCCACTAAAAAGCTACAGAGTAGCCAAATGGATTTTAAAAACAAAATGATCCAATTGTATTCTGCCAACAAGAAACTTAATTCACCTGTAAGAAACATACAGAATGAAAGTGAAGGGATGAATAAAGATATTCCACACAAACAAAAACCAAAAGCAAAAAGGAATAGCAATATTTACACTAGACAAAGCAGAATTTAAGTCAAAAACTAAAAAGAAACAAAAGCTCATAATATAATGATAAAAGGATCAATTCAACAAGAGGATATAACAACTGTTAATATAATGTATCCAACACTGGAGCACCCAGATATAAAGCAAATATTATTCAATCTAAAAGGATAGATTCCATTACAATAATAGGGACTTAATCATCCAACTCTCAGCATTGAGAAGATCATCTAGGCAGAAGAAAATCAACAAAGAAACACTGGACTTAAACTGCACTCAAGACCAAATGGACCCAACAGACATTTAGAACACTTCGTTCCACAGTTGTAGAATACACATTCTTTTCATTGGCATATGAAACGTTCTTGTGGACAGACCACACGTTAGGTCACAAAACAAGACACAACAAATTTAAGATAACTGAAATCATATCAAGTATCTTTTCTGACCACAATGGAATAAAATTATAAATCACTACAAGAACTTTTGAAGTTATACAAATATAGGGAAATCAAAGAACCCACTTCTGAATGACCAGTGGATCAATGAAGAAATTAAGAAAAAGATTTAAACATTTAAATCATTTCATTTGAAACAAATGAAAATTAAAAACCAACATACCAAAACCTATGGACTACAACAAAAACAGTATTAAGAAGCTTATAGCAATAAACACTGATATGGTTTGGCTCTGTGTCCACACCCAAATCTCATCTTGAATTGTAGTTCCCATAATCCCAAAGTGTCATGGGAGGAACTAGGTGGAAGGTAATTGAATCATGGAGGCAGTTCCCACCATGCTGTTCTCCTTATAGTGAATTTGTTCTCACAAGATCTGATGATTTTATAAGAAGCTTCCCCCTTTGCTTGGCACTCATTTTCCTTCCTGCTGCCACGTGAAGAAGGATGAGTTTGCTTCCCCTTCTGCCATGATTGTAAGGTTTCTTAAGGCCTCCCCAGCCCTGCAGAACTGTGAGTCAATTAAACCTCTTTTCTTTATAAATTACCCAGTCTCAGGTATTTCTTCACAGCGGTATAAGAACAGACTAATACAAACACCTATGTCAGAAAAGTAGGAAGATTTCAAATAAACAATCTAACAATGCATTACAAGGAACCAGACAAGCAAAAACAAAGCAAACCCAAAATTCATAGAGAAAAAAACCAATCAAGGTTGGTGCAAAATAAACAAAATTGAGACTAAAAAAAATTACAAAAGATCAACAAAATGAAAATTTTTAAAGACAAAATTGACAAACCAATAGGTAGACTAATATAGAAAACAAGTACTATTATAAAATAACTGTTCAAAGCAATTATATTATTTTTTGAATGCTAGTATCCATTCAGATTTTTTTTTTTGAGATGGACTCTTGCTCTGTCGCCCAGGCTGGAGTGCAATGGCATTATCTCCATTTACTGCAACCTCCGCCCCCTGGGTTCAAGCAATTCTCCTGCCTCAGACTTCTGAGTAGCTGGGATTACAGGCACCTGCCACCACACCTGGCTAACTTTTTGTATTTTTAGTAGAGACAGGGTTTCACTACGTTGGCCAGGCTGGTCTCGAACTCTGGACCTCATGATCCACCCACCTCGGCCTCCCAAAGTGCTGGGATTACAGGCGTGCGCTACTGTGCCCAGCCATTCATTCAGATTTATCCACATACTTATGGTTTCTATTGCTCTTTATATCTTTCTGTATCTCTGTATTTCTATATAGAATCATTTTCCTTTTGCCTGGCAAAACCCCTCTAGATTTCCTTCATATTTGATCTGCAGATTCTGTTTATCTGTCCTCTCCTTTTGGGATTTCAATACAAACATTTCAGATTCCTTTACCAAATACCGTATGTCTCTCATGCTATTTTCTGTATTTTCCATCCTATTATTTTGTGTTTGAATCTGGCTATTTCTTCTGAACTATCAGTTTATCAATTCTCTCCTCAGCTATATCTAATCTTCTGATAAACCTATCCACTGACTTGTTAACTTCAGCTATCGTATTTTTCATTTCTAATATTTTCATTTGAGTATTTAAAGCTCTCTGTCAAAATTCCCTATTGTATTCAATTTTTGAAAATATTAATCACAGCTGTTTTTAAATCCATAATTGATAAGTCTAATGTGGATTTCCTATGAGTCTAATTGTCTGGTTTTTTTCCTCCTGGTTTCAGTCATTTTTTGTCTTTCAAAATGCCTGGTTATTTTTTACCGTGTTCCAGACATTATATTTAAAAAGCTATAGATATCCTCCTTTAGAGAACCTTAACATTTACTTGTGGCACACTTCTAAAATATGATCTAACACCATTAATCACTTAAGTATTAAGCTGATTTCCCTATGGACTTTAGTGCTTGTATAGGATATTTTACTCACTCTATTCCTAGGATATTGCCTTTCAGGGGTTTCAACCAAAAGCTGAAATAGTCCAGGGCTCCTCTTCCTTGTTAGTCTCTGAACTCCATTTTTTTCCCTTTCAGCCCAACACAACTGCTAAAAATTCTGCTCAGTCTCTCAGTCACCATTGTAATTTTCAGAATTGACTTTTGCATTAAGGAAAAAACAGCATCAAATGTCAAGTTCGATTATCTTGGTTTTCCTTTTCTTCCAGATCTTAGCCCCACAAATTCTTACTATCTTTTTTTTGTTTGTTTTGGGATGGGGTCTCATTCTGTTGGCCAGGCCAGAGTGCAGTAGTGCGATCTTGGCTCACTGCAGCCTCCGCCTCCTGGGGTCAAGTGATTCTCCTGACTCAGCCTCCTGAGTAGCTGGGACTACAGGCACGTGCCACCAAACCTGACTAATTTTTGTATTTTTTTAAGTAGAGTTGGGGTTTCACCATGTTGGCCAGCCTGGTCTCAAACTCCTGACCTCAAGTGATCTCCCTACTTCGGCCTCCCAAAGTGCTGGAATTACAGGTGTGAGCCATCGTGTCCAGACAAATTCTTATTATCTGTGTAACTCTCTGATGGCTTCAAAGAGATTTTTAAAAAATATTTTCTCAGCTTTCCTATGTATTTTTAGTATACATACCTGGTGTTTGGTCTAGGACAACCAAATCAGCCACTTCCAGAAGTAGAAATGCCCAGTTTAACATGTATTTAGTTTGAAGTGCCTATGAGACATCCAAGAGGACTTGTTAATTATAAAATGATGTACATAATTCTGGAATTTAAGCTAGACATCTGCAATAGTAGACATAAATTTGGGACTTACTGTAGAAATGGCCCTAATTGCTATAAAACTAGATATACAAGTGGAAGAACAGTTGGAAGGAAGAAAAACTAAGGCATTCAAGGAAGTAAGGAGATAAAGAAAATGGAGTGGTTACAAAAGACAAAGTGGGGGAGACACAAGGGGAAAGTAAAAGCAAGAGAGCATCTTTCCATAAGAAAATAGGAATAATGGAAAGAGAAGAAGAAAAAGCTAGAAAAAATGGAAAGGTAGAGAGAAAAACAATGAGGAGGGCTGGGAAGAAAGATGGCAAGGGGAGGGAAGTTTGGAAGAAGGAAGGTAGGATAGGCAGGTAGCACCAAAAAAGGAAGGGAGAGACAGAATAAGTGATATGATTTGGACATTGTGTCCCCTACAAAGCTCATGTTGAAATGTGACCTCCAGTATTGGAGGTGGGCCTAGGGGGGAGCCATTTGGGTCACTGGGGCAGATACCTCATCAATGGGTTGGTGCTATCGTCATGATGCGTGAGTTTTCACTCTATTAGTTCATGTAAGATTTGGTTGTTTAAAAGACCCTGGCACCTCCTCCCCTCTCTCTTGCTCCCTCTCTTGTCATGTGATTCTCCTGCTTCCCTTTCACCTTCTGCCACAATTGTAAGTTTCCTGAGGCCCTCAACAGAAGCAAGTGTTAGCAGCAGCTTCCAGTATAGCCTACAGAAGTGTGTGCCAAAATATCTCTTTTCTTTATAAATTACCTAGTCTGAGATGTTCCCTCATAGCAGCACAAACAGAAATAACACAAAAAGGAAGAAAGGCTGACAGAAAGGACAGACCTTTGTAAGATGGATCTTTGTAAAGATGACAGAGACAGACTAACCAGCCTTGGAAGGACAGACTAACCAGTCTTAGAAAGGACAAATGGGTGTTTGGATGTCAATTATGAAAGAAGGAGGGGGCAGCATGAAAGAAAGGAAGAGTGGAATGGATGAGAAAGAGCAGGACAGAAAGATTCAGACACTTTGATAAGGAGACTTAACAGGAAGTGAGTATGAGAGCTCTAGAAAAAAGAAAATAATGAAAGAACAACAAAATAAATCCAATTAAGATAGCCACTAAATATGATGTGGTTTTCAAAAGAAAGGTGGAGAAACAGTTTAAAAATTTCAAACAAGAGGGTTATGAACCTGTCATGGACTGAAAACAAATTTCAATTACATGCGTTTACACATTTGAAAATAAAAATGTTCCCTAACCATATAGCTGTTATGTAATTATATGAAAAACATGTGTTATGTAGAGAAAAAACAAACAAACAAACAGAAACAACAGAACTATTCTTAACTAATCCTGTGAGTCACATTATCTTATTTAGGTAAAAAGTTACATTTAGGCCTGTATTAATTTTTAAATATTCTTATAGTCCTACTGCTTTTATGTCCTTTTTATGGTAAAATATTAGTGACCAATAAAATGCAGAAAATTGTATCTGAAGCACTTTCATTCACTCATTCTTTCAATCAACATTTGGGTATTTTCTTGAGTTAAAAAAAATCAATAAAGCTTTAAAAATAGATAAATAAGAAGATACAGAATTCCCATCCTTGAAGCCTCCCAAATTTAATGAGAATAAGATATGGATATTACCTATCAAACTGCATTATTAAAGTTCATGGCACAGAGGAGTCAATCTGTCAAGGAAGGTCCATAAAGTTTCACGAAGATAATCTTTGATATGGGCCTTTTAACTATCATAGCATTTCACTTTGTGACAGCAGCATAAAATGATCTGTAATAGAAGTATATATACCTTCTAGAGTTGAATTACACTAGCACAAGTCTATATAACTTATGCCACCATGATTTCAAAAACCACATAGAGGTAATTGTAATCTAAGGCTCCTACTAATTTTTATCTATTTTTAAAGAACACTATATTGTGACTCCAAAGGGGAGGGAAAATCAGCAGAACATCTACTTGGGGACTTTAGGAGACTTATATAAAATTAAATAAAATCTGTTAAGCATTTGTAAAAGGCAAATTAGAACTATATATAATGATTTTCTGTAGTCTAAAAGAAATTTCCCTTCTCAAAAAAATTATTCAAAAATGCTGAAAATTATTCTGATTTTTCTGACCTATGATATAAATTGTAAACAACTATCCCAAGTTTGCACGAGGTTTTTCTAACGGTTACTTGGTAAGGATGATTTTTAAAGAGAAAGACAAGAAAAAGAAAATCAAGAAGGTCATAAAAGAACCTAGAATTCTATACCCAGTGTAAATAAGGATGGTATCTTCAGACAAACTTGGGAGAGTTTACCATTAGCAGCCTTTTACTATAGAGAATTCTAAAAAATCTAACGTAATTAGATTTGAGACTCTCCTAAAATGACAGTACCTCTTTACCACAAGGGCAGTCCCTTGAATAACACTTTATAATCATTTATTTATTCAACAAATATTTATTGAGAACTTATGTACTAAAGACTGTACTAGATATTAGAAACACACCTGTGGTTTTTTAAAGTCAAACTTCCTACAATTTGAAGCTAATATTCTAGAAGGAGAGGGAGTAAAGACAGAATAATACAAAAACAGTAAAGCAAACTGTTCAAATGGTAATAACTGAATAACATAAAGTTAAAGGGGAAACTGGGACTTCAGGGAATAAAGGAATGGAGACTGGTATTTTATATGAAACAAGTCAAGAAAATACTCACTGATAATAGAACATCTGTGCAGAAACCTGAAGGAAAGTTGGAGAGCAAGCAGTGCTGGTAAGGAAACATTTTGTGCAGAGGGAACAGCAGATGTACAACACAGGTGAAGAACATGCATGGCACTTTAAAAAGAATACTCAAAAAACCAGTATGGCCACAGCACAGAGAGTGAAAGAGTGGCAAGAGATTATTAGGTTAGAAAGTTATCAAGTTCCAGTTCACATGACATCTTGTAGACTATGGTAAGGGCTCTGCCTTTTACTCTGAGATATAAGCCACTAGAGATTGATCCTACTTGTGATTATGAAGGATCACAATGAGCTGAAGAGGAAGAAGGAGAGAACCAGAGAATCTGAAGGGAAATTATTCGGTAGTTAATGTGGAAGCATGAGATGGTCCGAACTTGGATACATTTTGAAGGCAGAGCCCATATAATTTAATCAACATGTTTAAAGTAAAAAAAGCAAGGAATAAGAAATGGCAGATTTGAAAAAGAACCAAAGAAAATCTCCATATATGAAAAATATAATAATTGAAATCCAAACTTAACAGATACAGTTAAAAATAACATTTATAGAATAGCTGATAAAAAGACATTTTTAAAAATGAAGTACAGAGAACCAAAGAGATGGAAAATATGAAGAAAATAAAAGAGTGCAGTAAAAATGTCTAACACACGTACAAATGTATTTTTTTTTTGAGACGGAGTTTCACTCTTGCTGCCCAGGCTGGAGTGCAATGGCGCAATCTCAGCTCACCATAACCTCTGCCTCCCGGGTTCAAGCAATTCTCCTGCCTCAGCCTCCTGAGTAGCTGGGATTACAGGCATGTGCCACCACACCCGACAAATTTTTTGTATTTTTAGTAGAGAGGGGGTTTCTCCATGTTGGTCAGGCTGATCTCGAACTTCCAACCTCAGGTGATTTGCCTGCCTCGGCCTCCCAAAGTGCTGGGATTACAGGCATAAGCCACGGTGGCCGGCTACAAATGTATTTCCAAAAAGAGAAAATAAAGCAAGGCAAAGCAAGATCTGAAAAAGTAACAGCTGAAAAACTTTCAAAGCTGATGAAAGATAGCAACAGACAGGTTTCAAGGAGCACTGTAAATCCAAGAGAAGTAAATACAAAGAAACTCAGACGGAGATTCATCATCGAAAAACTTCAGAACATGTCAGAGAAAGAGAATATTTAAAATTAGACAAAAAGAAACAAGATATTACCCCCAAAAAAAGTATGAGTGGGAGTGGCAGCTGACTATAACTACATCCCCAACAGGCTCAGAGAAAATCACTGTCAACCTAGAATTCTATATCCAGTGTAAACAAGGCCAGTATCTTCAAACAAACCTAAGAGAGTTTACCATCACCAGTCTTTTTCTATAGAGAATTCTAAAAGATACATCTGAGATAAAAGAAAAATGTTCCCCAATGGAAGAGCTGAGATGCTAGGAAGAATAAAGAACATTGTAAATAGTAGATATGTGGGTAAATGAATACTGGCCTTATAAAACAAGAATAATATATTTTGGTTTTTAAAAACAAAAACAGAGAAATGACCAGAATTAGAATATATAAATCAGAAGAAAGGTAATTAGAGTTTGCGTTTCAAGGGCCTTGAATTATCTAATAAATAGACAAAATTATTGATTAACTTTAGACATTAACCAATGTGCTTCTGGTAATTTCTAGAGTAAACACTAAAAGAATAGCTAAAATAATGTGTAATTATTTTATTAATTAATAAATTTATTAAGTCTGATAAATTAATAAATCTAGTTATTAGAAAGAAATTAATGAAATTTAAAACAACAGAATTTAAAAGAATATTAAAAAATAGAACAGGAAGGACAAAAAGAAAACACAAAATAATATGACAATAAATCCAAATACTTTGGTAATTATAACAAATGTAAACAGACTAACGAAAGGCTTCAATTAATTAAAAACTATCAGACTAAATAAACAAAAGTTAATATATGCTATTTACAAGAGACATCTAAAAGACTCCAGAAAGTTTGAAAAAAAAAAAAAGGGATACAAAAAAGTTGACTATAAACATACCAAAGAAAGCTGCCATAGCTATATTAATTATAAACATAATGAACTGTAAAGAAATATACTATAAAGTCACGTTCATAATGACTTTAACCAGGTTAATAATCATCTAAATATATACATATTTTACACATTTCTCCACACCTCGTAATGATAAGAACAAAAGCCTTCACTTCACCAGGAGAACATATATTTAATTTTAGCATTTCAAATTGTATAAAGTAAAAATGACAGAGCTTCAAATAAAGACAGATCTATGATTAAACTGTGGGGATTTTAACATTCTTCTGATAATAATTGAGATAAGCAGACCAAAAATGAGTACAGAAGATTTGGACAACTTATTAACAACCTTGACCTAATGGAAAAACAAAGAATATCCCGTCTAATAACAATGAAGACAGCAGTATACACATGGAACATTTTTAAAAATTCAGCATATATTGGACCATTTAAAAAAAAGTCTATATAAATTTCAAAGAACTGAAATTATTTACAGCATAGTCTCTGACCTTGACGTATTTATGCTAAAAATTAATACTGAAAAGACAATTAGAAAACTTTGCATGTTTGGAATATAATAAATATTATAAGTAACAAAGGATATAATTCTAAATAATTCACAGACCAAAGAAAAAAATCATAACAAAATTTAGAAAATATTTTGAACTGAATAATGAAAATACCACATTAAAGAGAATGTGGAATAAAACTACAGTAGCAATTAGAGGGATATTTACACACCTAAATAATTGTATCAGATAAAAAGGAAAGGCTAAAAATAGCCTAAGAATTCAGCCTATTAAATTGAATAGGCTAAATAGGGTATTCAATAGGCTAACTCCATTTCAATAAGTTAGCGTAAAAAAAAGCAGAACAAAGAAATAAAATTAACACATTCTGAAATAAAAAACAAACCTACCATAGTGAAGGCAAATAAAGTTGGTTGTCTGAAAAGACAATAAAACTAACCAACCTCTGATGAAATGTATCAGGACAAAAGGTAGGAGACACAAATAAGCAATATCAAAAATGAAAAGGTTTGGGTGTAATTGCTCACACCTGTAATCCCAGCACTTTGGGAGACTGAGGCAGGAGAATGGCTTGAGTGTAGGAGACAGAGCAAGACCCTGTCTCAAAAAAAAAAAGAATGAAAGAAAAGGGCAAAATAACCATAGATACTACATATATTTATATCAAACAAGAATAAAGCTAAATGGGTTTCAATTTCAAGTAACAGCTTAGGTTATTTAGATCAATCTAATTGGTCTAAACAAACAAAAATACTGGTTAAGATATATAAAATATCTCCCTAAAGAGTTGGCAAGACAATAAGGAATTCCCAAACCAAAAGCTAAGTCGAACATATAATTAGTTTTTGCCCTAAGAACATTTGCTAATAATCCCAGAGAACCTTAATAGTGGTTTTGACAGCCTCACGGTACAAGGACAGAAATTAAAGCCTAGAACCAGCTCAAGACAGAGAGTCTAAGATACTCCAAAACATTAAGCCAAGATGCCAAAAGGCTAGACATCGTTAGGGAAGACGTGAACCAGAAACAAAATCCTCCTCCACACCTTTTGTGAGGTTGCCTTGGCACTCAGCAGAAAAAGATGGAAAATATAAATAAAAAGTAAAGAATTTATAGGCTGTAAGCACTGGCCAGCCCTTAGGTGGATTTTCATCAGAGGGGCACAAGAAATCTCAAACAATAAATTTAAAGTGCCCTGCAGTGGTAATGACTCTAATGCCATTAAGAAGTAAGTTCAAATTCTAGAGCAAGCTTGCCCAACCTGTGGCCTGCGGGCTGCATGTGGCCCAGGTCAGCTTTGAATGTGGCCCAACACAATTTTGTAAACTTTCTCAAAACATTATGAGATTTAAGCACAGACTTTTTTTTTTTTAAGCTCATCAGCTATCATTAATGTTAGTATATTTTATGTGTAGCCTATGACAATTCTTCCAATGTGGCCCAGGGAAGCCAAAAGATTGTTCTAGAGGAAGACAACCTTATAAAAGGCCTCAGGAAGTTCCCACAAATAATCTTTCAAAAAATGAGAAAAATCTTCAAAGCAGCTAGAGGATAGGAGTAGATGACAAATTACATTCAAAGGAGAAACAGTTTCCAACAGCAATAAAGGTAACCAGAAGACAACAGAATATTTTCAATAAACTGGTAACAAACCCAGAAACCTAAAATTCTATATTCATGAAGATATCTTTCAAGAATTAAGACAAACATATAGACATTTTGATAAAAGATAAAAGAGTTTGTCTCCAAAAGATGTCACTAAAAAAAATTCTAAATGATATATTTTAGGCAGAAGTAAAGTGATTACAGATGATTGTCTAGTATGTAAGAAATATGTAAAGCTATCATGTAACAATAAAAAAAAGAAAAAATTAAGAGAAAATGAAGTCACTGCATTAGATGCCTCCTAAGTACTTACAATACAGAAGAGCAAATAGTTACATAAGCACCATAATATACTGCAGTAAGTATTGTACAATACTTAGTCATACTTTTGTTAACAAGATTGAAAAATCTACACTGACTAAACAATGAAAATGGTATAAAGAAAGCCCAATAAATGCCAAGTAGAAAGATTTATGGAGTGCCTGTCACTTAATAGGCATAAATAATAATCAGCAAATAATGGGTTGGCAAATCAGGAGGCAATATGGCACAGGAATTTAAAAAGAAAGCCCTGCCTACCCACTCGTGAATGAGTAAAACGAGCGGAATCTAACATCAGGAGTGAGGGAATAGAAGAATGCCTCTTTCTTTCTCTCCAAAGTTTTCTCACAAACCCACATTTCAAAGATGAGAGGACTGGCATATAATTGAGTAAAACTGCAAAAACAAACAAAAGCCTTTAAGAAAAGTTTCAGCTTAGCTGGGCGTGGTGGTATGTGCCTGTACTCCTAGCTACTTGGGAGGCTGAGGTGGGAGGATCACCTGAGTCCAGGAGCTGGGGGCCACAGTGGACTATCATCATGCCACTGTACTCCAGCCTGGGTGACAGAGCAAGACCCTGTCTCTATAAGAATGAATAAATAAATGAAAAAATAAGAATGAGTTAATTAAGGTTAGGACTGGTGGCTCACACCTGTAACTGCAACACTTTGGAAGGCTGAGTCAAGAGAACTGATTGAGGCCAGGAGTTCAAGACCAGCCTGGGCAACAAAGTGAGACGCCGTCTCTCCAAAAAAACAACAAAAAAAATTAGCTGGGCATGGTGGCATGTGCCTGTGGTCCCAGTTACTCAGGAGGCTGAGGCCACTTGAGCCCAGGAGTTTGAGGCTGTAGTAAGCCATGATCACACCACTGCACTCCAGCCTGGGCAACAGAGCAAGGCCCTGTCTCAAAAATAAAAAAACAAACAAATATATAAAGTGTCAGGAATATTCAAACTGAAGTTTAAAAAAAAGTTAAAGATGAGAATATAACTCCTTTTAAAATTCATGCTCATGGCAAGAAAATTAACAAAGAGAATACAAGCCTATAACTCAGAATAATATAATATTAATAAATGACAGAGAGAATGCAGAACGTCCTCTTCCACTAGCACCTGGTAAATACATACACACAGACACAGATGCACACACACACACTCACACGCTTCAATAAGAAACTTTAAATAGGAGTGTACAAACCTAAAGAGAGAACAAAAGTCCAAGATAAACCTCTTGGCAAGAGTAACAGAACACCACAGACACAATGAATGAGCTCAAGTTGAGAAAATAGTTACAGGACTGGAGATGAAAAAACAAGTTGGATTTTTAAAGGTGGCTATCAGTGGGGAAAATTCCTTACAAGCCAGTAAGTGTGCTTACTTTCCTCAGGAAGGTAACATAAAGGGTTATTAAACAAAGTTTAGAAGTACTTAGAAAACAGAGCTTGTTCTAAAATAAAAAACTGAATTACTAATAAGGTCATGTCAAGATAACCTCTTTTCACTTTCTGATTATTAGACTGGCAATAACATATGACAATAGTATATGGCAAAGTAAATGATGCTTTTTGCGAAGACAGAAAATTCTGAATGTTGATAAGATTTTTAACTGGATGAATTGTAGCCAATAAAGTATTGTTGAATGAATAAATTCTAACCTGGAATAAGGATTCTAATACCAATGAGCCTATCATGAGGCTTTCTGTACCCATACAGCTCTTGATGATTTCATAATTATTTTCAATTATACAAAAAAGCTAAAAGGATTTGGAATCTAATCAATCACGTTTTATATTAAGACACTGTAAGCACAGATATGGCCTAGGGCAAGTGGTTTAATCTCACTGGACCTATTTCCTCATCTAATAAGTGGACGAAATCAGTGACATTCAAACTTTCTGGCAGTCCCTCATATTAATAGTAAGAAAAATGATCCAGTGCAACTAACATGTATGTGTTTGGTGTATGTAACTAAAACAAAAGTTTCATAAAACAGAATGCTCTTATGACATAATGTGCCTAATATTTTCTAGTCTATTTCATTATTTTTAATGTAAGTTACAACCCCCCAAATTGATATCATAACCAAAAATGGGACATGAATAGAGATTTTGTTTATTTTTCTGAAACAGGGTCTTGTTCTGTTGCCCAGGCTGGAGTGCAGTAGCATGATCACAGCTCACTGCAGCCTCAACCTCCCTGGCTCAAGTGGCCCTTCTGCCTCAGCCTCCTGAGTACTGAAACTAGTGGGCACCACCATACTTGTCTAATTTTTTTTCCGTTTTTTTAGTAGAGATGAAGTCTCGCTATGTTGCCCAGGCTGGTCTTGAACTCATGGCCTCAAGCAATCCTCCCACTTCAGCCTCCCAAAGTGTTGAGATTACAGGCATGAGCTACCATGCCTGATCATGAATACAGGTTTGAAAAAATAATGGACAAGACTTCTAAAGTCATCTATATACAGCTGTACAATTTAATAAATAGTTCTCCAATTTAGATATCAAACAAAATCCATGATATCCAACCAGTAGATGATGTATACTATATCAACATAAATAGTAATGATGATCTCACAGTGACAGAACTCAGAATTATACCAAACAACTGAACACTGGGTTGAAAACAAAATGAATCTACACAGGTAAGGCTCTGCATTTAGGTTCAGAAATCCTCTCAACAGAGCCTGGCAGCAGGTGAAATGAACAAGACCTGCAGGCTTTAGTTAACTTCAAGCCTATTATGTGATCTCAGTGTAATTCACCAATTTATTGTTATCTATAAATAATACTGTTTTTAATAAATATGTGTGATATAAATAAATATTTTGGTACTATGCAGATCAAAGGTAATCTGAGATCAAATTTAATCTGGATCAGAGTGATCAGTTGTAGTCCCCATCCATGTAACATAAAAGAACAAAATATTGATATTATATGCGTTGATATTAATATACATTTTACTGAGTATAATTTCCCCAATATAGTATGCTAAGTATTTTTCTTTATCTCATTTAATACTCAAACAATTCTATGAGATATGTGGTGCTATAGTTTGAATGTGTCCCCCAAAAAGCACATGTTAGAAACTTAATCCCCAATGCAACAACGTTCAGAAGTGGGACCTTTAAGATGTGATGAGGCCAGGAGGGCTCTATTTCATTAATGCCATTATCACAGAAGTGGGTTCTTCATCTAAGGACAAGTTCAGCCTCCTATTGCTCTCTCTCTCTTGTCCTCTCTTTGCTCTTCTGCCATGGGATGATGGGGCAAGAAGGTCCTATCAAATGCCAGCCCCTTCATCTTGGGACTTCCCAGCCTCCAAACCCATAAGCAATATATTTTTGTTCATTAAAAATTACCCAGTCTTTGGTACTGTGTTATAGCAGCACACAACAGACTAAGATAGTATTATCTCCATTTAAAAATAAAGAAACAATCTTAGAAAAGTTAAATATCCTACCCAGGTCACACATGTTGTTAGTGGGTAAATGCTCAAATCAGGAACTGAACGCAGGTCTTTCTGAAGAGAAACTATGACCTTTTAACTCTTTTTTAAAAAAATTTGGGCCGGGTGTGGTGGCTCACGCCTGTAATCCCAGCCGAGGTGGGCGGATCACGAGGTCAGGAGATGGATACCATCCTGGCTAACACAGTGAAACCCCGTCTCTACTAAAAATACAAAAAATTAGCCAGGTGTGGTGGCGGGCACCTGTAGTCCCAGCTACTCGGGAGGGTGAGGCAGGAGAATGGCTTGAACCCGGGAGGCGGAAGTTGTGAGCTGAGATCGCGCCACTGCACTCCAGCCTGGGTGACAGAGTGAGACTCTGTCTCAAAAAACAAAAATCAAACAAACAAAAAAAATTATTTCTCTTTACTGAGATTCCCAAAAAGCTGGAAGTCTGTGTTTATTAAACTCCTATTTCTTATCAAACTTTTATTAAAAAGTTCATTAAAGGATCTATGGCTATAACAACTATTTAACATATATGTGGACCACTAAATTCAGGTAAATTAATAGAAAATATATTAAAATGTTTAATAAAATGTAAACATATTTTAATTAATAATAACAATGATCGTTTTCTACCACAATATTTTACCAGTGTCTCTTTACCTTATTAGTGATGGCTCACTACTATAAGCACTCAGAAGTTAATTCAGTGAACCCTAAAAAAGCTGACAGCCAAATGCTTCAATTCAGGAAATAGTAATAAACTGATTCCTAATACAGTCTTTTTTTTTTTTTTAAGATGGAGTCTCACTCTGTTGTCCAGGCTAGAGTACAGAGTTCAGTGGCGTGATCTTAGCTCACTGCAACCTCTGCCTCCCAGGTTCAAGCAATTCTCCTGCCTCAGCCTCCTGGGTAGCTGGGATTACAGGCATCCACCACCACGCCCGGCTAATTTTTTTGTCTTTTTAGTAGAGATGGGGTTTCACCATGTTGGCCAGGCTGGTCTTGAACTCCTGACCTCAAGTGATCCATCCACCTCAGCCTCCCAAAGTGCTAGGATCACAGGCATGAGCCACTGCGCCCGGCCCCTAATACATTCTTTAGTTGCATTTGGACTTGGAAAATATTTCTTCAAATCCTATTTCAATGCACAAAAATACACATTTTTCTTACCATATCCACTAGCATATCATTAATTTCTTTCTCTAAACAAGTGATCAAAATTATCCAATGCTGGGAAGGAGTTAAACTTCACCATCACAGTTCAATCTTTAGAAATCCTATTATCTACTCAGGCACAGTGGTGTAGTCCCAGCTACTTGGGAGGCTGAGGCACGAGAACTCCTTGAACCCTGGAAGTGGAGGCGGATGCAGTGAGCCAAGGTTGTGCCACTGCACTCCAGCCTGGACAACAGAGCAAGACCCTGTCTCAAAAAAAAAAAAAAAAAAAGAAAAAAAGAAAAAAAAAAAGAAAAGAAACCCTATTATCTTATCCTCAACATTCAACATTAAAAATCCTATTTTGGCTCTATTCCGGAAACTAAAAAGTCACAGAAGTAACTTTTTATTGACATCGTATTATGAATAAATGTTTTCATCTCATCCTATATTTCAAAAACTTACATGAGCACCTTTTGTTTTTATAATATACTTCAGAAATGGAAACCAAAGCCTTGACTCAAGATATTTTCAGGAAGATGAAACAATTTTCACTTGATTATTATAGTTTTAATTATATTCATAATTTGTATTACATTCAACAATTAATCATGATTAGGAAGCAAAATGTTGACTACCAACTCTTTTTTCTGAATAAAACAATGTCAGCAATTACATTACAGTACAAGTTATTTTATTCTACTATCACTTAAAACTTAGTTTTTCCTTGATGCTCAAAGCTAGTACTGTGTCAGCGCTGACATAATATATATTTTCCAGTCTAAAAAAAGTCACAAAAGAATCATTAAACTAAGAATTTCTTCTCCTGGTTTTTCTGTGATAAAATAGTAAGTTATCTTGCAGATCTCCCTCATACATACACCATAGAAGTACAAATACCTCATTTCTACAATGCACACTGGGAGTTGCATTCAAACAAAAGGAAATATATATTCAAGCCAGTATTTAACAGTACTGACTCTTTTACATTGTATACCATGAATACAGGATTATCCATAACGTCATACGATAAAAGAATATTGTCAAATAGCTTATTCTGCCTCTTCTTCCAGAACAGTCCAGTCAATAGCTTCATAAGTGAATTTCAGTCTTTTTGGCAAATATTTCCCTACTTCCTAAAACATTCATTAATGATTAAGTTTTTCTCAATTTAAAACTTGACTATCATTTGCTTCTCTGACATTTGCTATACTAGGATACTGTGTATATAAGGTAGTATTTGATTTTATACAAAACTTTATTTATTTTTAAGTTAAAAATATGTATTTCATGGTGTTCTCTTTATTTCCCAGTTTGTGAACTCAATTTTAGAAACAAAACTGTGCCAGCAGTGAGGAAGATCTTGGATTAAGAAGACTCAAGACACCATTTTGGAGTCTTAATATTCTAAGCAAGAAATGCAGTGTACACAAATGGAACAGACTTAAAGCTGTTTTAGAGGTGGAAACCAATAGGATTTTTACATCCAAGAAGAGGAGGAAACTTCAAAAATGGCACTAAGTTTCTAGCTTAGGAGCTGAGAGGATACGCTATTAATTAAGAAATAAATTTGGTTTTAAATATTCTTGGTTGAGTTGTCAATTACCTGACAAATAGATAAAAAGGACTGGAACTCAGGAGAATTAGGGATTTCTAATATATGAGTTCTTTTGCTTTTGTTTCCCTGCCTCACCACTTAAAGCTATGTTTGGGGCAAGTTTTTCAATGCTGACATGGAGATTAAAGGGAAAGAAAATGCAACAGGCTAGGGGGCAAATATGTTACAGGGTAATCTAGGCCATGTGGTAAATGCAATATATAACCCAGCTGGGTCATAGTTTTTGTTTTTTTGTTTGTTTTTTGAGACAGAGTCTTGCTCTTGTTGCCCAGGCTGGAGTGCAGTGGTGCGATCTCGGCTCACTGCAACCTCCGCCTCCTGGATTCAAGTGATTCTCCTGCCTCAGCCTCCAGAGTAGCTGGGATTACAGGCATGCACCACCACGCCCAGCTAATTTTTGTACTTTTAGTAGATACAGGGTTTTGCCATGTTGGCCAGGCTGGTCTCGAATCCCTGACCTCATGTGATCCACCCGCCTCAGCCTCCCAAAGTGCTGGGATTAAGGCATGAGCCACTGCGTCCAGCTGGGTCATAGTTCTTAATCAGGGCTCATTATATTCATACTGGGGTTGGGGGGACAGGGGTTTGCAAAATAAATCTCCTAAGCGCCACCCTGGATATTACTTCTTTGATAGATCTGGGGTAGAAACTGAGAGTATACTTATTTTTTTTTAAGTTCCCTGAATGGATTGACTCAAAAAGGGTTATGAGAGAACTTTCTGTAATTATAGAAATATTCTATTACGACCGGGATGGAATACTATTCGACCTTTAAAAAGCAGAAAATTCTGTCATTTGTGATGTGAATGCATGTAGAGACACTATGCTAAGTGAAATAAACTAGGCAAAGAGAGACAATATCCAGAATACATAAAGAACTCTCAAAACTCAGTAATAAGAAAATAATCAACCCAATAAAAAATTAGCAAAAGATTAGAGTAACACACTTCACCAAAGATATATAGATGGAAAATAAGTACATTAAAACAGACAACAACAAAATGCAAATTAAAACCACAATGAGATGCCGCCACATACTTATTAGAATGGGAAAGAACAAACCTGACAAAACCAAATGTTGACAAGGATGAGGAGCAGCTGGTCTCATATATAGTCAGTGAGAATGCAAAATGGTATAGCTACTTTGGAAAACAGTTTGGCAGTCTTCAATAAAGTTAAAACAGAAGACAAAAATCATCAACAGTGGAAGCACATAAAAAGACCACAAAGCTAACAAAACTGAAAATCAAAATACAGAATAACTTAGAAATAGAAATGGGCAGAATCCACACAATATCGCCAAATAACTATGACATGTAGGTGTTTCTAGGAGATCACAATAATTTGAAAGAAAAACAGTGAAATGACAGAAACCACAAAAAGACAGGAGAGTCAAAACCAATCTAACTTAATTAGTAAACTTCAAACAGTAAACACAACAAATGGAATAGAAAAAGTATTCACAAATATGTTAGAAGAAAAATAATTCCACCAGATTATCATGCTAATGGAGCAACAGACATTCTCTAACTAAAAGAACTTGAGGGAGGGGCAAAAGCTGGACAATGATATCAAGCCAAACAACAGATAAATGGAGATAAAAGGACTGCTGATAAGTTCTGAATTTATTTAGGAGTAAAAATGGGCTGGGCATGGTGGCTCACACCATTTTCCCAGCACTTTGGGAGGCCAAGAGGGGTGGATCACTTGAGGTCAGGAGTTCAAGACCAGCCTAACTAAAATGGTGAAACCCCATCTCTACTAAAAATACAAAAATCAGTCAGGCATGGTGGCACGCGTCTGCAATTCCAGCTACTCAGGAATGAGGCATGGGAATTGCTTGAACTCAGGAGGCAGAGGTTGCAGTTAGCTGAGATCATGCCACTGCACTCCAAGCCTGGGCGACAGAGTGAGACTCTGTCTGAAAAAAAAGGAGTAAAGGCCGGGCGCGGTGGCTCACATCTGTAATCCCAGCACTTTGGGAAGCCAAGGCGGGCGGATAACCTGAGGTCAGGAGTTTGAGGCCAGCCTGGCTAACACGGTGAAACCTTGTTTCTACTAAAAATACAAAAAAATTAACCAAGCGTGGTGGTGCACGCCTGTAATCCCAGCTACTCGGGAGACTGAGGCAGGAGAATCACTTGAACACTGGAGGTTGAGGTTGCAGTGAGCTGAGATTGCGCCATTGCACTCCAGCCTGGGTGACAAGAGCGAAACTCTGTTTCAAAAAAAAAAGAGTAAAAATAACTGGGAATTTTGGTGTATAGAACAAAATAAAACAGAACTATTATAAACTTCAACAAAGTAAGAATAATCTGGCACTGGTGGTAGAAAGAAATACAGTATGTTAAATGATCCATACCATGAAAGATAAGGAAATTGGACGTTGCCCAAAATGAGACACTTATTCCTAACATTTCATATTTTCATAAATGGAAGCAATTTCTACTTCACAACCAAGATGAAAAAGTAAAAGGAACATCTTCAATTTATCTCTGCCTCTGCATTAAAAAACAAGGAAGTACACATGCTCAACCCAGCCCTATAGGATGTAGTTTCTATTCTCCCATGCAGTAAAATTATAGAGGCATTATCCACTCCTGCTGTGGTTGACAAGCACAGTCTATGACTATGTTGCTAAATAAGTCTAATTCAAAAATAAAGTATCATAAGGCTCATTCTGACTACACAGTCGTACAACCTAGTTTTTACTAGGAATAAAGTGAATATTATTTCTGACAGTACAACCCTCCTTTGTGTGTGTGCATCTCTCCTTTGATTAGTCCGAAACTGGGAAAGTGAAGATTATTGCCCATCCCCCAACACCAACTTTACAGTTCAGTAAAATCATAATTCTAAAATAATTTTTAAAAGTTTATCCTAAGTTTAGCTATTCTTACATTTTACTTCCTTGTTATATTCAAGTAAATTTACTTCTTTTTATTTTAAAATGGTGTACATAATATGATCCCATCTTCATTTCTCTATATCCATTCATCCTTTTATCTTTAAATGTACATAGAGAGACCCAGAATGATTTACATAATGTTTAAGATGGTTATTTCTAGATGGTAGATTAAGTTTTGTTTTTTGTTTTTTTTTTAAGACAGGGTCTCACTTTGACACCCAGGCTGGAGTGCAGTGGCACGATCTCGGCTCACTGCAGCCTCGACCTCCCAGGTCCAAGTGATCCCCCTGCCTCAGCTCCCCAAGTAACAGAGACTACATGGGACTACAGACATGTGCCAACACATCTGGCTAATTTTTGTATTTTTTGTTGAGATGGGGTTTCACCATATTGCCCAGGCTGGTCTCGAACTCCTGAGCTCAACATCCACCCGCCTCGGCCTCCCAAATTGTTAGGATTACAGGCATGCAACACTGTGCCTGGCTTAGATTAATTTTGTTGTTGTTGCTGTTGTTTGTTTTGTTTTTGCTTTTTCAAGACAGAGCCTTGCTCTGTTGCCCAGGCTGGAGTACAGTGGCACTGGAGATCATGGCTCACCACACCCTCGACCTCACATGCTCAAGTGATCCTCCCACCTCAGCTTCCTGAGTAGCTGCGACTACAAGCACATGTCACCACACCCAGCTAATTTTATTTATGTATTTGTTTGTTTGAAGAGACTGAGTCTCACTATGTTGCCCAGGCTGGTCTTGAACTCCTGGGCTCAAGCAATCCTCCCACCTTGGTCTCTCAAAAGGACTCAATAAAACAAATAGGAAATAGTCTACAGAAGTGTTTGCAAACTATGGCCCATGGGACAAATCTGACCTGTGGCCTGTTTTTGTATAGCCCACAAGTTAAGAAAGGCTTTTAATTTTTAAAGGGCTGCATAAAAAAAAGAAGAATATGAGAAAGAGACCCTATGTGTGGCTCACAAAGCTGAAAATATTAACTGTCTAACTCTTCAAGAAAGTTGCCAGCCCTTACTTAGTCTATACTATCGACTCTATATTGACAAAAGGTACAATCTACTGGAACTCATAATTCACTGATACACAAGAGAATTTTATATATTAAGGAAATCAAATTTTATCTCACAGACTCCCTTTTATCCCTTGGGATGTTGTCTTTAGATGCTGACATGGTGATATCGGCATGCACAACTTTTATGATTATCTAAAGTTCCCAATCTTTTCTTTTTGATTTTAGGACTGCATGTTAGGAAGACTTTTCTCTTTTCAAAGGCAAAAAAAAAAAACTTCCTTAGTTTTCTTCTACTACTTTTATAGTTTTGTTTTTCACATTTTAAATCTGTGACATCTGGAAAAGAGGCCCTTCCATGACTAGGAGTAAATAACAGTCTATACAGAAAGATACCAGACTGCAGATTAATGGGGGGAAGAAGGTGTTGGAAAAGTGTAGGGGACAGGAGAAGGAAGACAATGAACAGGAGTCTGTGACAAGGCTGGAATCTTGAAACTGACTGAATGATAATTTATAGGTTTCCTTCTGACAGATGTTCTCAACCGAGGATGTTCCATGGGCCATAAGGCAGTCAGTTCCTAACTATTCCATAAGAACAAGAGCTTCAGTAGAGAACAAGATCCAATCATCA
Source organism: Homo sapiens (assembly GCF_000001405.40). Taxonomy (NCBI): domain Eukaryota; kingdom Metazoa; phylum Chordata; class Mammalia; order Primates; family Hominidae; genus Homo; species Homo sapiens. The sequence continues at coordinate 107,067,933 of NC_000012.12, forward strand.
TTCTCTTTGTATCTGAATTTATCTCTAGATTGTTGTATTTCTCTTTGTTGCTATTATACACAGAATTTTTCTTCCTGTTATATTTGCTAACTGGTTGCTTATATGTAGCAAGGGGCCAGCCAACTATGGGTCAAGCCAGCTCACTGCCTTCTTTGTAAATAAAGTGTTACTGGAACACAGACATCCTAATTAGTTTCATGCTACAATAGGAGAGGTGGGTAGCTGAGAGAGAGATCATATGGCCTGAAAAACCTAAAATATTTATCATCTGGCCCTTTACATTAAAAGTTTGCCAATCTCTGATATATAGGGAAACTATTTGATTACAATTTTTTGAGGTAAAATTGTAATACATATAATACAAAACTAATAATTTTTTCTTTGAGACAGCGTCTCACTCTTTTGCCCAGGCTGGAGTGCAGTGCCATGATCTTGGCTAACTGCAACCTCCGCCTCCTTGGTTTAAGCAATTCCTGCCTCAGCCTCCTGAGTAGCTGGGACTACAGGTATGTGCCACCATGCCCCGCTAATTTTTGTATTTTTTTTGGAGAGACAGGGTTTCACCATGTTGGTCAGGCTGGTCTCAAACTCCTGACCTCAAGTGATCCACCCTTGTCAGCCTCCCAAAGTGCTGAGATTATAAGCATGAGCAACCGCACTCAGCCCAAAATTAATAATGTTAAAATGTACAATTCAGTGGCATATGAGTACATTGATAATGCTCTGTGACTATCACCTCTATCTAGTTCCAAAACATTTGTATCACAAATGAAAACCCTGTACTGATTACCTTGTACCCATTAAGGAATCACTCTCTATTTTTCCCCCTGCCCCGAGCTACCACTAATTTGCTTTCTGTTTCTATGAATTCACCTGTTCTGGATGTTTCATATAAACGGAATCATATAATATGTGATCTTTGGTGTCTGGTTTCTTTCACTTAGAATGTGTCTGACATCCATGTTGTAGTATCTCATTTCTTTTTATGGTTCCATCATGTGAAGAGACCATATTTTGTTTATCCATTCATCAGTGGACAGACATTTAGGTTGTTTCCACATTTTGGTGATTGTGAATAGTGCTGCTATGGACATTCATGTATAAGTTTTTGTTAGAATGCCTGCTTTAAATTCTTTTGGAATTCTGTGAGTGATATTGCTGGTAATTCTATGTTTAACTTTTTGTGGAAATGGCAAATTTTTCTACAGCAGCTGTACTATTTTATTCTCTCACCAGCAATGTACAAGGGTTCCAATTTCTCCACACCCTCGCCAACAATTACTTTCCGTTTAAATTTTTTTTTTTTTTTTGAGATGGAGTCTTGCTCTGTCATCCAGGCTGGAGTGCAGTGGTGCAATCTTGGCTCACTGCAAGCTGCACCTCCCAGGTTCACACCATTCTCCTGCCTCAGCCTCCCGAGTAGCTGGGACTACAGGCGCCCGCCACCACGCCCAGCTAATTTTTTGTATAAAATTTTTTCAATAATAGTCATTTTGGTGCATATGAAGTGGTATTGCACTGTGGTTTTGTTTTGCATTTTCCTAATGACTAATGGTGTTGAACATCTTTTCAGGTGCCTGTAGCCATTGTTTGTTATATATATATTATATATATAAAGTATATATATAATATATATATAAAGTATATATATAAAGTATATATATATAAAGTATATATATAAAAAGTATATATATATAAAGTATATATATAAAAAGTATATAAAGTATATATAAAGTATATATATATAAAGTATATATATAAAGTGTATATATAGTGTATATATATAAAGTATATATGTAATATATATTAAGTATATATATAAAGTATATATACATATATATACTTTAAACTTCGACAAATAAAACTGAAAAGACAGCACATCAACAGAAAAATGAACAAGACAATTAAAAGGTAATTTACAGAAAGAAAAACCTCCAAAACTAATATGTATAAGAAATGCTCAAACTTAGTAACTAGAAAAGTACAAATTAAAAGAATCAAACATCAGTTTATGCTTATTAGATCAGTAAAGTTTATAAAGCTGGATAATTTTTAAATGTTGGGACATAAGGATATGAGAAGACTCATGCATTGTTAGTGGGAATATAGACTTGTTCAGCTACTGTGAATAGCAATCTGGCATTTCTTAGTCAAACTACATATGGGGCTAACCTATGTCCCAGCAATTCTATTGATTTGTATATACACTCCAAACAAATACTTAACACAGAGTCATGTGCAAGGATGTTCAGTGCAGAACAATTTGTGGTGTCAGGAAACTAGAAGTAAACAGGTAGCTATCATTAAGATAACAGATATAATATGGTAAAGGTCTCACAGAGCATTATACAGCTGTTAGAAGCAATGGATTAGCAGTATCAACATGAGTACATCTTAGACATTTAGTGCTTGTGGGAAAAAAACAGAATAAGAAATACAACACAATAGCATTTATGTAAGTTAAAAATAAATGCACATAAAACAATATCTGTTTTGCATGAACACACAGTTACAAAAAGATAAATATATTAGAATATAACCACAATGTATACTGTATAACAAACAATGCATTTATGTATGGGAGAAGGGAAATTCAAATAGGAATAAAGGAGGCTAAAGAAAGAAAACAAGGAAGAGACCTTACATAAACCTGTAATGATAATGTCTTAAACTAATTCTCTGCACCTAAGGCTAATAAAAATTGTATCTAGCCACATCGCTGGATTCTCTTATTTTTATTTATTTATTTATTTATTTATTTATTTATTTATTTATTTATTTATTTTGAGATGGAGTCTCACTCTGTCGCCCAGGCTGGAGTGTAGTGGCGCGACCTTGGCTCACTGCAAGCTCTGCCTCCCGGGTTCACAGCATTCTCCTGCCTCAGCCTCCTGAGTAGCTGGGACTACAGGCACCTGCCACCATGCCTGGCTAATTTTTTTTTTTTTTTTTTAGTAGAGACAGGGTTTCACCGTGCTAACCAGGATGATCTCGATCTCCTGACCTGGTGATCCCCCTGCCTCGGCCTCCCAAAGTGCTGGGATTACAGGCGTGAGCCACAGCGCCCGGCCTGGATTCTCTTATTATTAATAGTACCTTTTCAGTTGATTCTCCTAGATATTTTGGGATATAATAATATTGTCCTAAAAACAGCAATAAATTTTACTTCCTCTTCCATTTTTATACCTTTTATACTGCATTAGTTAGTACCTCTGGCACAATAAGTAATAGTGATGACAGCCAGCATTTGTATCTTGCTCCAGACTTTGTAGAACTTCTAAATTTTACCCATTAAGCATGATGCTGACTTTTGAGCTGATTTGGTAGCCTTCTATTTCTGGTTTAGTACTAAATTTTATTAGGAATAAATATTGAACTTTATCAAAAGTATTTTCAGCATCTATGGAAGTGATCATATAATTATACTCTGATCTACTAATATAATGACATATTAATATATTTCCAATACTGAATTATTCCTGCATTTTCAACATGAATGTAGGATATACATTTAAAATATGCTTCTGTATCCTATTTGATAATTCTACACATTGTTTCCTCTTCTTTTATCATGTTTTAGAACAATTTATATATCACTGAAGTCACATGTTTCTTAAACTTTGGTAGAACCCAACTATGAAACTATCTAAGCCTGATGTTTTTTGTGGAGGTAACTCTTTGACAATATTCTTTATTCCTTCCATAGGAGTTATGCTTTGAAAAGATCAATAAAGTATAAAAACATCTAGCAAGTCGAAGAAAGAAAAAGAAGAAAAAAATAAATATCTATTAGTAATGTAAGAAAGGGACTATCATAGCAATTGTGGTACTTATTAAATAAAAGATATGGTATACAACTTTAGCAATACATGTGAGAATGGAAGACTAGATTTAACGGCAGGTATTTTAGGAAAATATGCATTAATAGCAAATTCAATTATCAAACTGACTGACAAGAAACCTAGAATAACCAATAAACACAAATGAAATAAAAAGTATGTCAAAGATGATCTAAGTCAGGAATTGTTTCACTGCAATGAACAGAAATCTACTCAAACTAGGTCATACAAACAAAAAAAAGCATTGGAAGAATATAGGAGTATTTCATGGAAACTTGTGCTCAAGTAGTATAGTCAAGTCTAAGGATTCTGGAATGTTAGAACCCAACTCCTTTTTGGAATTGAATTCTCTCTTGTTTGTTCCTTTCTGCATATGTGTTCATTCTTTTGTCTTTCTACAACCACCTTTCTATGCAAAGATATCTATTTTTTATGACTACTCAGTGCCAAGGCCCAATACCAACTGACTACAGTCTCTGCATCCCTTTTCCAAATTCCAAATGGGCAAAGCTTAGCTCAGGTATCAATTATTGACTCAATAAACCTTCCAGAGGAGAAAGAATGAAAGTAGATTACAGAGTCACCAGCTACTAAATTAGAGGCTAAATTCATGTATTAACTAGGGGTTTGATGTGGGCAGTTTGATGTGTGGACTGGACAGGAATCTCGAAATTGCTATAAAAATAATCTGACTCCTCTCAAAAACCCCTGACCCAAATTGCTTTATAGGTGAATTCTAGCAAAGGTTTATGGAACACAGAAGTCCTATGTTATTTATACTGTTGGGGGCATAAAAAGGATAGGAAGTTACTATAAGGCTAACATGATCTCATTGTTAAAATTAACAAAATTAGCTCCCAAAAGAAAAATATGAATTAATCACACTTGTGAATAGAGATGTCAAAGTTTCCATGTAAACACACATTCATATTAACACATATGTGCATATATGCACATTTATATTTTCATATTTTAAAACTACTACCAGTGTTGTATTTCTTATCTTCTTATGGGTGATATTACACAGACACTTTCTTCGTATCATTTGAATTCTTTACTATGATTGTATTTTTCATCAGAAAAAATCCACATTTTAAAAATTAAATAGCCTAGAAATGATCGTAAAATATTAAAAATTTACATTAACACTTATATTTACTTACCTCACTGAATTGGAAATGATCCAATAAGTAGTGTTGGAATAACTGGCCATCATTTTGTGGAAAATGATCATCATTTGGGGAAAAAGAAGTTAGAGTGTAACCTCAGTGTCAATGTAAATTCTAGATGGAACAAAGATTTATATGTGTAAATAAAACTCTAAATGTATTACAAAAACATTGTAAATATTTATATCATCTTTGGGTGGGAAAGGGGCATTGAGGCTTATCGCTAATGATATAAACCATAAAAGTTTGAATACAAAAAAGTTTAACATGTAAAATATATTTTTTTATTTCTCTCTCTCTCTCTTTTTTTTTTGAGACGAAGTGTCACTTTGTCACCCAGGCTGGAGTGCAGCGGCGTGATCTCGGCTCACTGCATTCTGTCTCCCTGGTTCAACTGATCCTCTTGCCTCAGCCTCCTGAGCAGCTGGGATCACAGGCATGAGCCACTGTGCCTGGCCTAAAATATACTTTTTAAAAATCATAATCATAAAGACTGCCATTACTGGCTGGGCACGGTGACTCATGCCTGTAATCCCAGCACTTTGGGAGGCTGCAGAGGGCAGATCACTTGAGGTCAGGAGTTCAAGACAAGCCTGGCCAACATGGTAAAATCCTGTATCTACTAAAAACACAAAAAAATTAGCTGGGCATGGTGGTGCATGCCTGTAATCCCAGCTACCAGGGAGGCTGAGGCAGAAGAATTGCATGAACCCGGGAGACAGAGGTTGCAGTGAGCCAAGATTGCACCATTGCACTCCAGCCTGGGCGACCAATTGAGACAGAGTCCGTTTCAAAAAAATAGAAAAGACTGCCATTCCTTTTGTCTTGCTATATGCTCCTCTTTCAGTATTCTCACCCATTACCCTAATTTTAATTATCACCTCTCAAAAGACTGTTTCCAATTAAAAATACACACCTAGTCCCAACTTCTCTTCCTAGCTTCAGTCCCTGCTAACCAACTGTATCGGGATATCCCACTGTTACCCTAACCTCAATACACCTAAAACAAACTTTGATACACCTAAAATTAAGCTTATCCTAATTTCTAAACTAGTTCCTTTTAACTTTGTTATGTCTCTCTTCATGGGATCTCAAAATATAATCAGTGACTCCTCCTTTTCCAAAAACCTACATGTCACTCTACTCTGATGGTTATTCTTCTTTTTAATTATCTTCCTTTCATTCAATCTTTCCTTTCTATTCCCACATTACCCCAAATTATGCCCCTAATTGCAAAAAATATTAACACTAAGCCAGACAATTAAAAAGGGTATTTTAACCTCAAAATTAGAATCTGACCCCATACCATACATAATACCAATAAAAGGCTTGGCAGCACATTCTCTAAGACATATACACTGTAGCACAGTAATTTAATATTAAGTCATTCTATTACAGCCTTTTAACTCCTGCTGGCCTACATCACTTAAAACAAGAAAACTAAATAAAAATACGTGTCATTAAGATATTTAATTTGTTGTTGCTGTTGCTATTGAGAAGACAGATAGGATAAGATAAAAATGGCAAAAGTAACCAGAGTCAATAGAATTCTCTTTTTTTTAAATAGCATTTTTTAATCTCTAGGAAACCCTAATATCCAATTATTTAAAATATGCAACCCAAACCAAATAAAAATATTTGAGAATGAATTTTATGTCAAATTTCAAAAACCTATCGTTATATCTTTTATAATACTAAAAATTATTTTGGTATTACCATCACAGAAATCATACAATTCTAGAACTAGAAGGGACCTTGGCAATTATGTAGTTAACATACATTAAAACTACTAAGCTGGGCTCGATGGCTCACGCCTGTAATCCCAGCACCTTGGGAGGCTGAGGCGGGTGGATTACCTGAGTTCAGGAGTTCAAGAAAAGCCTGGCCAACATGATGAAACCCCGTCTCTAGTAAAAATACAAAAATTAGCCGGGTGTGATGGCGCATGCCTATAATCCCAGCTACTTGGAAGGCTGAGGCAGGAGAATCGCTTGAACCGAGGAGGTGGAGGTTGCAGTGAGCCAAGATCGTGCCACTGCACTCTAGCCTGGGCAACAAGAGTGAAACTCTGTCTCAAAAAAAAAACAACAAAAAACAAAAAACAAAAACTACTAGTGATCTCCAATTTATCAATTCACACAAATAACCAAATGCCTTCTATACCCTGTGCAAAGCATACAGAGGCCATGCTGACTGATGGACATGGCTAATTTCAGTTTGACAAAAATAAAATAGGCTACTGCTTTCTAATAAGTCCAATTCCTATTCCAATCAGTTAAAGTTCTAGACATATGAAGAGTCAGTTGTGTTTCTCAAACACGTTCATGCCAGCTGAACTTATTTTCATCACGTAATTTAAATTTTATATAAACTGAGAATATAAAAAGTAAAGTTTTATAGAAAATGAAACTGAATGCTTCAAAAAGCCTTGATAAAAGGTGAATCACCAAAAAAGTTTGTCTAATTAACTATCTGTAGATAAGACAGCTAAACTAGATGGGAAGAAAAAAATGTACTAAAGGAATTCTGTATTCAAGTTTGCTTCACCATGGTCTTGAAGGTTTTAATCAACTTTAACGAATAATAGGCAATATCAGTCTGCGGGTGTAATTTACACAGGAAAGTCAACTTGAAATTCCATCAGCAAAATCAGCAGAACAATACTCATTTATACATTCAATACACAAGGACATACTGACACCCACCCTGTGCCACGTATTGAGCCACCAGACCTAACTATGGTTTTAAAAATATTACTCTGAATTCCACATGGAACAGATGGGAAAGGTAGGCACAAAAATGGAAGTGGAAAACTTAGGAGGCTTTTACAGTAATCTTGTAAAAAATGCTGGTGGCCTGGATATTATGATAGCAGTGGGAGGGTGTTATTTGAATGGATATGAGATTTAATTTGAAGGGAAAAGCTCTAACAATTGTTTTAGGACTAGATATGAAGTTTGAGTACAAAAAGAAGAAAGGGTAGCTCCTGGGTTTTTGCAGAACTAGGTGAATGTTGACATTTACTGTGATATAGAGAAGCCATGGGAGGTAGAGGAGATGGAGACAAAATCAGCTTAAGATGCTTATTTTGAATCCAAGTAAAAATACTAGATAGGCAAATCTGGAATTCAAGATAGAGGCCAGTGCAGGTAATACACGATAGGAAATTATCAGGTATTCAAGTATGCAACTAGATGAGATCACCTAAAGAATAAATGTGGATAAAGAAGTGAGCAAAAGAACTCAGACCTGGAATCAAGCCTTACATCAAAAACTATCAAATTAATGCACACTTTTCTATTTTTTTTTTAAATGATTTCCTTTTTCAAGTAACTGCAGGTTCCAATGGTGTCACATAAGAGACGATTTCTTAGAAACTCCCTTTTCAGGCTGGACGCAGTGGTGCATGCCTGTAATCCCAGCACTTTGGGAGGCTGAGGCAGGCAGATTGCTTGAAGTCAGGAGTTCAAGACTAGCCTGGCCAACATGGTGAAACTCCATCTCTACTAAAAATACAAAAATTAGCCAGGCATGGTGGCACACACCTGTAATTCCACTAGCTACTCGGGAGGCTGAGGCAAGAGAATCACCTTGAACCCAGGAGGCAGAGGTTGCAGTGAGCTGAAATCATGCCACTACACTCCAGCCTGCGTGACAAAATGAGACCCTGCCTCAAAGAAAAAAAAAAAAAAAAACCTCTCTTTTCATGTAAGTACACTGACTCATGTATCTTCAAGAAGCTGATCTAATTTGGATATGTGTCCCTGCCCAAATGTCATATTGAAATGTAATCCCCAGTGTTGGAGGTGGGGCCTACTGGGAGGTGACTGGATCAAAAGGGCAGGTTTCTCGAATTATTTAGCATCATCCCTTTTGGTACATCTTTACAATGGCGAGTTCTCATGAAATCTGGTCATTTAAAAGTGTGTAGCACCTCCCCCCGACTCTCTTGCTTCTGCCTTTGCTATGCAACATGCCTGCTCCCCCTTTGCCTTCCACCATGATTGTAACCTTCCTGAGGCTCCCCAAAAGCAGACGCTGCTATGCTTCCTGAGCAGCCTGCAGAACCATGAGCCAATTAGACCTCTTTTCTTTATATATAACTCAGTCTCAGGTATTTCCTTATAGCAATGCAAGAACGGCCTACTACAGAAGCATTCTAGAATTCCTCCTCTCTCAGTCTCATATCTCACACCCAGCACTCCCCAACACATACACACAAACACACACACACACACCTCTAGAACTCACACTCATCACCTTTACCCCTTTTCCCACCCCTTTAAAGTTGTCTTTCCTTTGTGCTTTCACAATTGTATTTGCAGATTTCCACAGAGGTCCTTTTTAACATTGTATGTTCTAATTGTCCTTTAGTGGTGTGAAAGTTTCCTTACAGGCAAGAACCATAACCTTCATCTTTGTATCTCCAATGACTTGCACAGTACCTGGTAGATAACAGGCTCTCACTGAATGTTTTCCTGAATGACTAAATGAAGGGAGAGAGATTTACCCAAGGTCAGTCCCACGGCCATTTAATAGGAAAGTAAGAATTATAAAGTAGGTCTTAGTACAGTCAGATGTTCTAAACTTACTTCAGTCTGTCATTCAAAGAATTACATATTCAGGCCTCACCTTATCTATATATTTTATTTCTTATTTATCATCCTGTGAATACACTATGCTCAGTCTTGACTAAAAGTTATCTATATATTTTATTTATTTATCATCCTGTGAATACACTATGCTCAGTCTTGACTAAAAGTCTAGTTATCTAACCAAAATTCACTTTTCCTCAGCCTGTTCAGAACCTATGCCTTGAGCTAATTTCTTACCTCTCTCATAAAAAATCCCCCTCACATTCCAACCTGAATCATTTCCCCCACTCCCCTCCCCTCACCTGCTACACACACCTTTGTTAACATCCTATACAATCTGATTTCTATCCTTACACCTACATTGAAGTGTTATCTCAAAGTTCACCAAAAGCCTTTGTAACAGATAAAGTATAATTTTCAAAACAGTAAAATTATGACTCTCATACAAACATGAAATGAAGATCTGGCAAAAAATTTACGTAATTCATTGATTAAGGAAGAAAGAAATAAGATGTTAAAACTGATTCAAATAAGAATCTGATTTACTATTTCTCAACTTACAAAATTCATTTTCATGGCACAAACATAATTTGCATTGGTATGGGCAGAAAACATTTGTACTGCTTTCAGTTTTCTACAACTTAACTTTTATCCCTTTTTACAGAGTTGTGAAACAGCCTTGTCAATCAAATACAAAGATGCATATCCCTTAATCAGAATCATATAACTCCTGGAGGGTCCTCTAAACAACATCTAGCATTCTAGATATGCAATAATTTCCTTTTCCCACCTCTAAGTCTTTGATAATTTTTCCTACATAATTGTCAAAACTCATCCTAACCTGCCTCCTGTAGTGCAAGGTAAAATCACTCTTGCCACATTCAGTTTCCATAATATGGCACTCTCCTGGATCCTCTTTTTACCTCTCTGGTTCTCTTTCGCCTCCTTCACCAGCTCCTATTCATCTTAAACATAGTATTCGCTGAGTTTTTTCACTGGGCTTTTGACTAACATAACTTTTTATGGCTGTATCCAATCTCATCCAGGCATGCTTCATCCATTACTTATACAGGAATTATTCCCATATGCACAGATCCAATGTCTATAATTCCCAGAGTGAAATTTCTATTTTCTCCATTTCTCATGTTGATATCTTAGCAGTGCTTCAAATTGGTCAACAACCTAAACTCACTCTTTTCCTCACCTACCTATGGTCTATTTCTGTGTTTCCTAACTTAATGTCTAATTGTCACAGAGGCACAAAGTATGAGGATCTTACACTCTACTTTCTCCCTCACCCTCCTCCTCTGTGAAACTGTGTTTTCCAGGCAGTCACCTAAGCTTTTCACTGTACCTCTACAGGCTTCCTCTTATATCTTCCCCTTCCTCATAGCCTTTCCCCTTGTTTAAGCCTGTATTATCTTTCACTTGAACTGTTGATAAAGTCTCCAAACTAGTATCTTGACTCTCTCTTCTAACATTCACTCAGCTGCTAAATTTATATTTCCCCAAACAAGGGCAGCTTTTCTGAACTATACCCACTTATCTGAGTTCTTATATAATAGGCAACAATGTTGTTTTAGGATATCCACCTACTTCCTACTCATTTTACTTCAGTTACTTCAGTTCAGTCAAGCTGATTCCACCAGTGAAGCACACTTCAGCTAAGACAATCATAAACTCATGATGACTAGTTCAGAAACTGGCCCAAAAGAGCCAATGAAGTGCCATAAGACTTTTGCTGAGACTTCTGGGCCAAAGGTGTATGCTTTTTGCTGAGATAAATGCCATTGTTATTGCTATATTTTGCCACCAGAGGACAGCCTATTTGAGAAGTCAAGGCAGAATAAGTGAAGTTCAGAGATGCAAAGAGAAATGTGATCCTGGTAACATCTTCTGAGTCCTGGTATCAAGCGATGTCCAAAGCCAGTTTCCCTTAGGTTATTCAATTACATCTACCAATAAACTTTCTTTTTGCTTAAGCCTGTTTGACTCAGGCAACCAACTAGCAAACAAAAAAGTACTAAACAACATCTCCTATCTTTTCATGCACCACATGACTCAGCTACATCAGCCTCCTCACCACTATCAGAATACTGTGCCTTTCCTTAAGCTATTCTTTCAGTCTGGAATTTGCTTCTCTCTGCTTGGAATTCCCTTCCCTCCATGCCTTGCTTATTAAGATCCACTTTACACTTCAAGTTTCAGTTTAACTGCCTCAGTGAAATAATCACCAGAGACTAGAAAGAAGCAGAGGGCCAGATTACACAAGGATTTGAAACCATGCTATGGCTTTTTGAACTTTAACCTAAGGGTAAAGAAATGTCATTAAAAGGTTTTAAAGCATAAATGACATGACCAGATTTGCAATTTTAAAAAGATCACTCTACTTGCTGTGTAGCGAATGAATTAGAGAAGGGCAAGGGGGACAATGATTTGTAAGCTACCCAAACAACCTAGGCAAAGAGAATGGTGATATGGGCTAAAGAGACAATGGAGAGGGAAGAATGTATTTATGTAACTATTTTATTTCTGAATAAATCTTCCTCTGTACTATAAACTCCCTGAGGGCAGAGAAATTACCTGTTGACTATCATGCTATCCACAGAAATTAGCAAGTAATTGGCACACAGTAAGGACTCAAATGGGCAAATGGAAGTATCATTTGTGAAGACAGAAAACACAGGAAAACTCAGTTTGGGGTTTGTTTGTTTTTGTGCAATAGAGAAGGATGAAGATGAACTCTGTTTTGGACAAGCTGAGTTTGAGGTAATGTCATATATTCAAGCAGGCAAATGGGTATATATGATACATACAAACACACACACACGTCCGGGGATCAGGAAAGAGATTTGCGCTGAAGACACTAACTTGAGAATTCTGGGCATAGACGAGTAAATGGTAACGGACTTTATGAGAGGAGATAAGATTGCCTAGAAATATGTGAAATGAAAAGAGGGTGGAGATCACAGACCTCAGGGGCATTTAAAGGTTGAACAGAAAAGGAGAAGCTAAGGAAGAACACTAATAGCGCTGGCAGGAAAGCACAGAAGAGTCCTTTAATAAAGCCAAGGGAAGAAGAGGAAGGTGTGGTCAAATGTGTCAAACATTGTTAAAAAAAAATAAAAAAGAAAAAAAGAAAAAAGTCAGGGAATGGGCAGATTTAAAGTATCCTTTGGATAAAAATAGTTTTGGTAGAGTGGGTGGGAGTGAAGCCGGACATGCCTTAGTTTGGATTGGGTTCAAGGGTAAGTAGAATATAAAGAAATGAAGTCAGCCACTATTAGACATCTTGCTCAAGAAATTGGCTACAAAGAAACTGAGATACATAGTTGCAGGAGTGGAACACAGTTAATGCTAAGTTCTGTTCCTTTGTTGTTACAGGTTGTGTATGTTTTACAGAATTTGATCTTAAGCATGTTTAAATGTTGATTGGAGGCAACCTAAAAAGAAGAAAAAGTAGAAGAAAAGGTAAGAATAAATATAAAAAATGAGCAAAGTCTTTGAAATGGAGCACAGAAGAAGAAACTCGTTTTGAAAAGAGACAGCAGTATCTCTTCCACTGAAGTTGTATACTAGAAGGAAGAACTAGTAAGGATGTAGGCACATTTATAGATTTGGTTACTGAAAATTAAGAGAGCTTACAAGTCATAGCTTCAAATGTGTAATGAACATGTTGAAGTTTAAATTCTAAAACAAATCTGTTCATTGAGAATTTTTTTTAAGTTATGAGTTTAAGATAGACATTAACATATAAATTATATAAAGTAGCTGTCCTATCCCTCAACCTTAGATTTATAAGAAAAATTAAAACAATATTTAATGCCTACTATGTATAAGCCACTATGCTGTGGAGAACACAAAAAGGCTCTTTCCCCAGATACATGTATAGCCTGTTTCCTCTTCCTTTAGGTCCCTGTTCTCACATTCTGCTTTATTTCTCTCCATTGAATTTACCACCACCTGATACATTATTTTTGTCTTACTGTCCGTTTTCCCCCCACTGGAATAGGGCAGCAACTTTTTCTGTTTTATTCAATACTGTATACCCAGCATCAATAATACTGCCTATAATGGATAGGGACACAAAATAAACTTTTGATTTAAGAGGCAACTTCTCTTCAGGAAGGTACTATCTGTTAAGTGAGAGAGAGATTATATACAGAATACATCCCTGCTATGGTCTGAATGTCTATGTTCCCCCAAAATTCATGTTAAAACCTAATCCTCAATGCTACAGTATTAAGAGGTGGGGCATTTAGGAAGTTATTTGGTCATATGCATTGTACTGTCATGAGAGGGATTAGTGCCTGATATAGTTTACATATTTGTCCCCTTCAAATCCCATGTTAAAACTTGATCTCTAATACTGCAGATGGAGCCTAGCAAGAGGTATCTGAGTCATGGGGACAGACAAACACAAAAAACTGGTACCAGGAATGGGGTGTTGCTATAAAGATATCTAAAAACATAAAAGCAGCTTTAAAACTAAAGCTGCTTAGGGGTTGCAATCCTAGTCTCTGATAAAACAGACTTTAAACCAAAAAAGATAAAAAAAGACAAAGAAGGGCATTACACAATGGTAAATGGATCAATGTAACAAGAAGAGCAAATTATCTTAAATATATATATGCACCCAAAACAAGAGCACCCAGATTCATAAAGCAAGTTCTCGGAGACCTACAAAGAGACTTAGACTCCCACACAATAATAGTGGGAGACTTTAACACCCCACTGTCAATATTAGATCAATGAGACAGAAAATTAAGAAGGATATTCAGGACTTGAACTCAACTCCGGACCAAGCAGACCTAGTAGACATCTACAGAACTCTCTACCCCAAATCAACAGAATATACATTCTTCTCACACCACATAGCACTTATTCTAAAATTGACCAATAATTGGAAGTAAAACACTCCTCAGCAAATGCAAATAACGGAAATCATAACAAACAGTCTCTCAGACCACAGTGCAATCAAATTCGAATTCAGGATTAAGAAACTCACTCAAAACCACACAACTACATGGAAACTGAACAATCTGCTCCTGAGTGACTACTGGGTAAATAAAGAAATTAAGGCAGAAGTAAGTAAGTTCTTTGACACCAATGAGAACAAAGAGATAACATACCAGAATCTCTGGGACACAGCTAAAGCAGTGTTAAGAGGGAAATTTATAGCACTAAATGTCCATATCAGAAAGCAAGAAAGATCTAAAATCGACACCCTAACATCACAATTAAAAGAACTACAGAAGCAAAAGCAAACAAATTCAAAAGCTAGCAGAAGACAAGAAATAACTAAGATCGGAGCAAAACTGAAGGAGACAGAGACACGAAAAACCCTTCAAAAAAATCAATGAATCCAGGAGCTGGTTTTTTGAAAAGATTAACAAAATTGATAGACTGCTAGACAGACTAATAAATAAAAGAGAGAAGAATCAGATAGACACAATAAAAAATGATAAAGGGATATCACCACTGATCCCTCAGAAGTACAAACTACTATCAGAGAATACTATAAACACCTCTATGCAAATAAACTAAAAAATCTAGAAGAAATGGATAAATTCCTGGACACATACACTCTCCCAAGACTAAACCAGGAAGAAGTCACATCCCTGAATACACCAATAACAAGTTCTGAAATTGAGGCAGTAATTAGTAGCCTACCAACCAAAAAAAGCCCAGGACTAGATGGATTCACAGCCAAATTCTACCAGAGGTACAAAGAGGAGCTGGTACCATTCCTTCTGAAATTATTCCAAACAAAAGAAAAAGACGGACTGCTCCCTAACTCATTTTATATGAGGCCAACATCATTCTGATACCAAAACCTGGCAGACACAACAAAAAAAGAAAATTTCAGGTCAATATCCCCAATGAACATCAATATGAAAATACTCAATAAAATACTGGCAAACCGAATCTAGCAGCACATCAAAAAGCTTATCCACACGATCAAGGCAGCTTCATCCCTGGGATGTAAGGCTGGTTCACCATATGCAAATCAATAAATGTAATCCATCATATAAACAGAACCAATGACAAAAACCACACAATTATCTCAATAGATGCAGAAAAGGCCTTGGACAAAATTCAACACCGCTTCATGCTAAAAACTCTCAATAAACTAGGTATTGATGGAACGTTACTCAGAATAATAAGAGCTATTTATGACAAACCCATAGCCAATATCATACTGAATGGGCAAAAGCTGGAAGCATTCCCATTGAAAACTGGCACAAAACAAGGATGCCCTCTCTCACCACTCCTATTCAACATAGTATTGGAAATTCTGGCCAGGGCAATCAGGCAAGAGAAAGAAATAAAGGGTATTCAAATAGAAAGAAAGTCAAATTGTCTTTGTTTGCAGATGACATGATTGTATATTTAGAAAATTCCATTGCCTCAGCCCCAAAACTCCTTAAGCTGATAAGCAACTTCAGCAAAGTCTCGGGATACAAAATCAATCAGCAAAAATCACAAGCATTCCTATACACCAATAATAGAGAGTCAAGTCACGAATGAACTCCCATTCACAACTGCTACAAAGAAAATAAAATACCTAGGAATCCAACTTACAAGGGATGTGAAGGACCTCTTCAAGGAGAACTACAAACCACTGCTCAAAGAAATAAGAGAGGACACAAACAAATGGAAAAACATTCCATGCTCATGGATAGGAAGAATCAGCATCATGAAAATGGCCATACTGCCCAAAGTAATTAATAGATTCAATGCTATTCCCATCAAGTTACCATTGACTTTCTTCACAGAACTAGAAACAACTACTTTAAATTTCATATGGAACCAAAAAAAGAGCCTGTATAGCCAAGACAATCCTAAGCAAAAAGAACAAAGCTGGAAGCATCATGCTACCTGACTTCAAACTATACTACAAGGCTACAGTAACCAAAATAGCATGGTACTGGTACCAAAACAGATACATAGACCAGTGGAACAGAACAGAGGCCTCAGAAATAACACCACACACCTACAACCATCTGATCTTGACAAAAACAAGAAATGGGGAAAGGATTCCCTATTTAATAAATGGTGCTGGGAAAACTGGCTAGCCATATGCAGAAAACTGAAACTGGACCCCTTCCTTACACTGTATACAAAAATTCACTCAAGACGAATTAAAGACTTACATGTAAAACCTAAAACCATAAAAACCCTAGAAGAAAACCTAGGCAATACCATTCAGGACATAGGCATGGGCAAAGACTTCATGACTAAAACACCAAAAGCAATGGCAACAAAAGCCAAACTTGACAAATGGGATCTAATTAAACTAAAGAGTTTCTGCACAGTGAAAGAAACCATCATCAGAGTGAACAGACAACCTATAGAATGGGAGAAAATTTTTGCAATCTATCCATCTGACAAAGGTCTAATATCTAAAATCTACAAGGAACTTAAACAAATTTACAAAAAAAAAAAAACCCATCAAAAAGTGGGTGAAGGATATGAACAGACACTTCTCAAAAGACATTTATGTGGCCAAAAAACATGAAAAAAAAGCTCATCATCACTGGTCATTAGAGAAATGCAAATCAAAACCACAATGAGATACCATTTCATGCCAGTTAGAACAGCGATTATTAAAAGTCAGGAAACAACAGATGCTGGAGAGGATGTGAAGAAATAGGAACGCTTTTACACTGTTGGTGGGAGTGTAAATTAGGTCAACCATTATGGAAGACAGTGTGGTGATTCCTCAAGGATCTACAAACAGAAATATCATTTGACCCAGCAATCCCATTACTGGGTATATACCCAAAGGATTATAAATCATTCTACTATAATGACACAGGCACATGTATGTTTATTGTGGCACTGTTCACAATAGCAAAGACTTGGAACCAACCCAAATGCCCATCAATGATAGACTGGATAAAGAAAATCTGGCACATATACACTGTGGAATATGAAGCAGCCATAAAAAAGAATGAGTTCATGTCCTTTGCAGGGACATGGATGAAGCTGGAAAGCATCATTCTCAGCAAACTAACATAGGAACAGAAAACCAAACATCGCATGTTCTCCATAAGTAGGAGTTGAACAATGAGAACACATGGACACGGGGAGGGGAACAGCACATACCGGGGCCTGCCAGGGGTTGAGGGGCAAGGGGATGGAGACCATTAGGACAAATACCTAATGCATGTGGGGCTTAAAACCTAGATGACAGGTTGATGGGTGCAGCAAAACCACCATGGCACATGTATACCTACGTAACAAACCTGCAGGTTCTGTACATGTATCCCAGAACTTAAAGTATTAAAAAAAAAGCAAAAACTAAAGCTGCTTACAAGAGCTTAGAGAACTCAAAACAAAACAAAACAAAAACAAAAAACCTCATACACAAGAAAAACTTTAAAACTTTTTAGAGACTGGTTAAGAGGTTGTGATAAAAATGCTGATTAAAATATAGACAGTAAAGGCCACGTTCATGAGATCTCAAATAAAATTTTTAAAAACTAAAACAAAAAAATGGCCACATTATATGTTATGCTTGTTAACAAAAAACTTGGCTACATTGTATCCATGCCTAGGACTTTGTAAAAGGCTGAACTTAAGAGTAATGACTTAAGCTACCTGGCAAAAAAAAGTTTCTAAACAACAAAGCGTTCAAAAGGTGACATGGCTGCTTCTAACAGCCTACTATCAGATATGGGAGTTCAAAAAAAAGACAAAGTTAAAGCTAATAATTAAGAGAAAAACAGAGCATACAAATTTGAAAAATTTACAACCTAACCATGTGGTAGAGGGAAGTTTTCAGGAGAGAAATCCAAACTACCTAGCCCCAGGTACCAGGCCCTGACAGAACAGGTTGTTAAAGCAATTAACATGAATAAAAGAGAGCCAGTTGTTAACAGTCAAGACAATGGGGAAAAGCCCCCAAGACATTCCAGAAATCAAGGCTACCCCTTCCATCACAGGCTCAGAGGCCTCCTCGGGCAAAATGGTTTGGGAGGCCAGGCCCAGGGTGTTGCTGCCTTGTGCGGTCTTGAGATGCTACTCCCCACGTTCTGGCTGCTCTGGCTGCAGCCAGGGCTCAAAAGGCCCCAGGTACTGTCTGGACTGCCACTCCAGTGGGTGCAAACCATAGGCCTTGATGGTTTCCAAGTGGTGTTAAGTCTGCAGGTATACAGAATACAAGATCCATGGAGGTTTGGCAGCTTCCACCTAGATTTCACAAGATATGTCAAGAAGTCTGGCTGTCCAGGCAGAAGCCTGCCACAGCAGAGCTCCTACAGAGAGATTCTACTAGGCTGGTGCCAAGGGGAAATATGGGGTTACAGTCCCCACAGAGAACTCACTGTAGAGCAGCGGGAACAGGGGCACTGCCCTCCAGGACCCACAGTGGTGGCAGTCTAACTAAAGCCAAGAGAAGAAGAGAAAGGTGTGGTCAAATGTGTTAAATACTGTTAAGAAAAAGAAAAAGAAAGAAACAAAGAAAGAAAGAAAAAGAAAGAAAGGAAAAGAAAAGAGAAAAGAAAAAAAGAAAAGGAAAAGAAAAGTCAGGGAGTGGAAAGATTAAAAGTATCCTTTGGATGTAAACAGCATACACCCTCAGCCTGGAAAAGTGACAGACATTAGACTCCAATCCATGAGAGCAGCCATGTGGGCTATGCCCAACCAAGCCATAGAGATGCAGCTGCCCAAGGTTTTGAGAGCTCACCTCTTGGACCAGTGTGCTCAGGATGTGGGAGGGAGTGGAAAGTGAGGAAGTGGAAAGATTAAAAGAATCCTTTGGATGAAAACAGCACACACCCTCAGCCTGGAGAAGTGACAGACATTAGACTCCAATCCATGAAAGAAGCCATGTGGTCTGTGCCCAACCAAGCCATAGAGATGGGGCTGCCCAAGGCTTCAAGAGCCCACCTCTTGGACCAGTGTGCTCAGTTATGGGACAAGAGTCAAGCGAGATTATTTTACAGCTTTAAGATTTAATGTCTGCCCTTGTAGGTTTCAGACTTGGGTGGGTCCCTTTTTGTTGGTCAATTTGTCCCTTTTAAAATGAAAATATTTACCCAATGTCTGTTCCACCATTGTATCTTAAAAGTAGATAACTTGTTTTTGATCTTACAGGTTCATAGCTATAAGGAATCTGCCTTGAGTCTCGGATAAGATTTTAGACTTTGAGTTGATGTTGAAACTAGTTAAGATTTCTGGGGACTTTGAAAGAGATGATTATATCTTACAATAGAAAAAAGAGGGTGGGCATGGTGGCTTACACCTATAATCCCAGCACTTTCAGAGGCTGAGGCAGGAGAATTGCTTTAGCCCGGGAGTATGAGACAGCTTAGTGAGATCTCACCTCTACAAGTAATAAAAAAAATTACCTGGCCATGGTAATGCATGCCTGTGGTCCCAGCTACTTGGGAGGCTGAGGTGGGACAACTGCTTGAGCCCAGGTGGTTGAGGCTACAGTGAGCCATGATCACGCCTCTGCACTCCAGCCTGGGCAACAGAGTGATACCCCGTCTCAAAAATAAAAATAAAAATAATAAATAAATAAGACAAGATATTTGGGGGGCTAGAAGTGGAGTGATATAGTTTAGATATTTGTCCTTTTCAAATCTCATGTTAAAATGTTATCCCCAATGTTGGAGGTGAGAGGTGTTTGGAACATGAGATAAGATCCCTCATGAATGGCTTGGTGCTATCACGTAATGAGTGACTTCTCACTCTATTAATTAACAGAACAATTAATTATTAAAAAGAGACTGGTATCCCTCCCCTCTCTCTCTCGCCATGTGATATGTCAGCTCCACTTCCCCTTCCATCATGATTAAAAGCTTTCTGAGGTCCTCACCAGAACCAGAGGCTGAAGCCATGCTTCTAGTAAAGCCTGCAAAACTATGAACCAAGTAAACCTCTTTTCTTTATAAATTACCCACCCTCAGGTATCCCTTTATAATAACACAAACAGACTAAGGGAGTGCTCTTATAAAAAGGGCTGCAGGAACTTGTTTACCCCTTCTGCCATGTGAGGAGACAGAGAAAGCATCGTCTATTCAGCAGAGACACTGAATCTGCTGGTGCCTTGATTCTGGACATCTTCCAAAACTGTGAGAAATAAATTCCTGTTGTTTATAAACTACCTAGTCTAAAGGTATTTTGTTATAGCAGCTCAAACAAACTATTAATAAAACAATACTAACATTCACAAATGAGGGCAGCAAATGCTAAGAGTGATGTGAGGAGCAACAGCAAAAAGTGGTGCAAGAGTTCAGAATACTGCTAATCATCCCAGACAAGCACAGAGTTGTACAATCATCCATCACCTTCTAGAACAGTTTCATCATCTCAAAAAGAAACCTTGTGCCCCTTAGCTATCACCTCCCAACTCCCTAGCTTCCCCAGTCCTAAGGAGCCACTAGTCTGCTTCCTCTCTCTATACATTTGCCCACTGTGGACATTCCATATAAACAGAATCATATAACACATGGAATTTTGTGACTGGCTTCTTTCGTTTAGTTTGTTTTTAAGGTTCATTCATACATGTAGCGTATATCAGTACTTCATTCCTTTTTATGGCCAAATAATATTCCATTATATGGATATACCATATTTTGTTTACCCATTCATCAACTGATGGCCATTTGGGTTGTTCCCACCTTTTGGCTATTATGAATAATGCTTCTGTGAATGTTAGTGTATAAGTTTTTGTATAGGATAATTTTTCTAAGAGATGCAAATTTTCATAAAGCTTGTAAATTTACCCAAATCAAAAACATGTTATTCTGAGACAATGTCCTTCAAATTTTTTGTTGTTGTTGTTTGTTTGTTTGTTTTTTAAGAGATAGGGTCTCTCTGTGTACCCAGGCTGGAGTGCAGTAGCCCATTCATAGCTCATTGCAGCTTCCAACTCCTGGGCTCAAGTGATTCTCCTGCCTCAGCCTCCTGAGTAGCTGGGATTGCAGGCATGAGACATTGAGCTCTGCCAAACTTTTTTTTTTTAAATATAAAACATCCTTTTTAAATGAAAGGATGGCAATATCAAAAAGTGGTTTTGTTAATGTGCTTATTAGGTAGAATACTATTTAAAATTTTGCTTTTCTGTTAAATCCAAAAGTCTAAAAAGTGTTGACCGAAGAAAATACAAGATAGCTTCTAAAGAAAACTAAGAGGGTTTTCCCCCTGGAGTTGAAATCACATATTGTAAACAGCAGAAAATGAAATACATAAGCCAAAAGGTAGATCTTGCCAGGCTAAGGAATTTGGGCATTATCCCATAGTCAATAAGTAAATTAATAAAGCTGTTTAAATATAAAATTATTGACTCCAAGATATCACTATATTCAACAAACAATAATTGAGCTACTACTATATAAAAAGCACTGAATTTGGTACTATGAGTGATTCCAAAAAGACTTTTGCCTCTGACACTACCAAAACCACTCCAGATAAAATTCCAAATGACCTAAAATTGCTAAATCCAATTTTTATTTTTCAGTTCTCCTCTTGACCTATCGGTAGCATCTGACGTAAGTAAAACACTCTTCCTTGAAATATTTTCCTTCTTTCTTTTTTTTCTTTTTCTTTTTTTTTTTGAGACAGAGTCTGGCTCTGTTGCCCAGGCTGGAGTGCAGTGGCACGATCTCGCCTCACTGCAACCTCTGCCTCCTGGGTTCAATCGATTCTCCTGCCTCAGCCTCCTCGAGTAGCTGGGATTACAGGCATGTGCCATACGCCTATCTAATTTTTTTGTGTTTTTTACTAGAGACGGGGTTTTGCCATATTGGCCAGGCTGGTCTCAAACTCCGGGCCTCAAGTGATCTGCCTGCCTCAGCCTCCCAAAGTGCTGGGATTACATGCCTGACCAAAATACTTTCTTTACTTGGCTTCTAAGACACCATACTCTTCTGGGTTTTCTTCTTACATTACTAGTGGCTCCTTCGCAGTCTCATATGCTGGTTCTTTCACAGCTCCACAATTTATAAACATTAAGAGTATTCAAGGTTCAGCCCTTGCACCATTTGCATCTCTTGTCTATCTCATTTTATTAATGCTGTCAGTCTCACGGCTCCACTAGAATGTAGCTCCAACAGGGTGAGAATTGGGGGCTGTTTTGTTTATACTGGATCTCTAGCACCTAAAACAGTGCCTGGCATATAGTAGGTGCTTGACAAATATTTGTTCAATAAATGGTTGGATGAATAAATGGCTTTATATATTATCTATAAACTAATGAATTCTCCAATTTATACTTCCTGCCTGGATCTCTGTCTTGAGCTCCAGATACATCCAACTGCCTATTTGCTATCTCCATTTGAATGTGTAAAATACATCTCAAACTTAATGACTTAATGAAAGAGAACTCCAATCACCCTCCCAATGGCTTCTCCAGCTGGCTTCACTTTCTTAGCAAAGTGTAGCCCCATCCTTCCAGTTTCTCAAGCCAAAAATTTTCTCAAACAGTAACTAAACTGCTACTATATAAAAAGCACTGAATTTTGGTGCTTTTTATATAGCACCAAACTATAAGTCCTTTTTTTTTTTTCTTGCGACAGAGTACTCTGTCACTCAGGCTGGAGTGCAGTGGCACGATCTCAGCTCACTGCAACCTCCGTCTCCTAGGTTCATGCGATTCTCGTGCCTCAGCCTCCTGAGTGGCTGAGATAACAGGCATGCGCCACCATGCTCACCTAATTTTTATATTTTCAGTATTAATAGAGACAGGGTTTTGCCACGATGGCCAGGCTGGTCTCGAACTCCTGGCCTCAGCCTCCCAAAGTGCTGGGATTACAGGGATGAGCCACCGCGCCCAGCCTAACTCCTTTTCTTTCTCTCTCACTACATATCCAATCTGCCAACAAATACCCTGTATTTTGCCTTCAGAATATAACCAGCATCTGTTTATTTCTCACCACGTCCACGATTATTACTATGATTCAAGCCGTTATCATCTCTCACCTGGATGAATGCCAACAGCTTCTTAATTGGACTTCCTGCTTCTTGTCCACCTCCACTCCCCAATTCAGAACCACAAGCAGAAAAATTCTTTTCCAAACTTATGTCAGATCACATTACTTCTCTGCTCATAATCCTGCAGTTATTCCCATTTCACTAAGTAAAAACCCAAATCTTGAAAACTGCTTATAAGGCTCTCTTCAATCTGGCCCTAAGTCAACTCTGACCTCATCGTCTACTATTTTTCCCTCACTTATTCTGCTCCAGACATACTGGATTCTTCTGCTGTTCCTTCCAAAGGTCAAGCATATTTCTGCCTTTTCCCTTACTCTTCCCTTTGCCTGGAATGGTCTTCCCTTAGATATCTGCATCCCACCACCTCCTTCAGGTCTGCTCAAGTGTCACCTTCTCTGTGACTTTTCCCCCGATCATACTTAAAATTGCAACCCCATCCCTACCCTTGTATTCTTTATCCCTTTACTCTGCTCTATTTTTTTCCACAATACTTATCACCACCTAAAATACTACATATTTTACTTTCTGCTTGAAG
Source organism: Homo sapiens (assembly GCF_000001405.40). NCBI lineage: Eukaryota > Metazoa > Chordata > Mammalia > Primates > Hominidae > Homo > Homo sapiens. Next base: position 107,092,018 of record NC_000012.12, read on the forward strand.
ACATGACTTTCTGTCTTTCACTCACTGCTATATCCCTAGCATTTAAATCAGTGCCTGGCACATGCTAAGTGATCAAGAGTCTATCTGTTGAGCTATGCTTTTATTTCCACCAGGGGGCCTAACAATCATGTAGCCTGGTGTTTCAGGAAAAGATCATAAAGCATCTCTAAGATTTCTTTCAGTGCTCTGATCCCTAGAAGGACTACAACTTGCCTAGAAAGAAAAACTGTGCTTTGTCTCGGCAACCACAAGGAGGAGTTGAGAAAAAGAACCGAGCAGAGAAACCAGATAATGCTGTTTCCCTTGCTTTTCCCACAGTAACCTCAAGGTGGAAGAACACTGGATCTGGAGCCTGCTGTACTGAATGAATGATTTTTCTCCATACTATGAGTTACCTAGACACAAACGTAAACAGGAAACATCACAATCCTTCCGAATGCCACAAAAAGGCCAAGGGAATCCATATACAATGGCCACTAAGGACAGGAAAGGTGTTTCTTTAACTCCAGCACTAAGAATTCTCCACAAATTCAGGGGAGGAGCTCCAGTTAGCACAGAAAGACACATAACTCACTGATGAAGACCGAGTGTTTCAGGTCGTCAGTACTCTTTGGCCAGAGAAGTATTAAGTCAATTCTATTTAATACTTAGGGCACCTAAAATTCGTAAGCGGTATAAGCAAGACAGTCCCACGTCTAAATTCACAGATTTGGCGGATCGCATGGAATTCATTAACATCAGACTCATTAAACACCCAAATCCATTTCCCACGGGCTTGTGACTCACCGCCACCTGTTGATGCCCACATTGGAGGAGCCGGCGAACCAGGGGTCCAGGATGTAGACGCAGCGGATGGTGTCGGCGCCCTGAATGCACTCCTTCAGGGCGGGGTTGTCGTGGAGCCGGAGCCCCTTTCGGAACCAGTGCACGGCGTTCACCCCCATGCCGGGGGGCGCGGCGGGTCCTCCACGGAGAAATTCAAGGAAGGAGGCTCCGGCTCATAGCCGACACCTTCGCTTCCAAGAGAATTGCCTCACCCGGGGCGTGAGGAAAGGGCGGCAGAGGGGGAACAGGAAAAAATGACTCCGAGGAGGGGACCGGAGAAGGCGGGGGCGCCGGAGGCGCAGTGGAAAGATGAATGGAGGTTGCCTAGTCGGCGGAGTCCGGGTGTGACGCCCTTTAGGAGCCCGCGCCCGCCGCAACCGCCTGGAGGCGACGCATAACTTCGAGGGCCTCGGACCTCCGGAGCCTGAGCAAGTTCCAGGAGCTCGAGCCGCCACGACGGCCCGAGCCGGCACGGACGGCCCCAGGAGATTCGTCACGGAAACCTCGCCCCACCAAGGCGGCCCCTAAAGACAAAACGGCCCGCCCGAGGTGAGTCACCGAGGAGAACCGGAGGGGAATGAGCCCCTGTCGGCGACGCTGTCTCTCGGCCCGGGAGAAAGGACCGGGAACGGAGGCTAGAGGCGGTGGTCGAGGCCGCTGGACGGTTGCCGGCCGGTGACCGGTCCCGAGGCTGCCCGGGTGACTCTGCCGCCGCCGCCGCGTCAGCGGCCTCGGCCCCGCCCCCGGCTCCTCATTGGAGGGCGCGCTCCCCTCGTGACCACCGGCACCTCACGTTTCTGAAGTGTGTTTACTACACTGGCTCGGAGGGGTAATCTGCTCGCGCTTCGGTCGCTTTTGGAGGAGCGGCAGCCGCTTGATCCCAAACTTGTTGACCCTCGTCCACACGCTGAACTCACTGCCTCTGCCCCTTTCCTGTGCCGACTGGTGGCCGTCCCTTGGAAGCAAATCGCGTTGACCACAGGCCCCTTGTGAGGGAAGGCTTAGCCCCGCCCCCAAGGGCCATGAGCGGCCACCATTGGCCGAGGCTCGCTGAGACCCGGATGAGCACGGGGATGCGGGGAGCTTGCGGGCGCGCGCGCTGCTCCGTTAGGCGCGCGTGCGCTCTCGCTGCGTTCCAGAGGGTAAGGGGGCGGGGCCGGCGGGCAGGAGCGCGCTCGGCGATTCCTCCCGTGGGATTTGGGGAGGGCCTGGAAATTGTCCGGTTTCCTTCAGGAGCCAGTGGTGGAGTCGGGCGGAGAGTGAGGGGAGGATGGAGTGGAAGGAGGAGAGTGGGAGGCTCCACGTACATTTCAAGTCCAAACCATGTGCTTCAATCCTGCTTTGGCCAGAGAACCCTACTTTGGAGATTGTGGAGCTGTGCCCCTCCACTCTCCTGGCCCTTGGGTGCCTCCTCCCCCTTGTACATACTCTGGGGAAAAGGGTAATTGGCAGGACGGATGCCAGGCATTCCTGGACTTCCTGGAATTTTTTTAATACTAGCGATATATATCATCAACCTTTCACCCCTCGTCTCTTACATTTAATGTAGTTTACCGGTCTCTTTGAAACTGGACGTTTGTCTACTTTTCCAGCGACAGTGAACTGCAGGCCATGGCATCCCTTAGATATATGATGCCCTTAAATTCATTCAATGATTACTTTTTGAATGAACTAGGCACTGTTCAAAGCACTAGAGATACAGGAGATACTTAATAAAACAGACTAAAACCCCACCCCTCCTGGGGTTTACAATTTGTCTCTTAACCTTTGCTGTTTTTTCCTCTATAAAATACTCTTCTTTGGAATCCAGTACTCAATATTACCACCTTTGAGCTACCTAGGATATTTCTACGCATCCCTTTAGACTCAGATGAAATAATAACTAATTTCTGAAAGTATTCCTGATCCCTAGGGCAAATTTAGGACCTCCCTGGGTTCTCCAAGTATGTTTCTGTTACATCACTTTTCACACTACCGTGAAAATTAGTTGAAAAGTGCCCATTCCTAGCAATACCAACTCAGTAATAGTACTTATTATCATAATAATGTGCCTCTGATTCCCTCTGAAGTGTGATTTCTCAAGGACTGGGTCTGTATTCAGTTTTCTTTTGTTTTTATTTTTTGCATCAACACCAGAACAGAGCCTGACATAGGCAAATGCTTATTTAATGAATGAATGAGTGAGTGAGTGAGTGCTGTTGGCCACCAGTGTGTTTGGCAAAGTTAAAAGAAAGAAGGAGATGGCAATTCTTATTGGTTGAATTGTGTGTCCCCAAAATCATATAACTCTCAATGACTATAAATGTGGCCTTATTTGGAAATAAGGTCTTTGTACATGCTCAAGTTAAGATGAGGTCATTAGGGTGCACCCTAATCCAGTGTGATTGGTGGCCTCATATAGTGGAGAAATTTAGACACAGAAATACATATACATACAGGGAAAATACCATGTAAAGATTGGAACTGTGCTGCCACAAGCCAAGGAACTACTGGAAGCTAGGAGAAAGACCTGGAACAGATCCTTTCTTAGCACCTTCACAGGACTGTCGCACTGCTGACACCTTGATTTTGAACTTCTGGCCTCTAGAACTGCGAGACAGTTAGTTCCTATTGTTCTAAGCCTCCCAATTTGTGGTGCTTTTTTACAGCAGCCCTAGCAAACTAGTGCAGCAATAAAGTAAATTCAATACTCTAGAGAGCCAATCTGTCTGAATAGTCTTCCCTACTTCTGCTTCTGTTGCCACAAGAAGTATATATCAGCCTTTCTTTGGTTCTGTAAGAATACTTTTAAAATTATATATATGAATGATATGGTTTGGCTGTGTCCCCACACAAATCTCATCTTCAATTGTAGTTCCCATAATCCACACGTGTTGTAGGAGGGACCCGGTAGGAGGTAATTTAATCATGGGGGCAGTTACCTTCATGCTGTTCTCATGATAGTGAGTGAGTTCTCACAAGATCTGATGGTTTTATAGGGGGCTTTTCCCCCTTTTGCTTAGCACTTCTCCTTCCTGCCTCTATGTGAAGAAGGTTGTGTTGGCTTCCCCTTCTAGCATGATGATCAGTTTTCTGAGGCCTCCCCAGCCATGCTGAACAGTGAGTCAATTAAACTTCTTTCCTTTATAAATTACCCAGTCTTGAGTGTGTCTTTATTAGCAGCATGAGAACAGACTAATATAGTAAATTGCTACTGGGAGGTGCTGCTATAAGGATACCCAAAAATATGGAAGCACCTTTGGAACTGGGTAACAGGCAGAGGTTGGAATGGTTTGGAGGGCTCATAGGAAGACAGGAAAATGTGGGGAAGTTTGGAACTTCCTGGAGACTTGTTGAATGGCTTTGACTAAATTACTGATAGGGATATGGACAATGAAGTCCAGGCTGAGGTGGTCCCAGATGGAGATGATCTTTTTGGGAACTAGAATAAAGGTGACTTTTGCTATGTTTTAGCAAAGAGATCTGTGAAACTTTGAACTTGAGAGAGATGATTTAGGGTATCTGGCAGAAGAAATTTCAAAGCAGCAAAGCATTCAAGAGGTGTCTTGGGTGCTGTTAAAAGTATTCAGTTTTATATATTCACAAATAATATGGCTTGGAATTGGAACTTATGTTTAAAAGGGAAGCAGAGCATAAAAGTTTGGAAAATTTGCAGCCTGACAATGTGATAAGAAAGAAAAACCTATTTTCTGAGGAGAAATTCAGACCAGCTGCAGAAATTTGCCTAAGTAATTTGGAGCCAAATGTTATTCTCCAAGACAATGGGGAAAACGTCTCCAGGGCATGTCAGAGGTCTTCACAGCAGCCCCTCCCATCACAGACCCAGAGGCCTAGGAGGAAAAAATGGTTCTGTGGGCCAGGCCCAGGGCCTTGCTGCTTTGTGCAGCCTTGGGACTTGGCGCCCTGTGTTCCAGCTGTGGTTAAAGGGGGCCAACGTACAGCTCAGGCCATGGCTTGAGGGTGCAAGCTCCAAGCCTTGGCATCTTCCACATGGTGTTCAGCCTTGACAGAAGTCAAGAATTCAAGTTTGGGAACCTCTGCCTAGATTTCAGAGCATGTATAGAAATGCCTGGATGTCCAGGCAGAAGTTTTCTGTGGTGGCAGATCTCTCATGCAGAACCTCTGCTAGGACAGTGCAGAAGAGAAATGTAGGGTTGGAGCCCCATACAGAGTTTCCACTGGGGCACTGCCTAGTGGAGCTGTGAGAAGAGGGCCACCATCCTCCAGACCCCAGAATGGTAGATCCACCGACAGCTTTCACCGTGCACCTGGAAAAGCTGCAGACACTCAACACCAGCCTGTGAAGGAAGCTGGGAGGGGGGCTGTGTCCTGCAAAGCCACAGGGGCATAGCTGCCAAAGAGGTGGGAGCCCACCTCTTGCATTAGCATGACCTGGATGTGAGACATAAAGTCAAAGGAGATCATTTTGGAACTTTAAGGTTTAATGACTGCCCTATTGGATTTCAGACTCATGTGGGGCTTGTAGCCCCTTCATTTTGGCCAATTTCTCCCATTTGGAATGGGTATATTTACTGAATGCCTGTAACTCCCTCCACTGTATCTGGGAAGTAACTAACTTGCTTTTGATTTTACAGGCTTATAGGTGGAAGGGACTTGCCTTGTCTCAGGTAAGACTTTGGACTTGGACTTTTGGGTTAATACCTGAATGAGTTAGGACTTTGGGGGACTGTTGGAAGGGTATGATTGTGTTTAAAAATGTGAGGACATGAGATTTGGGAAGGGTCAGGGCTGGAATGATATGGTTTGGGTGTGTCCCCACCCAAATCTCATCTTGAACCGCAGTTCTGATAATCCCCATGTGTTGTGGGAAGGATCCAGCAGGAGGTAATTTAATCATGGGGGCAGTTACCCCCTTTCTGTTCTCATGATAGTGAGTGAGTTCTCTTGAGATCTGATGGTTTTATGAAGGGCTTTTCCCCCTTTTGCTCGGTACTTCTCCTTGGTGCCTCCATGTGAAGAAGGGTGTATTGGCTTCCTTTTCCACCATGGTGGTCAGTTTTCTGAGGCCCCCCACAAGCCATGCTGAACTGTGAGTCAGTTAAACCTCCTTCCTTTATAAATTACCCAGTCTCGGGTACATTTGTATTAGCAGTGTGAGAACATACTAATACAATGAAAACCCTGGGGAGGATCCCCTGAGCCCAAGAGTTAGAGAGCAGCCTGGGCAACATGGTAACACCCCATATCTACAAAAGATACAAAGAAATTAGCCAGGCCTGGTCCAGCTACTAGGGAGACTGAGGTAGAAGGATTGATGTAGCTGGCAGATGGAGGCTGCAGTGAGCCAAGACCATGCCACTGCACTCCAGCCTGGGTGACAGAGTGAGACCCTGTCAAGAAAAGGAAAGGAAAGGAAAGGAAAGGAAAGGAAAGGAAAGGAAAGGAAAGGAAAGGAAAGGAAGAGGGAGGGAAAAGAAAAGAAAAGGAAAGGAAGAGGGAGGGAAAAGAAAAGAAAAGGAAAGGAAAGAAAAGGGAAGAAAGAAAGAAAGAAAAAGAAGGGGGAGGGAGGGAGGGGAAGGAAGGAAAGAAAGAGAAAGAGAGAGAAGGGGAGAGGGGAAGGGAAGGGAGGGGAGGGGAGGGGGATTAGGGAGGAGAGGGGGAGGGGAGGGGAAGAGGAGAGGAGGGGAGGGAAGGGAAGGGAAACCCTGTGTTCACTGTAAAGTGTTAAGCAAATATGGGTCATTTTTACTGATGAGGATAAGCCTTGGGTCATCACCACACTTAGCCTCCCCTCGCCTATGCAGCAGATCTGGTATACAGAGCTGTGCCTTCACTTGGATTGCTTCATTCTTCAGGGCCCATTATTGTACTTTTTAAAATACAATGTTTTGTGTTTCCTTTTAGGCAATTTGAAAGTAAGCAGATTGTGTCTAAAGACATAAGAATTGTTTTCAAGCATCCAAATGAAACAGTGGGAGGTGCAGAGAATATTGATTTGTATAGAGTTGACTTACGTTTGTGGATTTTTCATTCAATAAAAACAGGTTTTTTTTTTTAAACAGCTGTGTGGGGGTGTGTGTATAACTTTCATTTAAACATAAAATGCTAATTTATTATAAAAGTGTCAGTAGTGTCAACTGCACATTCCTCAAATACTGAAGGGTTTTTATGGCATATAAATGATTTAGGGGAGGAGGGTTACCATTTAATACTAGCTATGGCTTTTGAGCACCTACTATGTGCAAGCTTATTTGTATAGATTATTAATCCTAGTAATCTTAATTATGCAGTTTATTAATATTTAATAATTATTTAATAAGAATCTGTGCCCAGTTTGCTGTTGAAGAAACAGAAACTCAGAAACACAAATACATAGTCAAACCCGTTGAAAAACTAATACTGTTTTTGGATCCAAAACTCTTTCCTTAAAATATACCATCCCTCACTGACACACACACTCCCATTCTTTTCAGAGTGAATATTATGTATAAAGGGGGAAAGAAGAGGTGGAGGCCATTGTTAGGAATCATTTTTGAAATTCTGGTTGGCTCCAACATTGTGGTGGTAAGAGAGTACAGGACTAAGAGGAAGAGAGCAGTTTGTATCTCAGCTTGCCATTAAATTAGTTGATCATCTTGAACAAGTCACCCAGGTTTTCTTGGCCTAATTCATCTATAAAATGAGGGAACTGAACTACATGATTTCTAAGTTTTCTGTGCTATTTTAAAATTCTATGAACGTGACCCTGCTGTGAGCTCAGAAATATATGAGTCCTGTTAAAGGTTCTTTTAACTGCCAACAATGTTAGAAAAATCAATGTATCCTTGATTTCATGAACACTCTTGATAAAAGTGAGTCAGATCTCTAAATCAAAAGCCTGTGTTGTCTCTTGAACCCATCTTGCAGAGGTGATTTTTGGCATCTGTTAATACACAAATAATGAAGGAGTAGACAGTCTGTTCAGCTCGTTCAATCCTGATATGATGTGAATGTTGGCTGAGTATCCTTCACACTGGAGTCTTTGGGGGATTGAATTTAAATGTGTTAAAGGGTGATTTTTTTTTTAAGACAGGGTCTCATTCTGTTGCCAACGCTGGAGTGCAGTAGCATGGTCATAGCTCACTGTAATTATTTTTTAAAGGTAAGTTATGACTTTTTTATGAATATAAAATGAACATGTCAAAAATTTCACTTAACTCACTAATTAATGAAGGAACCCATATGATGTTACAATGGATTAAACGGAGGATCCAAAGAGCAGTTACACAGATAGGCCGTCATGCATTTAAAATGAATTTGCTTAATATATGTGAAACTGACTTCTTCCACAGAGGGGTAGGGGAATGGAGATCAATTGTACTTTCACAGGACAGCATTCATTTGCATGTCCAAGGACAGGATTCATTTGCATTGCTATCAATTATCTGCAATTTACAGAGTTATAAAATAGCTCAAATATAGCAAAAAAAAAAAAAAACTAAAATGATAGGCAGAGAATAACTTGAAGGGTACACTGGTCAAGAGACCTAGTAATCTTTTTCGACTATTTCAAGATCATCCAGAATTTTTTGCTAACTCTTCAGAGAGGTCCTCCATGTCTACCTATTCTTAAAAGGGTCTCTCTCTCTCTCTGTTTTTTTTTGTTTTTTTTTGTTTTTTTTTGTTTTTTTTTTAGACAAGGTCTCTGTCATCCAGGCCACGGAGTGGAGTCGGGTGATCATAGCTCAGGGTCAATGCAGCCTTGACCTCCTAGGCTCAAGTGATCCTCCTATCTCAGCCTTCTGAGTAGCTGGGACCACCACCATGCACCAGCTATTTTTTAACATTTTTTTAGAGATGAGGTCTCCCTGTATTGCCCAGGCTGGTCTCCAGCTCCTGGACTCAAGTGATTCTCTCATCTCAACCTCCCAAAGTGCTGGGATTACAGACATGAAACACTGTGCCTGGCTAAAAAGGGTCCCTTCTTATTCTTTATCATAGTTCTCTATTTACTTTTGTCGTGGCACCAATTATGATCTGTGTTTTTGTTTGTTTGTTTACTTATTTATTCTCAGTCAACCTATGCCTGCTCCAACCCCAAATGCAAACTCCAGGAGGGCAGAGTATTTGTTATATCATTACTACTTGCTACAATGCCTTGTGCTCAACTCTTAATCCATTGTTCTTCTAGAGGCCCTGCTAACACCCAATTGATCACATTTAACACTGCATTTCATCCATATATTAGTTATCAATTTATTGCCTCTCAGCTCCAAATTCATCTTTCATTACTTCCTCTCTGTTAATGGAACCAGGCCCTGTAAGGATTTCATCTTTGCCACTGGCACGATGCTAAACATTCTCAGTAGAGAGCATTGGAGGGAAACTACAGGAGGAAGGGGCTTCTCTTCCTAGTTCCGGTCTTTCTGTTTTCTTTTTCTTGTACTTATTTTGCCACTGACAAAGATGCCTTGGAGAGGGACATGCGGTAGCACTCACTTCTGTCAGGTTTCACTGGCATCTCTGCTGGTGGATCCAGTGAGTCTTGCGGGCATCCCCACAGTTGGCTACCCAGCCTCAGTCCACCTGCATTCTGGGAAGGTGTTTCCTATGGCCACTCCCATCCATGTTTTCTGCCCTCTGGCCTCTACCTGGTGAATGTAGACCCCACCTGAGCTCAGGGAAACGCAGCCAACTTCTTCATTATCCAGTGGCTACAGCAATACATTCTCCAATGAGATCCGAGTCCCACCCTTAGAGAGGATTCCCTGCACTCCCACTTCCAAGTTTGTCCTTTGTTGGGTATTCTCCCTCAGTACTTTTGAATATTCTTTAGAATTCCCCCTACACTTTTTAAATCAATCATCTGTTATAATTGATCATTCTATTTATTAAATATTTCCTGTTTGATTTACTGTGTGGTTTCTGTGTCTGATTGGACACTGATTGATATAGTCCATGAACTGACCTAGTCCACCAGAATGTACTTGTGAACAGTTCTCTTGTTCTTACCCTTTTTCTTGACCAGGTACTTTTAGAAAGTGTAAATAGTTACAAATGTGGCAATATGATATTGTGAAATATTAGCCAATGTTTTTTCCCCACAGATCTTTTTCTGTCCTGTGACCATCCCCATGCAGGTCATTGGATGGGAGTCTTTTCACCTCAGAGGGGCAGAACTAGAGGACAAAGGTAGTCCAGCATTTTTTTGTTCTAAATTCAAGAGCCTTGGTCCGGATGTAAATCAGAAAAGATTTGCTGCTTCCCACTCCTTCTCATAACACTGTATAAAAATCCTCCAGGCTGGGGTGGAATATGAGGGCAAGGAAAATAAGATTAAAATTATCTATCTTAACTAAAGTAAGAACAAAATATCTCATCTGCCTTTATCTAGGATTAGCTCCAGATGTCTAGATAAGTTTAGGGTGATCTGAGGGTAGAGGAGATTTGTGCCAGCTTCCCATCTGAAATCTGGAGGCTGAGTCTCATGGAAATTCCATGCCACTTTGCTATGGCTCAGCACAGTAAGCCTGTATGGGATGCCACTGGGCCTCAGAAGCCTGCAGGCTAAGAGAACAGGTGGACTTTTCTAGACTTTTCCTCATCTTTAGAGGGCCACAAAAATTACCTGAAAGACAAAACCAGATAACTAAGGGGTTATGCCAAGGGGACAGCATGGTACAAGGTGTCACAAGAGGTTGTGGCCAAAGACCAGATGGGGACATGGGCATCTCAACACATGCCAGCCTGGAGAGATAACATTTGAAGACCAGACAGGATCATACATTCAGCAAATGACAGTGTAGACAGGTAAGGAATGTCAGCCAGATCAATACCCTTCCTTTGTAAGGATGTAATGTTCCTTAAGCATCTGGGGACAGAGATGCTATCCTGAAGAGAAGCAGGAGACATCTCCTTAGATGTTTTTCAGAATTGATTGAATTTCAACGTGAAATGATCTAGAATTGACTAGCCCAGTTTTCAACCAGTGAGCAGACTGAGACTTTAAAATAGTTTAACTCTAGTTTAGCTCTAGAAAAATGAAGGCAGGCTGGGCACGGTGGCTCATACCTGTAATCTCAGCACTTTGGGAGGCCGAGGCAGGCAGATCACCGGAGGTCAGGAGATCGAGACCAGCTTGGCCAACATGGCAAAACCCCATCTCTATTAAAAATACAAAAATTAGCCAGGTATGGTGGTGCGTGCAGGTGGTCCCAACTACACGGGAGGCTGAGGCAGGAGAATCGCTTGAATCCAGGAAGTGGAGATTGCAGTGGCTGAGATCATGCCACTGCACTCCAACCTGGGTGACAGAATGAGACTCCATCTTAAAAAAAAAAAAAAAAGTGAAGGCATCTGATTTACAGACTGAAAAATATAGTAGTTGCTACTAAATCCAGCCAAATGTTGTAGAAACTCCAAAGACCTGCACAAGCTATCTGGCACTGCGATCTGGCCTGCCTCTGCATCCTCTTCGCGGCCCATCCATCTCTCTGGCTTCTACTCTTCCCACTCTCTTCTTACTCACTCCTTGCTCTTCCTCAAGCAGGCCAGCAATGCTCCCTCTGGCCTTGCTACTTCCTCTGCCTGGAATGTTCTTTCCCAAGACATTCTCATGCCTCCCTCCCTCATTGCCCTCAGGTGTCTGCCCCAGTATCACCTCCTTAGGGTGGTCTTCTTACCTGTCCACTGCATCTACACCCCTCATCCTTCTCTATTCCCTTTATCCCCTTGATTTTTCTTTACAGCACTCACCAGTATTTGATATTATGTTATATATTTGTTTGGTTACATGTGTCTCTCCCCACTGGAGTATTTATATTTGTTGATATTTATGTAAGTGAATATTTATTAAGTGAATGAATTGTTATTCACAATATTTATTATATTATTTATTTATTATTAATTAATTATTGTTAATAAATATTTATTTATTAAGTGAATGGTTAAATGTCCAAAATTCTCTAAATAATCTCCAAGATAAATTGAATCCTTACTATATGCCAGACACAGAACTACTCTATTAGGTACTTTGCTAAGTACCTTAGATAACATTACTTAATTTTTACAACAGCCCCTATGAGATAGATATTACTACTGCCATCTTATGATGAGAAAACTGAGGTCCAGAGTGGTTAAGTTCTCATAACTTGTCTTTGAAGCTAAAAGAGGCAGGATACAAAGCCAGGCTCTCCCAACTCCAGAGGCTGTGGGTTGCCCAGCATACTCTACTGCCTCCATTGCACTGGTATTTAGGTGCTTTTATATAGGTGCAAACCAAGGGCTATCAGAGCATGGGGGAAGGCAGAATAATTCTGGTTAAGACAAACCTGGGAAGGCCTTCTGTAGAAAGTAGCACTTATACTAGGCAAATTTAAAACATATTTTTTTTTGTTTAAAAAAAAGGAACAAAAAAGAAAGGATTCCAAAGGAGTAGATGGTTGTGCAACTTACGGCAATATATTTATTAAAAATGTTCATGTGGTGAAGTCGATATATGTAAGAAAAAGGTTGTCAAGTATAAATAGAAGATCTAATGAACAATGACAGTTACCTGGAGGGGTATTTTTTATAACTGCAATATCAACAGAGCCTGCTGGTAGGAAGCAGGGAAGAAATGGAAAGAAAGAACAGAGAGATGGCACTGAATCGTGCTGTGCATTACTCAGAGCTATCAAAGTGCTTCTATGGTGCTTAGCTCCGTGGTACTTGGGCATTTAGTGGGGACAAAACCAGCCACTCTTGGGGTTGTTGTATTGAGATGGTAATACTTGGAAGAGGGGTCAGGGTAGAGAAGTGGATTTAGTAGTTGCTTCGTGTATCAACCAAAGCCACACACACACACACACACACACACACACACACACACACACACACACAAACTGGTAGGAGCTCTTTGAAGAAAGAAAAACCCTCTGTCCTCAAAGCTAGATTTTTGTGTAAGAATAGTTAGTGGACAAGACCAATAGGCAAATTTAGAGAAGGCAAGGTACACATAAATGCTGATAGCGAGAACAGGCACTGCCCAGTCCACTACTTCCCTGGCCCACACCTCTCAGAGTCCCACGACAGCCAAGAAGTTGTCTGGTGACAGCCAAGAAGTTGTCTGGTGCTGGTGATGCCACCTGGAGGCTAGTGCAAGAAGTACAAGAAATTCCAGAAAAATCTATACAATACTTCAGCAAAGATGCACAATTAAAACAATAACGCTGATGGAAACATTTGGTTGGAACGAACCACTTAAAATGTACACAACTTAACCACAGTACTCACAAAAATAACAATCTTAGTAAAATGACAGCACAATTAAAAAGACAAGTTCTCATTAAAGAAACATAAAGCTTTACTTTTTAAAAGTGTTGCTAGCTTGATGCAAAGCGTATAAGAACAAGTTGAGCCTATTGATTTATGGAGATAAGAATGTAATAAACAAAAGTTGAGCATGACTCCACCTATGGCCAAATCAAGACAGGAGACAAACATGGGATGAGTCATGAGTATCCGGCACAGTATGGTTTTCCTCCGTGGCTTGCTGTGTTCATCTCTGCGGATCTACTTTGCCATTCACTGTTGTTTCTTAGTGGAATAAAACATTAATGTACTGGGTAAAATTGCATATGAATCATCAAAGCTTTTGCCTTTCACTGACATCATTTCTGTATTAACCAATAATCTATAAGCTAATTTGCATAACATAAATATCTTTTGTAGTAGAAGAGCCTGTAAGTCACTTTCCCTCCACAGGGCTCAAGAGGATCCTGACCTCCTGAGCATTCAGCATCCAACCCCCACCAGTCCCTTCACCTGCCCGCCCCCCCACACCATTTCCTCCAGTCTTTGCAACTTAAACAAGCTCATGATCACTCCTGTTTAACTGATGTGAATCTCAGTCTCCAAATCCTGATGTTGAGAAAATTTATTTTCTAAAAATCAACTTAATTTTTCATGCCATGCCCCTAGTCTGCCAGGCTGGTAAGAAACTGACCTCAGTCATTTTTTTGAGTTTCCCTTTTACTTCCTGGGAGTCATCAGACTATGCGGCCCCATGCAGTACCCACATTTTGGGGGCCCTCCGTCTGTTCCTACTGGCCTCTGCACAGATGGCCACTCTCCTATATGGTCATTTCAGATCTGGGTGGCTATCTGCTGATTTTGTGTGTTAGTTACAGAATCATGGTTCATTTTGTTCTTGCTGCTGGGATCTCTCCCTCACCTGGCCATGTTGCTGCCTCCCTAGTCCACCCCCTGCCTCTCTGAGCCTTGCCATTTCTTTGGGACACTGCCACCAAGAGATGTCTGGGACTCCTACTCCTCCTCCATTGCTGGGGACAGCTCTCCTTAATCTCTGGTAATCTGGATACCACTTCTTGCATCTCTGAGACACTTTACTCTTTACTTCTGCCTTCACTTCCTCACCTCCTTCCTATCAGTTAACAATCTTTGGGTTGTAAGCTACAGAAAATGCATCTCAAACTGACTTAAAAGAAAGTATATTGGCTCAAATGACTGCAAATCTAGAAGTGGGGCTTGTTTCAGGCTGCGATTGATTTGGCCAGTCAAATTTTTTTATAGCAATATATTCCTATGTTCCAGGCCATGTTCTGGGCACTGGGGATACAGTGGTGTGCAGGTGGATTCTCTGGCCCCCAGTCAAATTACCATATGGTGCAGAGACAAGCTGCCTCTTCCAAGCCCTGCCCAAATTGCATATTTATGAGCAAATCAGTGATTGTTGCTGTTTTAAGCCACGCAATTTTGGAGTAGCTTGTTACACAGCAATGTTATGTGAACACCACCTGTGAGTATAGGGACAATGGAATTTTCCCTGTTCTTTTGGGAAGTTTGATGTTTGAGTCCGAGAAATAAACTGACAATAGTCAGATTAATAGGAGGAAAGACATACAAACTTATCAATATGCACATGGACATGGGAGTCCTGCAATTATAAGACTCCAAGAAGGCCATATGACTGCAGTTTTTATACCAGACAGAAGGAAAGAGGGGCTTGGAACATGGTGACAGGTTATGGAAGGGTGAGGGGAGGAAAGGCATGGTGAGCAAAAGCTGTCCTGGGATGCAGGTAAAGCCTCCCAGGTCGCAGCCCTAAGAAAGAATAGATGGCACCCTGTGGAAAGTTTCTGTAAAAGTGTCAGACCTCTAAAAGGGTCAGACTTTTAGCCTCCGTTTCCTGAGTGTTAATCTTTCCTGGATCCAGATAAGGGGACTTCAGAGAACACCTCTACATTGCTGTTTTCATCACTAAGGTAGATATCCTCCACAGATGCAAATCTCCCCTACAAAGGACAGCTTTCCAGAGCCATTCTTGCCTCTGCAGCCCTGCTGAACAGCCATCTTGAATATGCCAAAGATGCATATTTTAGGGTGGCATATTTTGGTTTCCCACATGAGCCCAAAAGAAATCCTAGTATTTATCAATAAATATAAGATTAATGCTAATGAAACACTTTTTATCAAGAATAAGGAAAGGTATATACTTTGAAATTAGATAATAATAACAACAAGAGTATTTCCCCTGCTCTAAATCACATTGAACAACCTTCCGCAGGTTCCTCACCCTCTGGCTTCCACATAGGTTTGGCCCCCGGGAGGCACTGGCATTAGACTGGAAGGCAGGAGGAGAGAAATCAGGGTTTACCTCCACCCACTGCCCTCAGTGCCACAGCTATTTCAGTGACATCATTTCTGGCAGCGGCTGTGATTCCTCTATGGTTCTGAGGAAGAAAGATAAATTTTGGGGTCTCCAAATCACTAAACTAAAAGGGAAAGGTCAAGCTGGGAACTGTTTAGGGCAAACCTGCCTCCCATTCTATTCAAAGTCATTCGTCTGCTCACTGAGATAAATGCATATCTGATTGCCTCATTTGGAGAGGTTGATCAGAAACTCAAAAGAATGCAACCATTTGTCTCTTATCTGCCTATGACCTGGAAGCCCCCTCCCCTCTTCGAGTTGCCCCACTTTTCCAGACTGAACCAATGTATATCTTACACATATTGCTTGATGTCTCATGTCTCCCTAAAATGTATAAAACCAAGCTGTGCCCCTACCACCTTGGGCACATGTCAGGACCTCCAGAGGCTGTGTCACAGGCGTGTGTCCTCAACCTTGGCAAAATAAACTTTCTAAATTATCTGAGACCTGTCTCAGGTTTTTTAGGTTCACAGTTCTATTACCTGCTGGACAGCCCCTCTCTCAGGGGTACCAGTTCCTGCCTAGTCAAGACAATTGGCTGTGACAAGACCATTTCGTTCTTTTGTTCCTCCAGGCCTAAGGATGGGAGCCACTTTCTGCTGTTGATGATCTCTGGGTTGTCTCACTAAACTGCTGGGCTTCTTTGTTCTTCCAACACTAGTTTTCTTTGTTATTTTTCCTTTGTTTGAAAGACTTAACAAGGTTCCTATTTCCTAGCTTGACCGTGATTGATTCAATCACTAACATTTATTGTGTATTCTAGGATCAATCCTATTAGAAAGCTACTATTAGCATCTCCATTTTCCAGATGAGGCAGCTAAGGCACAGAGAGATTAACCTATCTAAGATCCCACGTTTATATTCAGTGCTACTCACATCTACAAACAATGAAGTACCATTATAAATTAGTATTATTTATTATTATTTTGGTGGGGGTGGGGTCTTGCTCTGTTGCCCAAGCTGAAATGCAGTAGCACAATCATAGCTCACTGCAGCCTCAACCTCCTGGGCTCAAGTGATCCTCCCACATCAGCCTCCCAAGTAGCTGGGATCACAGCTGTGTGCCACCACACCTGGCTAATTTATTTTTTAGACATGGGATCTCACTATGTTGCCCAGGCTGGTCTCGAGCTACTGGGCTCAAGTGATCCTCCCACCTCAGCCTCCCAAAGTGCTGGAATTATAGGTATGAGCCACCACACTCAGCCTAGAAATTATTTTTTTTAAATTAAAGTTGAAAAAACATAGTATTCACTGTCAGGGGACACAAAGGGGACTTCTCGGGTGCTGGAGTCTTCTGACCTGGGGGTGGTTACATGGGAGTGCTCACATTGTGAACATTCATCAAACTGTGCATTTAGGATTTGGACACTTTTCCATATGTTAGATTTCAATAAAGAGTTTACTGTTCATATGTGTCAATTTTGAAAGCTTCAGAAATCTTCATTTAACTCTTCATTAAACTTGGTTTTCTCAAACACTGACTTTCAAGATACACTATTTCTTTTTTTAATTTTGAAGATTAGAGTTCTGATTTCAATTCAATTCTACGTTACAGTTTTTGTAGATCAGTTACGTGACAGACACGTGCTAGGAGTTCGGACTCTAACAGTAAACACAAACATAGCCCACGCCCTAGTGGATGGAGCCCAGTGGGGAAGACAACACTGAAAGCGAATTGTAACCTGGATGTAGGTCCTACCCAGAAGAAAGATCATAGGAATACAGGAGGTTATAAAAAAAGGAGTTAGTCCAAGCCTAAGCGGAACTGAAACTAAGACTTGAAGGTTAAAGGTAAGGGGAGGGGGGACTGGCACAAGAAACAAGGGTAAAATCCAGCAAGCAGAGAGAGCAGGAAGTGAAAGGCCATTGAGGAGTAGGGAGCAAAGTGGGAGATGGTAGAAGGGAAGGCTCGTGGCACAGCAGTCAGATAAAGCAGGCCCACACAGGCTGTGATTCAGAAATAAATTTTCCAGTAGAAAAACACTATCATTGGTTACCAATGGCTCTCAGGCCTGCCTGCAGAGAAGTACTAGGAAATGAAATCTACATTCAGGGATTCTCCTGGGGACATCAGGGTGTCAGAAATACTTTTTTTTTTTTTTTTTTTGAGATGGAGTCTTGCTCTGTCGCCCAGGCTGGAGTGCAGTGGCGCGATCTTGGCTCACTGCAAGCTCCACCTCCCAGGTTCATGCCACTCTACTGCCTCAGCCTCCCAAGTAGAAATATATATATTTTTTTGTTTTTAATGTAGCAGTGAGATGAGATCCTACCAAAATCCCTTACCACCACCACCACCACTACACTAGGGGCAGAGGTGACAGCAAATTGAGGATACAGGGGGAGGCAAGGGCTTATGGAGCAGGGAATCCACGTTTGGGTTATGATTACTATTGTCAGAGGTGTTTGAACCAGAATGACTCCGTCTTAAATAGGGGCTGGGTAAAATAAGGCTGAGACCTACTGGGCTGCATTCCCAGGAGGTTAAGACATTCTTAGTCACAAGATGAGACAGGAGGTCGACACAAGATACAGGTCATAAAGACCTTGCTGATAAAACAGGTTTCAGTAAAGAAGACGGCCAAATCCCACCAAAACCAAGATGTTGATGAAAGTGACCTCTGGTCGTCCTCACTGCTCATTATACGCTAATTATAATGCATCAGCATGCTAAAAGACTCCCACCATCGCCATGACAGTTTACAAATGCCATGGCAACGTCATGAAGTTACCGTACATGGTCTAAAAGGGGGAGGAACCCTCAGTTCTGGGAATTGTCCACCCATTTCCCAGAAAACTCATGAATAATCCACCCTTGTTTCGTGTATAATCAAGAATTAACAGTAAGTATAAGCAGCTGGGCAGCCAATGCCGCTGCTCTGTCTATGGAGTAGCTACTCTTTTGTTTCTTTACTTTCTTAATAAAGTTGCTTTCACTTTACTCTGTGGACTTGCACTGAATTCTTTCTCGTGCAAGAGCCAAGAACCCTCTCTTGGGATCTGGATTGGGATACCTTTCCAGTAACACAATCATGTCTCTGCTCCTAAGCATAAACTCAATACACTGCCAGCTCCTTTCCTCTCTCATTACACACAGATGAACACCATCTTCCCCTTGTACCTGGGGAATACTTTCCAATTCCTGCTTTAAACAGAATGAAGTCTCACAGAGTTCCTTGGACTTCAGCCCTTCCTTGAAGCAAACCCATGTCATCAGTAAGACTTTAAGATTGTACAGATAGCAAACAAAGACAAAAATATGAGGATATGCTCCATTCATCCAAGCAGTAAAAAGATTAACTGAATCCAATTAAAGTGGTGAAGCAGTATGGGGGACGGGGTGGGTTGCAGACTCAAATAGAAACAAAGAATTAGATAATGATGTAGCTTAAGCCCAGAAGGTGGGTTCACAAAACCCACCATTTTTACTGGAAAGGTTTGTACTTGAAGTCTCCAGTTAAAGTAAGTGACTAATTTTTCAAAAGGCCAAATGCATCCATTTTTGATGCTGAAAAAATCACCCTGGAATTCACATGCTGCCTTGGGCCAAATATCTCTGACAAGAAATAAATTCAACTTGCTTGGGATAGGAGGTGCAACTCATTTTGAGATGATATAATTATTCCCTTAGTTATAGTGTATACATGAATTTTAGTTTTGGGAAGATGTAGAATTAAATATTGAAAAATCAAGAGACCAAATTCACAATATTAATACTTATGTATTAAATTTAGAAACAATCTGTGTATATTTCACATTTACAGTATTTATAATGTTTAAAATAATTGGGTGTGTGAGAATATCTGAGAGACTAAGCTTCTAATTCCAACTTGAAATATGTAGTGAAGTAATTGACTTTAGATTTGCAGTTTATTGCTGAAAGGTGTAAGAGGATTTTATGGTTTGCAAACAGTATGGTATTGAAATGTTTGAGATTCATTATACTGTATTTATAAATTTAATTTAGTCTGTAAGTGCTTGGGAATGTTTTGCTTGTCAGGGTAGGTGATTAATGTGCTTAAAAAAAGAAAATTGAAAATGTTGAATTTATGAATGCAGTTTACAATGTTTTAAGGGAAATTTAATTAAACTAAGCTTGTAAACAGAGCTAGTTGAAGGGAGTTTAGTTTGTTCAACTTGAGACTATTAATCAAAGCCCCCTTATTACAATGTGCTAGACTTACTAATAGAATAATAAGACTTACTGAACTTAAGAGGCTTAAGGGAAACTAGGCTTTAAATTTTATTATTTTAATAAGTTAAATATTAGCTTAAAAATAATATTTTTCGTACATCACACCAAACTTTCACCTCTTCCACCCTCCTCCATGGATACCACGCTAAAAGAACAGTCTTTTAATATTTTCTACGAGCTTTTACTACTAGCAAGATTGGTAAGAAGGGGGAAAAGAAGGTTCCTGGCCTTGATGAAATTCAATAGTGCAGGAGAAAAAAATTAGGAGAGTGGAGAAGGAAAGAGAATACTTAAGACCATGAAGCCAATTTAGTTTTGCCTAAGGGGCCATTTATGTATATGGACACACATTTGTTGTAACTGAATGGTGAGGGCTCCCTTAAATAATGTAACAGTATTGTTATTCAGTTCAAATGTAATTTAATTCAGCTACAATATGAATTAAGTAGTTTTGGGGAACTAGCCTGGAAACTAACCATTGACAAAACTGTTCAGATTGGAACAAAATTCTACAGCATTTTTGAACTTTTAAGGGTCAACATTTGAAAGTTTGATGCTAAATGTTGACTTTCACAAATGAGAGAAAAATGCAAGAATATCCAGGGTAAGTATTGGGAATTAGCTACAAATGACTTTCCCTTTCCCTGAAAGATAACAATGCATAGTTTTGTATAGAGCCCACTTTACAGAGTATGATAGTGAAGATATGTTTATCTTGCTGCTTTCATTGCAGCTTTAAAGGACCATAACTAATTTTAAGGGGCATTAATGAGTGTGGCAAGGTGATATTGGGAAGTATTAACTAACATTTTTTCTCACCTCCTTCAAAAAATCCTTTGAATATTTTCATGCTTACCATGAGGTATAGCCCCTCGAATAGACTGCACCACTTCAATTGCCTCAGAAGGAAGTAGGCACATCAAGATCAATGAAGCACAGTCTTGAAATTCTTGGTTCTTAGGCAGAAGCAAAACAGACAAGAAACAAGCAAACAAAAAGCCTGAACACGTTTCCAGGTGTGAGGGTAAAAGACTTGGATAATTACTGTTGAGCTACTGTGATACGTGTCTTCCAGTTATGCAAAATTATTCCATGAGCAGAGGGATAGAAGGGGGACCACCAACAGAAGAAGAAGCTGGACAAGAAACCAGAGTGTTACATTCTGGTAGGATCTCTGAGATTAGCTAAAACCAGGTGGGGGAGAACTTGGATCAGCCCTTGGGAAGAGGGAATGAAGAAGGCAGAGGGGAAAATTCAAAATTAACTGAGTTTAATCCTTACATATGTTTGGGGAACTCAAAGGGAAAGAGCTTGCGCTCCATTTTCTGCTGGAACCCTGGGAGGTAGGAGCCTCTTGGAACTGCCCTGTTTAGCATGGTAGCCACTACCACTTGTAGCTATTGGACCCTGGCCATGTGTCTAATCCAAATTGTGATGTGTTACAAGTATAGAACACACCTGATTTTGAAGTCTTAGTATTAAAAAAAGAAAGTAAAATATCTCGTTAATAATTTTATAGTGATTTCATGTTGAGATGATAACATTTTAGCTATTATTGCAGCAAACAAAATGTATTACTAAAATTAATTTTACTCTTGGCCAGGTGATCAAGGTCAACAGCAACAGTCGTAAATTATGTTGATAGTATATAACCTGGATATTATGTGATGATAATGGCGTTTACCTCTGCCATCTTTCTCCCAAATACCCATAACCCCAATCTAATCACGAGGAAAATATCAGAAAAATTCCAGTAGAAGGATGTCCTACAATATACCCTATATGGTTTGGCTGTGTCCCCATCCAAATCTCATCTTGAATTGTAGCTCCCATAATCACCATGTGTCATGGGAGGGACCCAGTGGGAGGTAATTGAATCATGGGACTGGTTTTTCCCATGCTGTTCTCATGATACTGAATGAGTCTCATGAGATCTGATGGATTTACAAAGGGCAGTTCCTCTGCACATGCTCTCTTGCCTGCCACCAGGTGAGACATCCTTTACTCCTCTTTCACCTTCCACCATGATTGTGAGGCCTCCCCAGCCATGTGGAACTGTGAGTTCATTGCACCTCTTTTTCTTCATAAATTACCCAGTCTCGGGTATGCTCTATTAGCAGCATAAGAATAGACTAACACGATACCTGACAAATAATCCTCAAGACTGTCAAAGTCATCAAACACAAGGAATATCTACAAAACAGTCACAGTCAAGAGGAGCCCAAGGAGATATGGCAACTAAATGTAATGTTGCAACCTAGATGGATTCCTGGAACAGAAAGGCACATTAGGTAAAAACTAAGGAAATGTGAAAAAGCTGTGGATTTTAGTTGCTAATAATGTATCAGCATCGGCTCATTAATTATACCAAATGTACCATACTTATGTTTCAAGATTATTTTTGTTGTTGTTGTTGTCACTGTTGTTATTGAGACAGGGTTTCACTCCATCACCCAGGCTAGAGGGCAGTGATTCAGTCACAGCTTACTGCAGCCCCAAACTCCTTGGGATCAGGTGAGGTGATCCTCCCACCTCAGCCTCCTGTGTAGCTGGGACTATAGGCACATGCCACCACACCCAGCTAATTTTTGTTATTATTATTATTGTAGAGACAGGGTCTCCCTATGTTTCCCAGGGTGGTCTCCAACTCCTGGGCTCAGATGATCCACCCATCTTGGCCTCCCAAAGTGCTGGGATTATAGGCATGAGCCACTGTGCCTGGCCTAAGATGTTAATAATAAGGGAAACTGGGTGGGTCTGTGGAGGTATATGAGAACTCTTTATACTATCTGCTCATTTCCCCCATGGAAATCTAAAACTATTCTAAAGAGTTAAGTCTATTAATTGAAAAAAAAAAAAAAGTCAACATCCTGGTAACATGCAGAGGGCAGGAGTAGGTTGAGATTGGGCCGGGACAAGGGAAGAGGCTTGGGAGGTGGTCAGTGAAGTCTTATTTCATGCCCTGGGTAGTAGGTACATAGGTGTTCACCTTATGAAGCTATACATTTGTTCTGTGAGGTTTCCAGCATTTATTTTTCTTACATACAAAAAGTTAAACACAAATGAAAAGACAAACTTCACCTGTTCTTTTTTTTACCTTTTTAAAAAACATGGCTACTAGAAAATTTAAACTGTGTATCTGACACATGACATTTTTATTGGAAAGCTTTGCCTTAGAAGCTTCCAGTGTGTCAGAATATTGTTGCATTTTATGTTTGCATGAACCTTTCACACCAGATGCTTGTCAGGCTCTAAAAGGGCAGAGAGTAGGGATGTCACTGAAATTATAGGAACAGGTTGTATGATTTTTTTGTGTGTGCCGGCTTGCCAATAAATATTTGTACATGCTGCTTGCTTTATATGATACCATCTGGTAGTGATACTGCACAGAGAAGACACATCAGTCCCTCTAAGCATGGGACACACCTGATCCTTACCAAAAGAACCTGACAATTATAAGACAGATAAGTTAGCTTAGGTCAGTTTGCAAGGAGTAAAACAAGCACAATTTCCAGAGGCCCCACAAAATGCCTAGAAATGAGCTGAGAGAGAGCGACCCTACAAAGAATTGTCAGTTTCAGTGAGGGGTTGCTGCGGAAAGCAGAAGTAGAAAGCAGAAAGTTGATCATGTCCCCTGGGACATGGGTGCCTCAATAGAAGCCAGCATGGAAGAATGCCCATACCCCAAGTTCAGCTGAGATTTTACCCTTTTAACCAATGATGGTGTAGAATGGAAGACAGCTGCATATCAGTTTCCAATCTTGCTTCCAAGCTGTCTTAGCTTGTCTTCAGCTTGTCTTGATCCAAGCTGAACTTAGATCAGTCTTCAGGAAGACAGAATGAAGAAGGCAGAGGGGAAAATTCGAAATCAACTGAGTTTAAACCCAAGGTGGCTGAGAACATCCTGAACCGGCTGAGAAAACCTAAAAACATCATAAGTTTTCTGCCCTCATACAGACTGGGAGCTCAGGTAGAAACAAAGTTTGATCATTGAGAAATATGCTTGATATCTTCCTGGTTTTTTGTTTGTTTGCTTGTTTCTAACACCTGAGTTTTGTGGCCTAAGAAACTTGTCTGAGCCATAGCCTTCTGGCTTAGCTAAAAGATACAGCTTATAAGATACTTACTGTGCCCGTTGGTAGAGGTGCACCAAATATAACTTTTGGCCAAATACCCAAGGGCTGAGTGTTATAATCATGCCAAAAACTAATTATTGTCACCACAGAATGAATTTCTGGTTTATGCAAATGTGGTAGGTTATTTTTAAGAATGACTTTAATTATACTCCTCCCTGTATTCATGCCCCCCTTGGTATGTAACGGGAATGCCCTTCCACTCGGGTTCAGATTCTGGGCTCAGGGTTTTTTTGGGGGCGTGCAGGGTTTCACTCTGTCATCCAGGCTGGAGTGCAGTGGCACGATTACGGCTCAGGCTCACTGCAGTCTGACCTCCTGGGCTCAAGCCATCCTCCCACCTCAGCTTCCCGAGCAGCTGGGACTACAGGTGTGCGCCCCCACACCCAGCTAATCTAGGCTCAGTTTTGTACTTATGTTAGAGTTATCTGTGGGTCTTCCGAGTGGGGATGCCCAGAAAGCCTTTAAATATATAATGCAGGATCTCAAGAGAGATATTTGAGCTGGAAATACAGATTTGGCATCCTTAGCATATAGTCGTTGGAATGACTGACATCCCTCAGGAAGAGTGTTGGCAAAAGAGAAAAGGGCTTGGAGGCAGAACCCTGGGGCCAGAAAAGCAAGAAGTGTCTGCACAGAGAGACAATGAAGAAAGATTTAAAAGAGAGCTAGGAGCCACAGGGAGATGATGGTTTTGAGATCTACAGAGTGGTCACAGGTATCAAAAGCAATCTAAGGTCCAAGGAAATCTTGATAGGAGCAATTTTAGGGGAATTGTCGGCTTGCTCTCTCATTGCTTTTGAATCCCTGTGACTACTGCCTTGTGACCAAGCCCAGCCTAGCCTGCTGCATGATGAGAAACCACATGGAGAAAGGAGTCAGTTATCCCAGCTGACCCAGCTAGCCTTACCAACTAGCCTTACCATCTTATGGTACAGCCGATGACAGCATTACCACTGAGTTATTTAGCTTTTCTTTCTTCCTGGTAGTAACTCACAGAAGACTTTTGACTCCTGGACTTAAAGATATGTCTAATGGTGAGGATACAATTTTTGGAGGAGATTCCACAAATAAGAGCTCTGCGTACTATCTGAAGAAGATATACTCTACTTTCTGAAGCATTGTCATCAATTCCATTTCTTAAAATTCCTGATGTTTGCATGTACTTGCTGCCTCACACCTCCACTTTAGAAAAGTGTGTTCTTAAATCTTGGGTCCAGAAATGTGGTAATGGACCCACTTTAATTGGCTTCCAAGGTAATACAGTTCTCTGTATTTCCTTCTTCAACGTGGCCTTTGTAGTATGCAAATTTTCGCATCTTCCCTGACAAAGCATGATAGGTGCATCTTTATCGATAAGAAATGCTTGCTCTCTTAAGGACCATTGCTCTGGCTATTCAGTAGATTTTGGTGTAGGGACCACTTTCTCTGCAGGAAGTCTCTGGTGGTTAGCAAGCCCTGCTATATGGGCATTTTAATCTGCAAAGTGCTGAATTAAAGGCTCTGTTTTGTTCGAGCAGCCTTTTAAAAATGTAATAGCTGCTATTTCATCTTGTTTGAACATCTTGTATAAGTACATGACAAGTCAATTCCAAAATTCCTTGTCTGCCTTGAGGTTTGTCTTTCGCTGAAGAAAAATGATGAAAGTGGCCTCTTATCTTCCTGTTTACAGTCAGTCATTCTGCTTCATTAGGCTGCATGCTAATTACTTTCTGAAAACACAACTGAAGATTCATGGCCTAAACAGAATTAAATTACTAAAAGCTAAATATAGCTTTGGAGATTATTTTATTTAATGTTAAGAGGGCTAAAACAAATAATTATATAAAAATTAGAATTATGAAATAATCTAATCTCTATATTCTGCCTAATGCCATTTAAATTTTTATAAAGCTTTTTGATTCAAAAAGGATATTATATTCTGCCTAAAGTTTTCTAGTTAATGCTATCTCTATTTACATGTTAGAAATTTCTTGAAATTTTTTTTCATAACATGGAGAACTTTCATAATCATCATGAACTATTCCAGCATTTTACTCTGGCAAATTAAAAATATACATTTATACTTCAACTGAGTGATAGGAGTTCAAAGTCCAAAGCACACAAATAATTTCTTTTTACTCTCAGTTACATCTAAAATACTTACCTATGTTTGAAAGTACACGTTCAGATATTAATAATGACTCTGAATAGCATGTCTTATTGTATTATTGTGCTGATTAAATTTGATGGTAACTATGCATTCACTTGCTCATTGATCAAATGCACATTCAGGGAGCCCAGAAATGACATTAAAGTTGGCATTCTGTTACTCAGCCTTCCAACGGTCAAAGCCAATACCTAAACACATTTTGGCCAAATATTGTGGCTGAAGCCAAACTTTAGTACAACCCTCATTCCCAGGAAACAGTGATTGAAAGGAAGTCCAGGCATTTAGGCAGGAAGAAAAGGGCAACTATAACCACAACACCAAGAAAAATAAAAAATAAAATAAAAAAAGGCCAGCTATAATAAGCAGACATGATTTATTGCTCAAATTAGCAAGGAATATAGAGTTAGGCCAGAAATAGGATTTGGTGATCAAGGATAGAGAACTTTCTTGTGAGTTCAGGGACACTTAGATTAGATCTACCCTTTAGGAAAGTCTGCTAAATGTCATATTAATGCTAAGTTCTTTGTATGTACAGCCCAGATGTCTGCTAGGTTGATAGGCTCTGCTAATTAGTAGTTCCACCTCAACCTGCCTCCCAGCACCATCAGTGATCACAGTTATTTCCAGAAGACACCCAAAGTGTGATTCAAACCTTTCTTCTGTTGCTTGGTATCATATGTCTACCGACATTGTCTATGCAGCTGCTTGGAGAAGGCTCCCCACCCCGCATTGCTGCCACCTTGCATGGGAGTGCCCAGGACCCTGCCAAGAACTGTACTGAAGATTTGCCTTTGGGTACTTTCAGATTTCAACCCCTGAGGTGCCTGAACAGTGTTTGCCAAGGGTTTGTTTGCCAAGGGTTTGGGCAGCGTGGTGGAGTAGCCAGGCGAACATGGTTTCCTTCAAGATTGCTTCTAAAGCAGCTTTTCTTATGCTCAGAGCCCCTCAAATCCTCTTGAGTAGCCCCATCTGCCTCCACACTTCCCTCTCCTTGAGGGCTGAAAATAAGACACTATTTCATCACCTTTCTGGGTTTTTTCCCCTTTTCCTACTCAGCCCTTCCCCTCATGAAAACATCTCTCCTTTTCCAGTTAAAAAAACAGTCAAAAAACACCAAAAAAGCCCACCTCCATATGTGAACAGAGATAAATCAAAACTAGCCTGTGTACAGGTTAGGGGGATAGGAAGAATACGCCGTCTCTCATCTTTCCCAGGTTTGGTTGTTGTACTAGTTTTTTTTTCTTTTCTTTTCTTTTTTTTGCATAACAAATCACTACAAGCTTCCTGGCTTACAATGACACCCATTTTATTATCTCGCAGTTTTATAGGTCAGAAGTTCTGTAGGTCAGAAGTGCAGGCTGGCTCTACTGGGATCTCTCCTTAGGGTTTCTTTTTTCTTCTGCTAATGGCTGGAGAAAACTTTTGGCTTTTAAAGGGCTTGTGTGATGAGATGAGGCACACTCAGACCATCTCCTTTTTGAGGAGGGATATCTCACCATAATCACAGATTCCACCTGAACTCAAAGGGGAGGGCATTGTATAAGAGTGAGGGTCATTGGGGATCATTCTTAGAATTCTACCTACCACATAGGCATATTAGAATTATCCTTTTGATCAGGACCAAAATATACGGGTTCTCAGTCATCTCCCCTCTTCTCTGAGATTCTAGGTTTGACAGTCTGGAGCAAAGCTGAGGGACTTGTATGTTTCACAGGCCCAGCAATGTGATTCTGAGGCAGAGTCTTTTGGGGAGAGTGTTGGAATATCAACCCAAAAGGGCCTGCAATATGTATATCATCTTTTATCCTGAATTAACTCTTTCAGGTTTGTATCGTTTCCTCCATTTAGAGGTGAGGAAACCAAGGTACAAAGAGTCTAAGCAACTTTCTCAAGATCTCACAGTAAGCGGGAGAAGCCAGGTTTAGCACCCAGGAAGTATGGTTTGCAAAACTGCGTGGTTCCTCACTCTTAGAAGTGGATTAATACTAACATCGACCTAGAATTTTGTGAGAACCAGACAGGAGGATTTAAGCTTAGTAAGACTGAGGTGATGGCCATGAATCCCAAATACAGAGAACTAGTAGACATACTTGATACTAGTTAAGTTTAACTTCTCTTGGACAAAGTTTGATTTTATTCACTCGGTATATCTTGAATTGCTTACCTATGTTCAGATCAACTGAACATATTTTGTTGAATGCCTATTATGCATTCCTTAATTCATTTAAAAATATAAATGAATTTATGAGCAGAAGAAAAATATTTGAATATGAGGTATGGCTTGATCCACATTGGTAGTTTTTAGGATACATTTCTTTTTTTTCTTTTTATTTATTTATTTTTTTTAGACAGATTCTCACTGTGTTGCCCAGGCTGGAGTGCAGCGGTACAATCTTGGCTCACTGCAACCTCCTCCTCCCGGGTTCAAGCGATTCTCCTTTCTCAGCCTCCTGAGTAGCTGGGATTACAGATGCATGCCACCACACCGGGCTGATTTTTGTATTTTCAGTAGAGACGGAGTTTTACCATATTGGTCAGGCTGGTCTCGAACTCCTGACCTCAGGTGATCCAGCTGCCTTGGCCTCCCAAAGTGCTGGGATTACAGGCGTGAGCCACCTGCACCTGGCCTGTAGGAGAAATTTCAAGTGGAGAAACAGATGAATATTTACCAAAATTCAGAAAGCCCTCTCACCTGAGTATTACATAATACATATGGTCATGATGTACAAATTAAAAGAAACTCACTGTCAAACACTGATTACACTGTAAGTTCCAAAACACAGCATCAATAATTTAGGACATTTTTATGAAGTAAAATCATATTAGCTGTTAGATATAATATTACACACTCTTATTTCCAATCCATAGCAGAAGAATGTCTTAAATATTTATAAAGAGAATATTTTATTTGTTCAACTGTTTTATTTTCTGACCTCATTTAAAAAATTATTTCTCAAGCATATATTTTCTGCTAGTTGTGTGTTGAGACTTGTGTTAGGAGCTAGCAGTAGAAGAAATCATAAAATGTATTTCCTTCAGGAGCACATGGCCTGGTGAAGGGAGAAAAACATGCAGACAGAAAACAATACATATTTTCCCTATGTTTTCAGGCTTTGGGATAGTTGGTAGTGTATTTATTGTATTCTTTTTTTAGATTAAACACCAAAGCCCTTGCTTTAAATTTAGCAGTGCTGAGGAATCACCTGAAAAGTTGTCTGGAGATTAAATAAAAACTTACTAAGTAGATCATTTGAAAATATAACCAGCGCTCTATTTAAAAATAAGTTTGTCCCAGCCAGGCGCAATGGCTCACGCCTGTAATCCCAGCACTTTGGGAGGCTGAGGCGGGCGGATCATGAGGTCAAGAGATCGAGACCTCCCTGGTCAACATGGTGAAACCCCATCTCTACTAAAAATACAAAAATTAGCTGGACGTGGTGGCATGTGCCTGTAGTCCCAGCTACTCGGGAGGCTGAGGCAGGAAAATTGCTTGAACCCGGGAGGCGGAGGTTGCAGTGAGCCGAGATCATGCCACTGCACTCCAGCCTGGTGACAGAGCGAGACTCCATCTCATATAAATAAATAAATAAAATTTAAAAATAAACAAATAAATAATAAGCTTGTCCCATGCTTCCTAACTTTTCTGGGACCTGTGAAATACGGGAAGTACTCTGATCGGGCAGTGATTCCGACCAGAGACATCTTGGAAGGCGCTTGCTGACTTTGTGCTAGCACTTGAATAATCTGCAGGGGATCAGGTGCTTCAGTAACAGTGCAGGAAGAAGATTCGACTCAGAGGGAATAGCATGTGCAAAGGCACAGGGGCATAGTATAGAGTGACAAAGATTCTTTGCTTCACTAAACTTTGGCCAGGCATATGAAGCTTCTCCTGGGCACCTTGTAAAATCCAGTTTTAACAAGAACTCTGCTAAGCCAGTGTAGCAAGGACTCCCCCATTCTCGATATCTGATCAGATTCCTCATCCTCTACCCTCCCCCAGGTGATGTCTGATGACCCTGACCTGTCTTCAGGAAAAATCCTGTTAGATCAGGTTAGCCAGAATTCCCCTTTTCCCTGATGTTTGCTTTTAATAATTTCCCATCCACTGACCACTGCCCTGCTATAAATTCCAACCTGCTCATGCTGTATTCGAAGCTGAGCCCAATCTCTCTCCCTCATTGCAAAATTCCATTGCAGTGGCCCCCATACCTATTGCAACAGTATTGAATAAATCCACCTTACTGTGCTGTAATAAGTGCAATTCAATAATTTTTCTTTAACAATATGGGAAATGAGAAGTATTAGTTGACTGAGACTGGAACATAAGGAGCACGAGAAGAAGAGGAAGGAGGTTGGGTAAAGCTAGTTCAGAAAGCATCCTGTATACCACAGTAAGGACTGTGGACAGTTCTGGAGTCCAAAAGGAGTCAGTGAGGCTTTAAAACAAGGGACTAATCTGATTTATATCTTAAAAGAAGAGACCTCTCTGGCAGAAGCCTGGAAGATTGAGTAGAGTGGGCTGGTACAGGCAGGGAGACCACCCTAGTAGGCAAGAAATAATAAAGTAGGTAGGTGTGAAGATAAAGAGAGGGGAGCAAATTTGAAAAAGTAACAGGAATGTGGTTATCACAATCCACCCCCACCCCCTAATCTCTCAACAAACACAGCCCTTCAGAGTCAAGGTGAAGATGATGGAAATTAGGAAGTAGTGATTAGACATGGAGCCTTCTGGTGCCGAGTTAATGGATGAGGGCTTTGTAATGCAACCCAGGATCTTCATCATAATATCACAGTAAGGGGAGAGTTGGGGTTGAGAGGCAGTGGTGGGGGTGGGGTGAATATCATTCACAGACCGGCTGCAAGCTGCTGGAGGTGATTTACTACAGCCTTCTTGATAGGTCTGATTAACTTTTGATATTGCGGGACAAAGATCAATTTATTGTTCCCTCTGTATTCTACTCTTGGTTCCAGAAGCTTCTCCCAGATTGCCACATAACTGGTTTTCTCATTTTCTTCAGGTCCCTGCTGAAGATGAGGAGGAAGAATTACTGGTGAAAACCTGAAGTTTGAAAAAGTAAATCCAAATTGCTCTTTTGTCTAGTGTTTTGGGAAACAAGGAAGAGGGAATGAAATCTCTGTTTTAAAATTTTATTATTTCTGTTATTGCACATTCACAATTCACTATATTTCATGCATTCTTTAAAGATCTAATTTTTTTAATTGGATATTGAATATCTACAATGTGATAACTATAAAACACCTGTAAAACTTAAATAACAATACCATGATACCTATATATTCAATATCTAGTTTAAGCATAGGCTATTATTACCATAACTTCGAAGCCAACTCTGTGTACCTCCTTGGTTCCTTCCCTCTCCCTCCTTCCCAGAGGTAACCACTATCCTGAAATATATATTTCATTCCTATATTTTTCTTTAAGATTTTGAAGAAAAGCAATCTCTAATAATATGCTGCTTAGTTTTCTGTATTTTTGAACTTTATGTAA
The DNA here is from genome assembly GCF_000001405.40 of Homo sapiens. Taxonomy (NCBI): domain Eukaryota; kingdom Metazoa; phylum Chordata; class Mammalia; order Primates; family Hominidae; genus Homo; species Homo sapiens. The sequence continues at coordinate 107,123,482 of NC_000012.12, forward strand.
ATTGAATTATACTGAATCTAGTCTTCTGTAGCTTGGTTTTGTTGCTCACATTACGCTTTTGAAATTCAGCCAAGTTCATTAATTTTCACTGTTGCATAGTATTCCTTTTAAGAAACAAGCCACACACAGAAAGATGAATGCTGCATGCTATGATTAATACTGAGTGTCAACTTGATTGGCTTGAAGGATGCAAAGTATTACTGTGAGGGTGTTGCCAAAGGAGATTAACATTTGAGTCAGTGGGCTGGGAAAGGCAGACCTACCTTAATCTGGGTGGGCACAATCTAATCAGCTGCCAGTGCAGCTAGATATAAAGCAGGCAGAAAAATGTGAAAAGACTAGGCTGACCTAGCCTCCCAGCCTACATCCTTCTCCCATGCTGGATGCTTCCTGCCCTTGAACATCAGACTCCAAGTTCTTCAGTTTTGGAACTTGGACAGGCTCTCCTTGCTCCTCAACTTGCAGATGGCCTATTTTGGGACCCTGTGGTCATATGAGTTAATACTTAATAAACTTTATATATATATATATGCTATTAGTTCTGTCCCTCTAGAGAACCCTGACTAATACACTGCATGTTCTCATTTTTTTGTGGAAGCTACAAGAAATTGAATGCAAAGAAGTAGAGAGCAGAATGGTGGTTACCAGAGGCTGGGGAGAGGGGTAATAGAGAGATGTTGGTCAAAGGGTACAATGTTTCAGTTAGACAGAAGGAATAAATGATAAGTATTTGAGGCCGGGCATGGTGGCTCATGCCTATAATCCCAGCACTTTGGGAGACCGAGGCAGGCAGATCACCTGAGTCAGGGGTTCAAGACCAGCCTGGCCAACATGGCGAAACCCCATCTCTACTAAAGATTCAAAAATTAGCAGGGTGTGGTGGTGCGCGCCTGTAACCCTAGCTACTCTGGAGGCTGAGGCAGGAGCACTTCAACCTGGGAGGTGGAGGTATCAGTGAGATGAGATAGAGTCTGTCTCAAAAAAAAAAAAAAAAAAAAAACAAGATAAGTATTTGAGATGGTAGATATGCTAATTAGCTTGGTTCACTCACCCCATATTATATACATATACCATAGCATCACTTTGCAACCCATAAATATATACAATTATAATTTGTCAATATCAAAATAAATAAATAAATAGAATTTTTAAAAAGAACAAGCCATGATCTATGTATTCATTCTTTTATCAATGGATTTGGATAAATTTCATTTTTTAAGAAAATTATTACAAATATTGCTGCTGTAAACATTTTGTCTTCTGATACTTATGTACAAGAGGTTTTAGGAAATCTGCCTAGGAAATCTGATCCTAATAGTATTTATTTGTCCTTTTTTTTAAAAAAATGGGTCTTCCCAGAGATTTGCCAATTTTATCGGTCCTTCAAAAAAACCCAACTAGGTCACCCTAGAATTCACAGGAAAGAAACCCAGAATGTTTTAGTTTTGTCGGGTCTCTCCGTGGTGTATTTGTTCTCTATGATTTTCTGCTCTTATATTTTTTCTCTCTTTGGGTTTATTTTGTTCTTTTTCTAACTTCTAAAGCTGGATTCCTAGCTAATTAATTTTTAGCCTTTATTCTTTTATAGTATATGCATTTAAGATACCATAAATGTCCCTCCAAATACTCCCATAGCTGTATCTCACTAATTCTGACAAGTAGTAGTGTTGTTCACTTCTAAATACTTGCTAGTTCTTATTATGATTTCTTTGTTTTATGAGCTATTTAGATGTGTTCTTATATTTCTAAATGTATGATTATTTCTGTTTTAAAAATGGATTTCTAAATTAATTGCATTATAGGCAGAGATCGTGGTTATCAATTTTTTTGCTGAGACTCTTTCATGGTTAGTACCATGGTTAGTCATTTTTCATAAATTATTCCATGGAAATTGAAAAGAATGAGCCAGGCGTGGCGGCATGCACCAGAAGTTGCAGCTACTCAGGAGGCTGAAGTGAGAGGACTGCTTGAGTCCAGTAGTTCAAGGCCAGCTGGTCAACATAGTGAGACTCCATCTATGAAAAAATATATATAAAAAGAAAAAGAAAACAATGCATATTTTTCTGTTCTTGGGTTTAATGCACTATAAATAGAGATTACATCCAGCTTGTTCATGGTTATTTAAATCATATTTCAAATCTCACTGACTTCTTTGTTCACTTGACCATAAACTTCCCTTGTTTAATTTATTGGCTTGCTATAGGAACTTGTGTTTATTCCATGTGTATACTGCACCTCCCCTGAAGCCTCTCTGAATCTCATTTGGTGACTCTGAAACCTACTGATCTACTTTACCTTTGCTAGGTTATATGTAATAATAAACAACCCCCAAATCTCAATGGCTTACAACCATGAAGATTTATTACTTGTGCATATTACATGTTATTCTCTGGCCAACTCTGCTCTGTTTTCTTCATTCTGGAACCTACGCTAGAGGAGTAGCCCATACCTGAGGCAGGTCTGCTTTGTGTCAGAAGGCAAAGAATAATGAAGAACTACTGAAAGGCTCTGAAAGCTTCTTCCTGTATGAGGCATACAACACTTCTATGCACATGGCCAACCCTGATGTCAGGGAGGTGTGGCGTTATTATCATATCACAGGCGGGGAGAAGAGAATGATAGAGAACAAAAATGCAGTCTACAACACCTGCCTTTTTGTTCTCTGAATAGTATGTACACAGAATTTCTAAACTAGATCTTTCAGTAACTGGTTCAGAGCTGCCCCTGCCTGGCCCCAATTACATGGTACATCTAGCTCAAAATAGCTGGGCTGGATGATTTGTGTACGCTTTGGTTATATGTGCTTGTGACTTTTACATGTAGTTTTGTCTCACCTGAACCATTTGATTGAAGATGATTAAATATCTGCTAAAATAGTGAAAAATGCACATAAACATACATACCCAGTTTTGTTTGCCAGTTAAGGATTTTTTTTTAAACTCCCTGAATTTCATGCAGGAGCCATAGGTCCCTACCATTTTTGCAATTGTCTATTCACACATCTGTATTGTCTACTAGACTACACTGTGAGGTGGGGTTGCATTTTTGTTCACTCCTGTGTCCCAGCTATTAGCACAGTTGCACATAATAAGGCTGTGATTTAAAAAAAAATGTGTTAAGTGAATAATAAAACTGAACTACAATTAGAATACAAGTCCAGCGTTCCAAATTGAATGAACAAGATCAAATTAGTAAAGATAAGCTATACTCACTAGAAGTCCATAATAAAAAAGAGATACTGTTTATACTAAATTAACAGTCTTTGGAGATTGTCTTGCTTCTTTTTGTAAAGTGAGATGAAGAACAAAAATCCTGGACAGATTGAAGCTAGCTTTTATGTCAGTGTAACTGAACTCTTCCTCCACTTCCTCTTTTAAGGGGTTGTAGCGGGAACATGCCAGGCTGATAATGATTGTTTTTATCTTATGTCATACCCTTCTGAGGGGAAACCAATAAATCCAGGCTGACGGTCTGGATGAATGAATAGGTGCTAGCAGCAAAAGATGGGGCCATGTCATGAGTTTTTTATTTGAGAATCAGCCTCTCCTCCATACACAGAACCACCAGCAGATGTCATATCTGATCTCTGTTGTTGGGCCTGCTGCCTGATTTTCAGTTAATTGTTTCCATAACACAATGTTTTTCCATATTGTGTCATGCTTCCTATTACACAGGACACATTTTCTTTACCATCTCCCATAAGCACACAGATATGATGTGCTTATTTATTTATCCATGCAATAAAGATTTATCATGTGTCTATTCTGTGCCTGGTATTGAGACTACAATGGTGAGCGAAACAGATACAGCCCCTGCCCTCTTGAAGAATTCTACTGGGGAGGACAGTTAATTCAATGAGTAACTTCCAAAAATTATAATTTGGGTTTTGTTAGTTGAAGCATGGTACTAGGAGGACAAGTTAAAAAAATAGCCAAATATAGCCTAAGAAATCACGGAAGTCCTCCAGGGAAGCAAGGTTTCTAGGGAATTCTGAAAGACGACTGAGTTAAGCAGACCAAGAACCAGGAGGAGAGCTGAATCTTTGTTATTTTAATTAAAAGAGTGAAGGGAGGGTGTCCCGAGTGTCCCATTAAACACATAGGCTCTGGGCTAGCCTTCCTGGGGGCCTATTCCTCACTCTGCCATTTATTAGCTCTGCTTCAGTTTTCTCGTTTGTACAATGGGGAGTGTGACAGTACTTGCCTCACAGGATTACTGTCAGGATTAAATGAGTTAATCCATGCAGGTGTCTGACATAGAATAAGCAATCGATTCCTGTTGGCCCTTATTTTTCTTTGTTGGAATATTCAGCAAAACCCATTGCATCTCAATTCTTTCTCAGATTAAAAAATTCTCTACCTGTGAATCAGAACTATGCTAACACAATGAACTCCAGTCTGCCAAATTTCATTTCTGAAGCAAAGCCACCTTTGGGTTTTGATTGTTGTGCCTGTGTCTTGTGTAGATGGTACAGGGAACTTGGCCAAGTTTCACACGACAACATGAAGTGTTCAGCTCCAAGCCACATGATATAGTTATAAGCCATATAATAAAATATATTATCTTAATCCCACAGGAGATCCCATAGATATCATGGCCACGTGGATAGAGACAAAGTCCTTGAACCTTAAAATAGCAAATCACAGACTCATTTCAAAGTTATTGGTACACAGAAGGTCTCTGTAGTGTCTTTTTGAATTCAGTCAGCTTTAATTACAAGCTTTTAGTCTCACTTGACAATATAATCCCTTCATTCTCAGGGCTGCACAGCATATTCAATCACTTAGCTTTCCTGACTGTTTAATGAAGATCTTCATGGTTGCATTTGGGGGAGTGCTTTCAGTCTCTTTCCAATAACAGGAACACTGAAAAAGACGTACAGGACATAATTATATGGTCTCATGCTGTTGTTGAGATTAGAAGCAAATAAATAAATAAATAAATAAAATAAAATAAAATAAAAGGCCGGTCGTGGTGGCTGACGCCTGTAATCCCAGCATTTTGGGAGGCCAAGGTGGGTGGATCGCTTGAGGTCAGGAGTTGGAGACCAGCCTGACCAACATGGAGAAATCCTGCCTCTCCTAAAAATACAAAATTAGCCAGGCATGGTGGTGCATGCCTGAAATCTCAGCTACTTGAGAGGCTGAGGCAGGAGAATTGCTTGAACCTGGAAGGCGGAGGTTGCAGTGAGCCAAGATCGCGCCATTGCACTCCAGCCTGGGCAAGAAGAGCGAAACTCCATCTCAAAAATAAATAAATAAATAAATAAATAAATAAATAAACAAAATAATGATAATTGCAAAGTCTACAAATATACTTGATAGAAAAAACCCTCTGAAAAGAAGAGCATATCTTTTAAATTACAAATTATGTTTGTTTTCTGAAATTGTACTCTACTCCAGAATATCAGTCAAATGCCCACCTGAGTTTCGAGTATTGTTAAATTTTAGGTTTCTAATTTTCCTGTTATTCACTTCTCAGCAATCTTTTTGATTTTCAAATGATGTCAGAACTTTTTTTATATCTATTTTTAAAAGTCACAGATTCAATCCCAATTTTATTTGCATCTACATATAGACATGCAGAAAAAATACTATAAGACATTACTCATGGTTCTCTTTGGGTTCTGGGATTAAGGGGAGCCTTGTTTTGGTTGTTATAGTTTTCCTATATATAATTTTAGTTTAATAACAAAATGTGAGTGTGTGGTGTTGGTTTTCTGTGTGGACCTAGAAAATAGTTCGCAGACCTAGGTAATTCCATTTGAATAAAATTCACTTATTTTTAAAACAAAAAAAAGCCAATCAAATAAATTAGCTAGTAAAGGAAGTATTAAATTTTATTGGAAAATTCCTCAGTTCCAGTATGCTTTGCTTGTCAAAGGTTAACATACAATATCTACAACTTGGCTTTATAGGCTTCTTAAGGGTCTTGCCTTTGGATTGATTCATTATTGAGATGGAGTTAAATTTTCTGGAAAAGAGAATTCCACTGCTCAGCAGGCTAACTGCCTTTAGATGGGCGACATTAACTCTACTTATTGCCAACCTAGCCAAAAAATCAATAAAAGCTGGTGGACTAAGACAAGTCATAAATTTGATTTCTATATCCAAAATCACTTCCATTCCAGGCCGACCTCACATTGGCAGTCTGATTTGATTACAAGGTCATTTTCCCACACGTTGTACTCAGCAGTTTGAAAAGTACAATGTGTTGGTTAAAATATGATCCTTGGGGGATATTTGCTCACTTTACAAGCAGCTCCTCCATTTGCCATAATTAAGCCCAATGGGCAGTTGCTCCTCAGGGAAGCTGATGTGCTAAATCCTTGGAGTTGTCCCAACCCCATCGAGAGAGGCCCTGCAGAGTCTGCATGGGGCTCCATGCCGTCCTGTCATCAGTGCTCGCTCTCGGCTTTCCCCTGACCTCATTTCACATCAAACCTTTAATAACAATCTACAAGGAAGCCTTTGTGCTCCAAAATGTTCTCATATTTATGATGGCTCTAACATGGGGGAAAATACTTAACCTAAATATTTGATTGAAATGTTTCTCTTAGCTTCAGAATAATCATTTTATAATAACCATATATTTCCATTACTCAGAACTTCAAAACCACATTTACAGCAACAGATCTCATTGATTTAATATCAGAGTGGAAACGGATCAAGTACACTAGCGATTTTATCTAGTAAATGAAGAAACTGAGGCCCAAAGGGAACCAATGGGACTAGCCCAAAGTCGTATGGGTAGTTCTACACAGAGCTGGGATGAAAACCTTCGGTCTGGCTGGGCATGGTGGCTCATGCCTGTAATCCCAGCACTTTGAGAGGCCAAGGTGGGTGGGTCACTTGAGGCCAGGAGTTCGAGACCAGGCTGGTCAATGTGGTGAAACCCTGTCTCTACCAAAAAATACAACAATTAGCCGGGCATGGTGGTACATGCCTGTAGTCCCAGCTACTTGGGAGGCTGAGGTGGGAGAATTGCTTGAACCCGGGAGGCGGAGGTTGCAGCAAGCTGAGATGGCACCACTGCACTCCAGCCTGGGTGACAGAGTGAGACTCTGTCTCAAAAAAAAACCCAAAAAACAAAAAACAAACCTTTGGTCTTCTGACTTCCAACCCTATGCCCTTTCCCTTCTCTCATTCTGGACTTCTAATCCCCTTATCACTTTTGGCCAAGGGGCTATGACATTTGATATCATTATTATTAATAATGATTACTACCATTTATTTAGCTCTTATTAAGTGCCTGATGCTGGGTATCACACTCAATTCTGACAACAGCCTGATGGGGTAAGTATGCTTATTATCCCATTTTACAGCTGAGAAAATTGAGTCACAGAATAAGTAATTTATCTGGCATTTTAAATGACAGTGAGTGAAAGGGAGGACTGAAATTTAAATCTACTTCTTTCTGACCTCAGAAAACAAGTGTTTAACTATTTAGTACCATCCTTGGGTCCCAGAACCTTATCCTCTTGGCAAAAGATATGAAACTATCTTTTAAAGCCTGCTGGCCTAGAAAGCTTAAGTTATCCTACTTGATATGAGCAGATTGTTATCAGACAGCCCAAACGCATTATAATGCTTTCTCTCATCCTGGCCCACACAGTTCGAATATAATCCTTTAAAAATAGGAGCCTTTTGTCTTATAGTAACTAACCCCCAATGAAGTCTATTTTGCACTAAATTCTGCTCTTTGGGGTATGAGCTAGTAGCAAAACCACAATAGAGCCTAAACAATGATTTCAAGCACCCTAGAGTGGTAGTTGCTAAGGACAACATTTGACAAGCCAGAGATCCTGGGCAGAGGCCACTGGGAAGGACAAGAGGAGGGCGCCCATCTGGCTCGCCCACCAGATCCAGGCAGGCGCAGCACATCGTAAATAACCTCTTACACATGCCTCACTGCCAGCTCAAAATGGGTTTTGAGTGCATTTGGCTTGTTTTTAAAGAGGGTGTGAGCTAAAGGCTGTCATTTAAAATTGCCCAGAACCCATGTCACAAGAACAGGTGGGCCCAGTTTAAAACAAAATAAATGAGAGGCTGAACTTACCAAAGCAAATATTGTGGAGTGATTATTCTGCTTTAGAAAAGGATTACCCTTGGGACTCTTCAGAGCAGTGATCTCTCTTATTGCCATTAAAATGTAAATCTCTCAATTCAAATTTGGTTAACACTCATGACCTTTCAGGAAAATGCTTGCTTTATTGAGCAAGGAATCCATTCCTTGTAAAGAAGAACAAATGAAAGGTTTGGTTCTTTTTTACAAATATGGAATAAGGTCTGCAAAGCTCTATTTCCTTTTTCTTTCTAAATGTGAAAGCTGTTAGAGAAGCCCCTCTATGGGAGAGGTTTTGTTTTTAAATTTCACTTGACATTCTTTCCTGAAACACGCTTATTAAAAGGTCAAGATTAGGTAGAGATACCAAACCCTTTTGTGAGCACATTTTATCTGCTGCTGAAAAGCTCTTTATCAGTAGGTGGCGCTATAAGAATGAGATTACCATACGCAGGGGCCAACACATTCAGGATAGAAAGCAAAATTCCGCCCTTTCTTGGACATCTTCCTGAAGGAAACAGCTTCGCTCTGCACCTTCATAGGATTCCTCTTTGCTTACCCCGAGCTGTCCCGCTCTGAATTGCTGTTTGAGCAGAGGGATGCCCACATTGTACCCTTCTTAGAATCCCAGAATGTGAAGGCTAGGAAGGACCTCTTATGTAATGGCTTAGCTTGCAGTCTTTTCATCCTGGAATCACAGGATCTGTAAAGGTTAGAGGAACCTTAGAAATCATCTCCAACACTCATGTTTTCCATGAGGAAGTTGAGACTGAAATGAAGGACTCAAAATCACCTAGGTAGTTCATAGCTCAGGCAGGACAAGAGCCTTAGTGGGCTTGCTTGACATCCAGTGTTTCCCAGTTATTGGGGAACACTGCAGGGCAGTGTGAGAGGGAAATGATAAGTGGTGTGTGGGGAGACAGTGGCCCTGCCTGGCCTGGGTTCAGGCAGAGCTCACTGACTGTGGGTGGACAACATTAAACATTAAGGATTTTCTCCCTCTATTCCCTATAGTCAACGATTGCCACCCTTGCAGGACTTACGACAAATGTCAGGTGCCGAGTCTTTCTCTTTGATATGGTTTGGCTGTGCCCCACCCAGATCTCATCTTGAATTGTAGCTCCCATAATTCCCACGTGTTGTGGGAGGGAACTGGTGAAAGGTACTTGAATCATGGGGTGGTTTCCCCCATACTGTTCTCATGGTGGTGAATGAGTCCCATGAGGTCTGATGGTTTTATAAGGGGTTTTGCTGTTTGCTTGGCTCTCATTCTCTCTTGCCTGCCGTCACATAACACCATGCCTTTTGCCTTCCACCATAATTGTGAGGCCTCCCTAGCCAAGTGGAACTGTGAATCCATTAAATCTCTTTTTCTTTATAAATTACCCAGGGTCAGGTATGTCTTTATCAGCAGCGTGAAAATGGATTAATACACTCTTCAAGCTAACTTTCCCTTATTTCTGCCAACCAAACCACCATTTCCCCCAACACTCAGATTTATAACTTAGAGTCCCTGTTGTCTAGTCCCTTTAGTATGGATTCCCTGTGTGCTTGGAAACATTCTAGGCTGCAGGGTACAGAATCGAACAAAATAGATAAAATCCTTGCTCTTATAAAGAAAACAGAAAATAAATAGAATAAATAAGTAAATTAATTAGTATATTAGTGATGAGTGCTAAGGAGGGGGGGAAAATCCAGAGTGGAAAGAGGGATGTAAAGTGTTAGGGATGGAATAGAAATTGGGTCAGAGAAGGCCTTACTGAGAAAGTCCCTGAGTCAGGAGCAGGCTTTGAATCTTAGGAACAGAAAGGAGACCAATAGACTATTTCTAAATTCTTACCAAGTGCAGATTTGTTTTTTCTTTCTCAATGTGTCCTCCTGATCCCCTATTTGTCCCTGTTGTGATCTCTTTAGGCAAGGTCCAAGCCGAAACTGAACAGATGAGGAGGAGTAAGCCAGGTGCAGGGAGTTGGGAGGGTGAAGAGAAGAGGGATAAGGAGAAAGTTCTAGTATGTGGTAAAGGCCTACTGTTCCTGAAGAGTCATCTTATGCCAGACTAGAGGACTTAAACTGTCCTTGGAATCCACATTTGTGGCCTTGGTGATTATTTCCCTACTCTACCTCTTGGGGTCCCATGTCACTATTTTCAGGCTTAGCTTTCCAAACCTGGACAATCTTTTAAGACCCAGTAAAAATGCCATCTTTCTTAGGCGTGGGCAAGAAGCCCATCTCCACATGCTCATTCCCTACTTTGAGTCCTATAACGTAATAGATTATGTCTTTCATTTGCTATTTAATAGTCCTCCCTTCGATTGGTTACTTATCTTTGACTCAGCTGTGTGTTGACATGACACTGTTGTGAGCCACAGAAAGCTGAAACGTCTCACCCACCTATGCAGATAGTGCTTTGCAGATTACTGTGTTGGGCACCTACAGTGAGAGAGGCAGCTTCCTCCTTTGCAAAATGAAAGTAGGAAAATCTGCCTCTGGAGAGTTGTAAGGATTACATGAGACACTGGAATGAAAGTCCTTAGTTCAGGGTTGGCTTCCATTGTAACCACTTAATAAAAGGTAATGGTGACTTGGTTGTCACTGAAAAGACCATTGGACTTATAGCTGAGCTGTTGGTTCTGCTACTTATTAGCTTTGTGACCTTGGACAAGTAATTTAACAGGATTCTTGGGTCTCTCTTTTCTCATCTGTAAAATGGGATAATAATAACTAACTTCAAAGAACAATTTTGAGGCTCAAATTTCTAACAGTGTGTATGCAATCAATTATCTGAAGGGTCTCAATCCCTTTGGGTATAATGCCATGAAGTAGTTTTATTTTCCCCAATCATTGCTTCCAACTGTGCTATGTTGTATTGCTCTTTTCCTGGGGATAGTGCTCCCTTGGTGATAGCTTGGACAGATTTAATAACTTCCTAGTCACCTTGTGGTGTGGGCAATCTTGTCTCAGAGTTTAAGACACAGCGCAGTTTATTTTCATGACCCCAATATCAAGCTTGATTAAAAGTTCTGTTCCTGGCCCCAGGTAGATCATTCTCTTTTGCAGCCCTGGGAGCCTGGAGTGGAAGACCAAAGACCAGAGATGGCTCTGAGGTCATTGCCCTGCCCCCATTCCCCCCTCCTCCCCCCAGTTCTTGTGTAATTGAGGGCAAGGAGGAAGGTTACAGGAAGCAGAGGTATTCTTCTGTGATTGCCCACAAGGCCACCAGGGGTAGGCAAAAGTTGTGCCTCTGGCTTCCCTCCAGTTCTATTTGGGTCTATCTGATGCTAGCGCCCTCTGTTGGAGTGGTGGTCTCCTCACAGGTGGTGTGCATGTTTTTCTTTGGAGTGGTATTGGGTCTCCTCTGCCACTGGGGACCACTTTCCCTGGTTGACATTCCATCATTTGGTCCAGGGGTCATCAGGGCTGCTCAAAGATTCCTGCTCTTCTTGCCTTGGTATTGCTTTACCCAGTGGAGACACAGAAATTTCCAAATTCCTCTTCTGCACCCTCTAAAGGCCACAGAGAACAGGTATGGAGTGGGCCTTCACTGTCTTCTTTCCAGCCACACCACACTGCACCATGGATATTTCCAGCCCTGTGGGTATGGGCTATCCCACCAAGATATCCAACTTCAGTAAGAAGTTAAGTAAGCACCAGTCTGTTTCCAAAGTCCCCCAAATACAAGACTGCACATTTCGGGCACCTACTCTTTTTTCCCATAGTAAGGAGAGAAATGAGAAGGTTTATGGGCTATTCCTGGGTTTTTAAAACATTCTCCAAGAGCTCTCTCTCACTAGAGAATGCTTGGGGACAGCTTGATGACTGGCCCAGCAGGTACCAGAGATCAGCAAACAACCCACCAGGAAATGGGAAGCTCTTTGTCTTGCAAGCTCCCCTAATGTCTTAATCTGCTCAGGCTACCATAACAAAAAGTAGCATACACAGGGTGGCTTCAACAACAGAAATTTACTTCTCACAGTTCTGGGGGCTGGCAGTCTGAGATCAGGGTGCCAGCATGGTCGGGTTCTAGTGAGGGCCTTGTTCTGGCCTGCAGATGGTTGTGTTCTTACTGTGTCCTCACATGGCAAAGAGCAAGCTCTCTGGTGCCTTTTCCTCTTCTTACAAGGGTACTAATCCCATCATGAGGGCCCCACCCTCATGATCTCATCTGAACTGAGTTATCTCCCAAAGGGTCTATCTCCAAATACCAGTGTGTTGGGGTTAGGGCTTCAACATGTGAATTTTGGGAGAACATAATTCAGTCAATAACACCTAACATCACAAGAGGTATTCCTGGCTTAGAGGAGAGAATGTTCTCTCTCCACAAACACTGCACTTTCTTTAAGGCCAGTGATGTTTTTCTCTCCCTGCCTCTCCCTACCTCGGCACTTTCTCTAGTTCCTTCATATTATTTAGAAAAAATGCTGGGGCCAGGTGCGGTGGCTCATGCCAGTAATCTCAGCACTTTGGGAGGCCAAGGCAGGTGGATCACTTGAGCTCAGGAGTTAGAGACCAGCCTGGGCAACATGCCAAAACTCTGTCTCTATAAAAAATACAAAAATTAGCCAGGCATAGTGGCACAGACCTATATTTCTAGCTACCTGGGAGGCTGAAGTGGGAGGATCGCCTCAGCTTCATAAGAGTCAATGGACTCTTTTGGCCATTGAGTCCTATGTGAGGGGTGACTGGTAGTAGATGGAAGTATTTGTACCAGTTCTGGTGTCTTTTCAGCAAACTCTGCAGGAAGGCAGATGATTTCAATGGCTAATGGCTTCTAGAAAGCTCCTTGAGCTTGGAATATGGGGCTATCTAGTGTCATTTGTCTTCAGCTTTGAACCTCAGCCTATAGAATGGCCCAAAAAATCCTACTCTATATATAGCTCCATATTTGAAAGTGCTTTGAAACAACACAACATTATACAAAGAAAGGCATTAGTCTTAGTATTACTTGTTTCATTATTACTACTAGTAGTGTGCTGTTTTATTTATTTCGTACATCTTTTTCAAGTTCCTGCTGTGGCCAGACACTGTTTTAGGCACTGGGAAATACAGCAGTGAACAAGCGAGATCAAGTCTCTGCAGTCCTGAAATATGGACTATAAAAAAGTAAGCAACTATGTAAACGATGTAAACCAAGTGATTCCATTTTTTTTTCTTTTTCTGAGACAGTGTCTCTTTCTGTCACCCAGGCTGGATCTCCACTCACTCTTTCCTTTATAAATTACCCAGTCTCAAGTAGTCCTTTACAGCAGTGTGAAAATGGATTAATACAACCAAATATCTGGGCACCCCATGGCACAGTCAAGTTGACATAGAAAATTAACCATCACAATCTACCCCTTGTCATCATCTTCTTAAACCATACTTAATCTCCAAATGAAGACAATATCAAGGTTATAATTCTACCAGTTCTGCCAACTAATCTTCATACAGCCAAAAAGGCACGAACTCCTTCTCTAGAAGAGAAGTCCTTGAGTGATATTTACTCTTCTCCTTGATATCCCATAACTTAATACTATGATGTAAAATTAATAATACTTAAATACTATGACACAAAGTTAATACATCTATGTTGGATGATAAGGGAATAGAAGAGGGAAGAAAACAAAGATATTTGACATACACATAAACATATTTATAACAAAATAAAGAGAAAATACTCTTGGCAATTATAGTCTTTGTTTCTGTAACTGGCCAGGTGGTCATACCTGGTCTTTATAACTACCTTCTCCCATTACTTATTCTGTATCCCCTTTGCCTTCAACAAGCACGTCAGCTGGTTGTGGTTCTTTACCTGGTGGGTAACCCAAAACTTCATTCCTGGAGAGTCTGGGCCGTTAGTAGTCCTGCCTGGATTAGGTTGCTGTAGTTTTCATTTGGCCTTAATCACAGGGCATGGTAATACTAAGAGATATCATAAGGGATCTCCTATATTCCAGCCATGTTCTTCCTCACCTCCACTGTGAAGTACTCGTCCAATTTCTCTTGGTAGTCAGGATCAGTCACCCCAACTAGAGTCATGAGGAGCTCAAAGTAGCCAATCAGCAGTCTTAAGTTCCAGTTAAGTGAAATAATTTTTGTGTCTCTTGGTGGAAGCATTCTTCCCTCTCAGGAAAAAGATGTCTATGACATCTAGGCCAGAAGAGGATAAAGTTGTGGGAACAGAAAGCAAAAATTTTGCTAGTGGGTTGCTAGGGGTAATAGTGAGTGATGCCACTCCCATTTTCACCTGTTGGCTTCTGGCCTCATGAACTCTGAATATGGAATATGGGAGAAACTGTGTCATATATTGGACACTGATTCAGAGCATCCACAGCCTTTGGAGAACCTTGCTCCAGTCCTTCAAGGTATTGTCACCTACCTGGTGCTATAACTGAGTCTTCAAAAGGCCATTCCATCAACCTGTCAAGCCAGGTGCTTCAGGATGTTGGGAAACATGGTAAGATGAAGACCATGAAATTCCATGAGCATGGACCTATTGCTGTATTTCATTTGCCATGAAGTGAGTTCCTTGATTGGAAGCAATGCTGTGTGGAATACCACACAGGCGTTCTGAAAGGTAAGGCATTCTGAAAGTCCACATATGGTAGTTTTGGCAGAAGCACTGCAGGCAGGGAAGTCAAATCTGCATCCAGATAAAGTTTCTATTCCAGTAAGAACAAAATGCTGCCCCTTCTGTGACAGAGGTGATCTAATGTAATCAACCTGCCACCAGGTAGTTGGCTGATCACCCCAGGAAATGGTGGCATATTGGAGGCTCAGTGTTGTTCTCTGCTGCTGGCAGATTGAACATGGAACAGTTGTAGACAGGTAAGACTTGGTGGGTGGAAGTCCATGTTGCTTATTCCATGCATAACTTCCATCCCTGCCACCATGGCAACCTTGTTCACAAGCTCACTGCGCAGTGGCAGTGGAGGTTGGGGAAAGAGGCTTGACTAATATGCACAGAAAAGGTCATCCCATCCACCTGATTATTAGAATCCTCTTCTGCTGAAATCACTCTTTGCTGAGCATTCACATAGGACCCAAATATATATATATATATTTGGAGACAGAGTCTTGCACCAGGCTGGAGGGCAGTGGCAGGATCTCGGCTCACTGCAACTCCACCTCCAGGGTTCAAGCTATTCTCCTGCCTCAGCCTCCTGAGTAGCTGGGATTACAGGCGCCTGCCACCAGGCCCACTAATTTTTTTAAATGTATTTTTAGTAAAGATGGGGTTTCACCATGTTAGCCAGGCTGGTCTCGAACTCCTGACCTCAGGCAATCCACCCGCCTTGGCCTCCCAAAGTGCTGGGATTACAGGCGTGAGCCACTGCTCCCAGCCATCTTCACATTTTTGCCCATTCCAAGAGTTCTACACATACCTTTTCTTCAAATTTCTGGTCACCATTTTCTCAATTGTTTCACTTTCAAGTTCCTGACCATCCAGCCATGCCACTGGCCACAGCCCATGAACTGGTATATAATTGCATGTCTGGCCATTTCTCCTTCTAAGCAAAGTGAACAACCAGGTGCATGGCTCAAAGTTCTGCCCACTGGGAGGATTTTCCTTCACCACTGTCTTTCAGGGATATCCCAGAAAGGGGCTGTAGTGCTGCAGCTGTCCCCTTTCCGGTGGTGCCTGCATATCATGCAGAACCATCTGTAAACCAGGCCTGAGTTTTCTCTTCCTCTGTCAACTAATTGTAGGAAACTCCCCATAATGCTGTAGATGGAACTCAGAGAGAGAACACAGTGTAGCAGAAGTGGGAACCATGGATATTTGGGCTGATTTTTTTTTTTTTTTTGAGATGGAGTTTCACTCTGTCGCCCAGGCTAGAGTGGAGTGGCACGATCTCAGTTTACTGCAACCTCTGCCTGCCAGGTTCAAGCGATTCTCCTGCCTTAGTCTCCTGAGTAGCTGGCATTACAGGCAAGTGCCAGTATGCCCTGCTAATTTTTGTATTTTTGGTAGAGATGGGGTTTTGCTATGTTGGCTAGTCTGGTCTCTAACTCCTGACCTCAAGCAATCCGCCCACCTGGGCCTCCCGAAGTGCTGGGATTGCAGGTGTGAGCCACCGCGCCTGGCTAGGCTGATTGTTCATGTAACTTGCCTATGCCACCAGGGCCTAGTTGAGCCCCATCATGGAGGTACCACTTTCATCTGATGATGGAGTGTTGCTGTGCACATCCAATTTATGGCTTGGTGGGTCAGATAATTCCCAGTTCATGATGGGCAGCTCAGGTTACATGGTAACTTAGTGGCCCAGGGTTAAGCATTCAGTCTCTACTAAAGCCCAGTAGCAGGCCAAGAGCTTTTTCTCAAAAGGAGAAACAGCAGCTGTAGTTACCTGCAGAGGATGGCAGAGCTTTGCTCCAACATCCTAAGGATGTACATTGCAGTTCCCCTATAGAGACCTGCCAAAGGCTACAAACAGTATCCCTATCAGCAGTGATGCTTTAAGCACGATTAGATCTTCTTAATTATGTTGCCCAGTGGCAGAGCAGCTTGCACAGCAGCATGGACCTGTTGCAGAGCCTTCTTTTGTTCTAGGCCCCACTCAAAACTCACAGCTTTTTGGGTCACTCAGTAAATGGGTAGGAGTAACACACTGAAATGAGGAATGTGTTGTGTGATGGGGCCCATCCACATTAGAGAGGGCAATCAGCTTTATCCAGCCTATTGATTTAAATGTTAAACTCAACCAAAAACACCCCCGCCAAAACACTCAGAATAATATTTGACCAAATATTTTGGCACCCTGTGGCCCAGTCAAGTTGACACATAAACTTAACCATCACAAATTCTCCCCTAGCACCTTCAGAAAGAGTACAGTCCTGCTGACACTTTGATTTTGGATTCCTGGCCTCCAGAACTGTAAGAGAATGGATTTATATTGTCCTAAAACACCGAGTTTGTGGCTTAGAATACCATTAGTTTTCTAGGGATGCTGTAATAAATGGTATTACAGCATCCCTAGGAAACTAATCTAGGAGGTAAGCATTGAAACAGGAAACGGTTAAGGAGACAGTTTGGTAACTGACCTAGGCAAGAGACTATGATGGTGTAGAGCAGGCTGGAGTCATGCAGAGAGTCAGAAGTGATATATTTTGCAGTTGTAGCTAGCAGGGATTGCTGGTCCATTAAATGTAGTGAGGGCAGGAAGTAGTTTGAGGAACAGAAGAATTCTAGGTTTGGGACTTGAGTACCTCGTTGGCTGAACATATCATTTACTAAAACAGGCAAGACTAGGAAAGCAGCAGATTTTTCAGCGGGAAAATCAAGAGTTCTCTTTTGGACTTGCTATGTCGGAGATGTTGGGTAAGGATTTTGGAGTTTAACTGGAGATGTCAGGGCTAGAGATGAAAGTTGATGAGTCATCATAAAAGGTAGCATTCAGGGCCGGGTGCGGTGGCTCATGCCTGTAATCTCAGCACTTTGGGAGGCCCAGGTGGGTGGATCACGAGGTCAGGAGATCGAGACCATCCTGGCTAACACGGTGAAACCTGGTCTCTAATAAAAATACAAAAAATTAGCCAGGCGTGGTGGCGGGTGCCTGTAGTCCCAGCTACTCGGGAGGCTGAGGCAGGAGAATGGCATGAACCCAGGAGGCGGAGATTGCAGTGAGCTGAGATCGCACCACTGCACTCCAGCCTGGGCAACAGAGCGAGACTCCATCTCAAAAAAAAAAAAAAAATGTAGCATTCAGATAGGAGTGGAAGGCTCAGGGCTGGGATCTGGAATGCCCCAATGTTTAGGGATGGAGCAGATGAGTAGAAGCTGGGAGTGGAAATGGGGAAGAAGTGAGTGATGAGGCCAATGAGAAAACTCAGGAGGGAGTCAGGAAAAGAAAAGAAAGAAGAGGGTTCAAGAGATGAGAGGTGCTGATAACACTGGCACCTCAGCGAGGTTGAGAGCAACATTAGATTCAGTAACATGGAAGTCCTTGGTGACCTTAACGCAAGTATATTCTGATCTGTGTTCTGGGGTGGGTGGGTATACAAACTGGAGATGGGTTGAGCAGAAATTCTGTTGTAAGGAAGAGGAGATCACAGTGGATGAAAACTATTTTACCCGGGCTGGTCTTGTTGACGTTCTCCACCCCATTCCCATTATGGTGTCTTGCTAAGGCATTTCTTTCCTCTTACAATTTTTCCCTTCCTGCCTATATCTTTCCATGCTGGATTTAGAGACTTAGAGATGTTAGGTCTTCTAAGGGTCAGATAATTCCCAGTCCATGATGGGCGGCTCATGTCACATGGTAACTTGGTGGTCCATGGTTAAGCAATAAACCTCTGTTTGATTAAGCCACTATTATTCAGGTTTTCTGCTGTATGTTGCAAAGTACAGTCCCGATACCCAAATAAGAAACTGGTGAGCTGCAGAGAAGAAATGTGGAATTAGGCTATCTAACTCCAAAGTTTATATACTTAACCACTATACTGCATAGAGTTAAGCACATTTGTAAACTGTCTCCCAACTTAATAACATATCATGAGCATTTTCTCATAACATTATGTCTCATGACATTAAAAACATAAACATAAAAACCTAACAAAAACTCTCCATAATGTTTCCCATAACATTAAAAGCTCCTTATAAGCGTAATTTTTGTGATTGTTTAACGTTCAGTTGTATGGCCTTTTTGGCTATTGAAAACAGCATGTGGTCAACATCTTTGTGCATATAATTTTTATCTGGCCTCCCAGCTGTGTGTTGAGAGTTGCCCTGGAATGAAATTGCTGGGTTAAAGGTAAGAACATTTCTAAGGCTATCGATTCTTAAGGCCAGATTTCTTTCCATAATGTTCATAAATTCCTTAATTTGGGCCACCTCTTGCCAGAAGAGATTGTATGATCTATGAGACCAGGCATCATTTCTAAATTTTCAGGTCCTCTTGCAGCACATGGCAAGTTTTGCATACATACTGGGAATGTAGTAAATAGTTGAGTTGGCTGGAATGGTTGGAAATGAATAACTTGGGGTGACTTATCTTGTGTGGAGGAAATGGGACCCAGGTGGGTAACAGGTAGATGGGAAGCTGGGACTATTCACTTCACCCAGCTTGAGTCATGTAATTGAGGGGAAAAGTGCACATCAAAATGGAAATATGTCAAGTGGCTGTCTCTAAATGGAAGCCACAGCAGACATCGGTGGCTGATCCCATGCCCCGATTCCAACCCCCATCCACGGTCTCCTTAACTCATCTACAACCTGAGTTCTTCACCTTCCAGCCAGGTGTGGTCATGTGACACAGTTCTGTCCAATGAGATGAAAGCAAAGTCTGCTGCAGGGGACTTTTAGAAAAGCTTTTGTATTCCTGATTTTTAAAGGGTTGGATTGAGCTGCCATGTCATTTTTATTTCATTTTCCTTTTTCGTGTCCAGAATACTATGTGATGCCTCAGGATGCAGCAGCTTTCTTGAAACAGATTATGAGGAGCCAAACATGAGAACAAAATCCAACTTGTAAAGTCAGGGCAATTATTGACTTATGTATTTATTTAAAACATGTTTATTGAGCATCTAATATGTACATCTAATATCCATATCTGCAGGAACACTTACATACTGCCTACTGCACTGTGCCAGTAGTTTGCATGTATCAAACTATTAATCCTTTCAATAGGCCTAGGGGGTGAGGCTATTATTTTCATCTCCATTTTACAGATAAGAAAACTGGAGGACTAGGGAGAGGTTAAGTAACTTTCCCAGTGTCACACAGCTAATAAGTAGCAGAGCCAAGGTTGAGTAAGATTCAATAAGAGCTAGTAAGTAGCAGCAGTCCACACAGCCTGGTGCTACTGTCCTTGCACTTAACCATTGTGCCACCCAGTCTGGGTCCTGGTGTCATTTTTGAGGAGTTGCACGTTCTCTGGACTGTATTTGTATTTCTATGTATGAAAAATAAATCTCTGTTTGCTTGTATTTCTTATTAAATGTAAAAAATAAACCTCTATTTGTTTAAGCCACTATTATTTAGGTTTTCTGTTGTATGTTGCAAGTACAGTCCTGATACCCAAGCTGTAGAGTAGCTAATATCTTTTTTTTTTTTTTGAGACGGAGTCTCGCTCTGTTGCCCAGGCTAGAGTGCAGTGGCGCAATCTTGGCTCACTGCCAGCTCCGTCTCCCGGGTTCACGCCATTCTCCTGCCTCAGCCTCCTGAATAGCTGGGATCACAGGCACCCCCACAACACCTGGCTAATTTTTTGTATTTTTAGTAGAGACGGGGTTTCACCGTGTTAGCCAGGATGGTCTCGATCTCCTGACCTCGTGATCCACCCGCCTCGGCCTCCCAAAGTGCTGGGATTACAGGCGTGAGCCATAGAGTAGCTAATATCTTGAATTACTTTTATGTGGCTTTGTACTACATCATTTTTCTTCTCCTGTTAGAGTGTTAGCTCAACAAGGACAGGGTCTACAACAACTTTGTATATTACTGTATCTCAACACAGTGCCTGGTACATATTAGATGCCCAATAAATACGTTTTGAGTACATGAGTAAGTCAATAAATGATTGATAGCTAAGACTGTAATAAATTTAGTCTCCTGTCCATGCTTTACTTAGCATTACACTAATTTGCATCCTCTGAATATAGGCTAGCAAAGGGAGAGAACAGGAGTACTGTGCTTTGTGGCCATGTCAGTCTAACCTGGCATAAAAAAATACACTATGAATAAATCACCAAGTCAAGGAACCATTGAGAGGGAAGTATATTTTTGGGTATTTTGTTTCCCTTGCAGTCGTCTCTCCCCTTTCAGCCCTGTCTTTAGCTATCAGTTTCTTACTTTCTTTTAATTCTATACCACCTCTAACATCGATTTATCCTTTTGATTTATGTATTTCATATATGCTTTTTTCTTCTTCCTTGTCTATCCTTATTTCCCTGGACATTCTGCACAATTCCTCTCTACTTCTGATAGAGTGATTTCTCGAAGGTAAAGAAAACCGTTTGCTACCCTCTAATGTACCCTGCTTGTGCCATCCTCACCACTCATTTCAACTTCTTGGTGTGATTTATCCAGCAATCAGACCATTGCCCAAAATTGGCTTTGCAGAAAGGCTTAATGTGTTTGTCTTACCCATTCAGGGACTACTTCTAATTATCATGCAGGGAAGCTCACGTCTCCATTTTGCTGATCCTTCACTTGGGCCAGATCAGCCACGAGACCCATTTTGTTTAATACCAGATTGAGCCATTAATTCCCAGAGTAACAAACATGCAATATGTGGAAGGAGTCACATGCCTCCTCGTCGGCAGGAGGGGATTCTGTTTCTTCCCTTTGACACGGCTTGCTTTTTCTCCCTGTGATGCAGTGGAGAGAGCCTTAGAAATTGGTGAGCTGGGGCCTAGGCTCATCTCTGTGCAAGATGCTGGTCTTGAGAAGTCTTTGACCCCCTTTGGACCTCCATTTCCTAACCCCAGAGAGTTGAGAGTTGAACTCAATGTACCCTAAGATATCATCTGGCCCTGTAATTTATGATTTTATAAGCAAGAAATGACAAAATAACTTAAAAAATCAATATTACATAGACAACCTCACTCATCTATCAGGGGAAAAGTCTCAGACCTTCCCTACAAACATATATTATAAAACTAATCACTTCAGTCTTATAGGTCGAGTTCAGAAAAATAGATGGGAAGGATCAAATAACAGGGAACAGCAGGAATACCAGACTCAAGATTAGCTTAATGGCAGGAATTCAAGAACAAAGGGGTTAAGCCCTACCAGTGGACTTGGGTGAGGCATGGGGAAACAGCTTCTTAGAAAAAAAATTCTTCTTAATTGGTGAATTTTCCCAAACGTTTTAAAAAATTTATATATGATAATTGTACATATTTATGGGACACATGTGATATTTGGATACATGCATACAATGTGTAATGATCAAACCGGGTAATTAGGGGTGAAATTTGTTTTTGTGTCTTTCCTAGTGATAACCCACAGATCGCATTTGATGGGCTTCCAAATTAACTGCCTGGGGAAGGTCTTATGATTCATGGCTTACATCCTGTCCTTCAGTAAAGAATCTTACCATGAATCCCTCTAATCTTCTCCTGAGTTCCTCAAACCGCTGTCATACTGATTAATACGTAACCTACTGACACTGAAAAGGACACTGCTTTGTTTCTGAATCATGAAGTTTTGCTGATTTGTTTCTGAATCATGAAGTTTTACTTATCGTCTTGCAGGTAAAACATTTTATCCTGCATGTTGTCATCTGTAGCCAAGGATTGTAACATCGGTATTGTACTCTCCAACAAAAAAGGACAACTCCAATATGAGGAGTCCCCTTCCCTTCTCCTAAACTTTCTTATAAAAGCATTTTAACTTGCAACAGACTTCAGAACCTGCTCAACTTTGTTGGAGTATCTTCCTGGGTTGATCCTCAAATTGGCTTACTGTAAACCTTTATCAAATTATTTCTGCCTCTAAAGCCTTAATTTTGGTTGACATGAGTTCTGCTGTTTGTGCTCTCTTGTTTATTGACCCCCTCCACCTTCCACCTCTTCTCCAGGTATTTTTTCCATATTTGCCATTTAAAAGATTTTTTGTTATATCTGTTATAGAAAGATACATTTTCACAGGAAATTTATAAAATAACAAAGTGTGCATTGTTTTCTTTGCCCATGAACATATTCTGGTATGTTTGGCCTTCCTGGGCTATAGTAATCTAATCAGCAGGTAGCTGCAGTTGCTGTGATCTCAGGTTAATGTTCAGATGTCAACAGATGAATGAGCTCCTGACATTCTCTGCTCCAAGTTTCCTTTTAGGCAGTGATGCCAATAGGAAGAGCAGGTGAACGTCACAGATATGCTGCATTATATTTTATTATCTGCATGGACTCTATCTGAAGTCAGTAGGGGAAATGGGAAAGTCATTTGGAACCCAGAACTTGTGCACAGGCTCAACTTAAACCAGTTATGCATAACTCCCATGTGTTCCCTCTACGACACACAGCCTTCCCAGGCCTTTCTCTGACCTTCTTCCACATGGAGCCAGTTAGAGCATGCGTGGCTCTTTGAACTTCATTTGCATGGAGTTTCCTCATTATGAAGTAGAGGTCCCATAACTGAAGTGAGGTTGTTGGGAGGGTTCATTTTATGCATCAAACTGGCTGAGCCACAGTCCCCAGATATTCAGTCAAATATTATTCTGAATGTTTCTGTGAAGGTATTCTTTTTTGGATGACATATAAATCGGAGGATTTAGAGTAAAGCAAATTGCCCTCCACAATGTGAATGGGACCCATTCAATCAGTCAAAGGCCTTCATAGAACAAAGCCTGACCTCCCTGAGCAAGAAGGAATTCTGCTAGCAGAGTGCCTCAAACTGCACTTAAACTGCAACTCTTTCCTTAGTCTCCAGCTGCCGGCCTACCCTATCAGATTTTGGACTCACCAAGCCTCCACAATCACATGAGCCAATTCCTTAAAATAAATCTCGCTTTTCTATATATATAGATATACACATCCTGTTGGTTCTTTTCCTCTGGAGAACCCTGACTAATACAGATTTCCACAGCTAGTCTTGCCCACAGAAAGCCCCTAGGAAGACAGAAACAGGAAACTTCTGGCCTTGAAGTGCAGGTGCTGATAATGGAAGATTACCTTGGTGCAGAATTTCAAGGCTTGAACCTAGGACCTTAAGCTTAGATGACCTGACTGGCTGAGAAGCAGAATTACTGCCTTCTATGGTAATATTATTTGTTTCTAGCTGCTGCCATGGCTGGAAGGTGATAGAAGCCATTGAGCTTGCAATGATTTACTCCTCTGACCTGGCAGACATTTTATTCAGAGTGAGCTAAATGTAGGTGCACCTCTCTGAGATAAGGGAGGAATGAAGAACAAAGTCTGTCCTCCTGTACCCATGTCTACTTTGGGAGCTCTCCTAAAGAGAAGCAATTTTGAGTCTCAGGTGCCATTCTCACCTAGTCCAGAGCCCAGATCCAGCTATATGGTCTGGCTAAGCACATGCAGGAAGGCCAAGTGCCGTGACTGTCACTCTTACATAGAGACCTGCTCTTCCATCTGGTCAAACTCTCGCTGCTCTTGGCTACCTCACCTTCTTGGTCACAAGGATGCAAACATTATGCAGTTTCCAGTTTCCACTTCCTTGTTTTACCTGTTTATTCACAAGATCTTTGTGGCTTGTACTTATTGCCTTAAATTCACAGAGTCTGTATCTATTCTTTATTCCTGAATCCTTTTCCTTCTGTAATATCATTAATTCTTTCTCTGATCAGTGTTGCTCATTCAATAGTGTAAAGAAAAACAGAAATCACCTATATTTCTACTATCCATGGACAGTCCCTATTAGTATATGGGCCTGGGCAATGAAGTGAATGGTAGTGCCATTTACTGACATTGGAAGATTGGGAGAAGAGCATGTTTCAGGGATGGGCATTAAGATGTAAGGGAAACTAAGAATTCAGTTTTGGACAGTTTTGAGATATTTATTAGACATCCAAATGCAAAAGTAGAGTAACAAGGAGTCTGGAATTCAAAAGAGAAACCGAGGTCAGAGATAGAACTTGAAAGTCACTGGCATATAGATGGAATTTAAATTCATGGACAGGATGAGATCACTGAGGAAGTAAAAAAACAGTAGACGCCTGAGGACTGAGTTCTGGGGCACTACAATGTCTAGAAGTGGGGAGGATGAGGAAGAACCAGCAAAAGAAAAGACTAAGAGATTGAACAGGGAGGTAGGAGAACAGGAAAGAGTCAAGTTTCAGAAGCCAAGTGAAGGAAGAAATTCAAGAAGATGTAAGCCATCAATCATGTCAAATGCTGCTGATAAGGTCTAGAAAGATGAGGACTGAGAATTAGCCAATAGACTTGGCAACATGAAAGTCATCGGTGACTTTGACAAGAGCAATTTTGTGGAACAGAAATTGATTAGAAGGGATTTTGGAAAGAAGGGGAGGAGACACAGTGGAGACATTGAGTCTAGATAAGTCTTTCTAGGAGTTTTGCAGAAAGGGAGGGGAGAGATGCAGTGTGGAATGGAGGAGGACATGGCAGGCGGAGGGAGGATTTTTAAAATGGAAGATAGTGGACGGATGCGGAGGCTCATGCCTGTAATTCCAGCACTTTAGGAGGCCAAGGTGGGTGGATCACCTGAAGTCAGGAGTTTCAGACCAGCCTGGCCAGCATGGTGATACCCCGTCTCTACTAAAAATACAAAAATTAGCTGGGCATGGTAGTGGGTGTCTGTAATCCCAGCTACTTGGGAGGCTGAGGCAGGAGAATCGCTTGAACCTGGGAGGCAGAGGTTGCAGTGAGCTGAGATCGCCCCATTGCACTCCAGCCTGGGCAACAAGAGTGAAACTTTGTCTCAAACAAACAAACAAACAAAGGAAGATATTAAATAGCAAGTTTGATGCTGATAATGACAATCATATCACTATTCCATTTGTAGGTATATCATAGTTTATTTAGCCGATCCTGCATTAGAAGACATTTTATGTCTCAGACTTTTCCTATTATAAATAATGCTGTGATAAACATCTGCACTATTTCAAATGCAAATGACAAATCCAGCTTGAAAAATAACTAGCCATCCCTGGACCAATAAATGATGATTGATCAAGGGAGTGGAAACTCTCATGGATCCAGTTTGGGTCAGGTGTCCAGCCAATCAGTGGTGGCCAGGGGGCCTGGGATGGGTGAGATGATATCATTTGAACCATGATGAGATGGGAGTTTCTACAAAGGTGAGTGTGCATGGGAGTTGTTCTGGATAGAATTCAAAAAGCATTTACTGCAACACTCTCATATATCAATCATTGCATTTCTAATTATTTCTTAGCATAAATTCCCATGTGAAATCACTGGGTCAAATAATATTAATATTTTGACAGCTTTTACCAAGCTTTTTGCCAATCTTTATTCTCACCTGCTGAGTATTAGAAAATCATTCCATGTCCCTTCTCCATCTCAGCATTTACTACTATTTTTTAAAAAAATGAAGTATTTGAAAAGTGGAAAATGGTTTCTCATTGTTGTTTTATTTTTTAAAAAACCAGTAAGCCTGAATCCAGGTAAAAATTGGCAGTAACCAACATATGCATTAATAGTCCACTCATTGGGGTATTTAACATGGTGGAACTAAAAGGTTCTGGCCTTCAAGCCACCAGAGGCCTGATAGGCAGATATGTCCCCTTACAACAGCAGGAACGGATGTTTCAAAACACAGCCTCAGTAACCTTTTATTATTATTATTATTATTATTATTATTATTATTATACTTTAAGTTCTAGGGTACATGTGCACAACATGCAGGTTTGTTACATATGTATACATGTGTCATGTTGGTGTGCTGCACACATTAACTAGTCATTTACATTAGGTATATCTCCTAATGCTATCCCTCCCCTCTCCCCCGACCCCTCAACAGGCCCCAGTGTGTGATGCTTCCCTTCCTGTGTCCAAGTGTTCTCATTGTTCAATTCCCACCTATGAGTGAGAACATGTGGTGTTTGGTTTTTTGTCCTTGCGATAGTTTGCTGAGAATGATGGTTTCCAGCTTCATCTAGCAATGGAGTAGAGGTAAAATATACTTGTAATAACTTATTTTTTAACCCTATACTGTAATGTATTATATTTTACAAAAACAGTGACTGTGGCACATCAGAATCTATATAACAGTCACGTGGTTTCTAACGATCAAGAAATACACTGGATGATGAATGTCAAGAAGCCATTGCTTCCACGTGAAATATTTTACCACCACAAGGCTTTGAAATGCAAAATAAATCACAGGTACTATTTCTAAAGATATCTGCCATCAGAACCATCAGTCCATTGGATTCTGAACTGCAATCACAGCTCTTCTTGGACTTTATATAATTTGACAACAGTGTACAGTTCTAAACAGGTATAAATAAACAATATCAAAGCAAAAAAAAAAAAAAACCAAAAAAACAAAAAAACAAGCACACAGCCTCAGAGCCTAGACTTTTTCTTAGAACCTTCCAGCTTGAATTGTTGGAGAGCAGAAGAAGAAAGATTGAATTCCTTTGCCTCAGATTCTCAGCCAAAAGGAGACACCAAGGACACTCTTGGGAAGCCTGTCCTGGTGCACTGGAAAGAAAATCTCAGCCTCAGATTTGGATTTCTTTTGTGTCCTCCATGCACCACAATGGCTTGACTGTCAGCTGCAAGAGAACATGCCTGGGGCCAGAGAGTAGCAGCTGATGGTGGAAACCATGCTCAGCCCATCTCCTCCCTCCCAGATGCTGGTTTAGGTGTCAGTGTGATCTGTGGTGTCACCTTCCATTCCAGGCACCTCTAGCAATGGCTCCTGAGTCCCTAACACCTGGACATTGTTCCCAGGCTAGCTGCTGAGATGATTGAATTCCTTAGGAGAGAAAAATGACCCTTTATTCCAAAAGGGGAAAAGGAGGAGGAGAGAGTTTCATCTTTAAAACTTCTTCTTAAATTGTGTGGAGGAGCTCCATCCTTCATCTTACCATGACACCCCACCAGAGCAAAGCGGTTGGGTCTGCTTTTTTTCTGGGGCCATGATCCTGATTCCTCTATTCCATTTGGGCAAGTCATGTGACCTCTGTGCCTCCAAATTTGTAAAATGAGGAGAATAATGGGTATCACTATCTCTTGGGTGTCATTAATGCTCTTATGAGTAGATTTATACAGTGCTTGCTTCTAATAGGTAACAGAGCATTGAAGAACTAAGATGTACTGCAATGTGTCTTTTAAAAAATTTATTTTTTATTTTTAAATTAAGATGGGGTAAAGGTTTGTAAAGGCAGGGAGGTGAAGATTACAGGAGAAGTCACAGATCAATACGTGGAGGTCATACATTGGTTTGACCTAAAAAGACAGAACATCTTGAAGCAGGGAGGCCACAGGTCATAGGTGGATTCAAAGACTTTCTGATTTGCAATGGGTTAAAGAGGCAAAGCTTTGTTTAAAAATTTGTGATCAGCAGAAAAGAATGTTAGCTCTGGCTTGTGGGTGTGACCTCCTCCAGGCCCCTCAGGAAGAAATTAAGAACACAGAACAGTGGCCAGAGTTCAGTTCTTAATTCCTCCTTATGTGAAACCTATGTGCCAGCGGATCCATTTGGTGGGGGTTTGGGTTTCTGGAAAACAACTCAGGGACATAGGTTAAGACACTATATTTGGTTTCTTTAAATTTTTTAACCTTTATTTTTAATAAATAGGTTCTTGTTTTGTCATCCAGGCTGGAGTACAGGGGTGAGATCATAGCTCAATACAGCCTCGAACTCCTGGGCTCAAGTGCTCCTCTGACCTTAGCTAGGACTGCAGGTGCATACCACCACGGCAAGCTAATTTTTAAATTTTTTGTAGAGATGAGGTCTTGTTGTGTTGTCCAGGCTGGTCTTGAAATCCTGGCTTCAAGGGATCCTCCTGCCTTGGCTTCCCAATTTGCCAGGTACAGGTGTGAGCCATCATAGCAGGCCTGTTATCTTTAGTTTCTGTAGGGAACCAAACAATATTGTGACTTTAACTTCTTTGGGTATTAAGTTACTATTACCTTCTTGCTTATCAAGCTGCTCATTTACTTTTCAAGGCTAGCTAGGTGCCTGGAATTTCCCTTGAAGGAACTCGAGATTTTTCTATATTTCCTTGCTTGGGGTGGCCTACAGGCCCCTAAGACAGGTCCCTGCTCCGTCTCAAAGCTGGTGAATATATCATCTGGGCCCCAGTGCCCGACTGCCTGGCTCTATCATGAGCTCCTTTAATAACCCCTCTTCCCCAGGTGTTCATCCATATCATGTTCCTTCCCTGACCCTGATCAAAACCCAGGGTAGACTCTGAGAATTAATTTTAGTCCACGAGACATCTTTCTGAAGGATATTTGCAACTTAAATCTTATCTTGAGTGGTAAAACAAAGCTCTGGCCACTCTCCCAGGAATTTTAGGCATCAGCAACCAGGAAAGACTTTTTATCAAGCAGCCAGCATTATCAGTGCCCTTAATATTGCAGTATTTTAGTGGTGGATCTTGGAGAATGCTGGACCTGAACAGAATAGTAATTCAAAGTCAGATGTATAAGATGACATATCAGTTAATAATTCTGTTCAGCTGCTAATGGCAGAGGCCCAACTACAACCAAGTAGGAGTTTATTCTCTCACATAGAAGAAGCCCGCAGGTAAAAACTTCAGAGGGGTATCGTATCTGTGATAGTATTAGGGACCTAGGTGTGTTTTCTGCTCTGCCATCCTCAGCATATAACTTCCATCTTCAAAGTAGCCCCATGGACCCAATATGGTTCCTGGAGGTCCAGCCATAACATCCTCTCTCCAGAAAGGAAGAAAGGAAACAGCATGAAACAAAAGGGAGGCACCATCATGCTGAGTTAGTCTTCTTAGTCCTTTTTTTGTCTCACACTGTGGCCCAGGCTGGAGTGCAGTGGCATGATAACGCCTCACTGCAGCTTCAGCCTCCCTGGGCTCAGGCAATCCTCCCATCTTTGCCTTCCGAGTAGTTGGGACTACAGGCATGTGCCACCACAACCGGTTAATTTTTGTATCTTTTTTGTAGAGATAGGGTTTCGCCATGTTGCCCAGACTGGTCTTGAACTCCTGGGCTCAAGTGATCTGCCCCCTTTGGCCTTCCAAAGTGCTAGGATTACAGGTGTAAGCCACTGCACCTGGCCTGAGTTAGTCTTCTTTATGGAGCTCTCCTGAAAGCCCTATCCAAAGATTTCTATTTACATCTCCCTAGCTGCAAGGGAAGCTGGGAAGGTAGACTTTTAGCTGAACACATTGCTGACCTGAAATGAATCAGAATTCTGTTGTGCTAATAGAGAAGGTGAAAAAGGATAATGGGTGGAAAAACTGTTATCTCTACCATAGATACTATTTCTTTTAAGCCAGCTATGTTCTCTGTTTTGCTTTGTTTTTAGGGCTGAGTAGGTGGACATATGCCAACTCACTTGGCTGACTTAAGTCATCACCAAAAAATAAATGGTATCCCTCCCAGCTGATTAGTTTTTTTTTTCCAGCCAGATTAAAGGTCTGAATTACAGGAGATTTTTTTTTAAAGACATTGTAATTTTCTCCTCAAATTTCTTTGCATGCCTTTAACTGGTAAGTCCTTCTTGGTAGTTTCACTGCATTTGGATTTTAAACCTACCACTCTTCTCAAGTTGCTCCTATGAACGTCTTCAATGACCTTCCTGATGGCTAGATTCAAGATACCCACTTCAGTACTTATCTTTCTTAAACACACCATGGCTGTTGATGCCAGTGACCACTCCACGGATTCCAAAACCATCCACTTCCTGTAAGTCCTAGCTCTTTTTCAATTCTTTCTTCATTGTCTCTCTGTGTAGACGTGTCTTCCTTTTCTGACCCCAGGGTTCTACCCCCAAACCCTCTTCACTTCTTTCTCCAACATTCTTCCTGAGAGATGTCAGTCATTCCAATGACTGTATGCTAAGGATGCCCAGTCTGCATTTGCAGCTCAAGTGTCTCTCTTGAGATCCTGCATTATACATTTAAAGGTTTCCTGGGTATCTTCATTTGGAAGACCTATAGATAACTCTAACTTAAGTTCAAAAGTTAGCTCACTATCCTTCTCCCCAGATACATTCCTCTTCCTCCTTTTTCTGTTTAGGCCCCCCTTTCCCCTCTAGATACCCAGCTAGAAACTTGGAAACCATCCTCATTCTCCACATTCAATTGATCTCAGAATCCTGCTGCTTCAAATTCCCTTTATATCTCCTGAATCTGTCCCCTCCTGACTATTTTCCCTTGCATTACACAGGCTCTGGCTTGCACTGGCTTTCTAATAGACTTTAAAAAATTATGGTAAAAAAAATATATAAAAGTTACCATTTTAACCATTTTTAAGCATTTGGTACAGTGACATTAGGTAGAGTCCCATTGTTGTGCAACCATCACCATCATCTATCCACAGAACTTTTTTGATCTTGCAAAGCTGAAACTCTATACCCATTAAATGATAACTCTCCCTCCCTCCACCCTCTATACCAGACCCTGGAAACCACCATTCTACTTACTGTCTCTATAAATTTTACTACTCTAGACACCTTACATTAGTGAGATTATACACAATTTGTATTTTTGTTGCCGGCTTATTTCATTTGAGCTGGAAATAAGACTTGGCATCCTTAGCATATAGTCATTAGAATGACTGAAATACTTGGCACAATATTTTCAAGGTTCATCCTCATTGTAGCATGTGTCAGAATTTCCTCCCTTTTTTTTTTTTTTTTTTTTTTTTTCTTTGAGACGGAGTCTCGTTCTGTCGCCCAGGCGGGAGTGCTGTGGCGCGATCTCCGCTCACTGCAAGCTCCGCCTTCCGGGTTCACGTCATTCTCCTGCCTCAGCCTCCCGAGTAGCTGGGACTACAGGCGCCCGCCACTGCGCCCGGCTAATTTTTTGTATTTTTAGTAGAGACGGGGTTTCACCGTGGTCTCGATCTCCTGACCTCGTGATCCGCCCGCCTCGGCCTCCCAAAGTGCTGGGATTACAGGCGTGAGCCACCGCGCCCGGCCCAGAATTTCCTTCCTTTTAAAGACTGAATAATATTCCATTTTACATATATACCACCTTTTGTTTCTCTGTTCATCCATTGATTGAATGGGTGACCTCCACCTTTCAGCTATTGTGAATGCTGCTGCTATGAAGGTGGGTTTACAAATATCTCTTTGTGTCTCTGCTTCTAATTTTTTGATTATAGACTCAACAGTGGAATTGGAATTGCTGGATCACATGATAATTCTGTTTTTAATTATTTACCTCTCGTGGACCTTTGCAACTGTCCCCTCACTGTCTTCTATCTTCTTCATGACAAATGCATTCTCCCACTCTAGGTAGAGTTTATTTTTTTTAAAGGCAAACGTGCTTTTGTCATTTCCCTGATTAAAGCCTTTCTATGGCTCCATGTTAGGCAATGATGCAATTCAAAGCTTTAGCACAGCACACAAGGATCTTCATGAGATGATCCCTTTGCTTGTCTTGTCTTATCTCCCAACATTATCTCCTGAATGTTCTACCACAAAACTTATAACCTTACATTGTACAATTATCAATGGTTTAATCAATTTATTAAACAAGTGTTTACGGAACACTTACTGTTCTGGACATAGGTTCTATAGCAGTGAAGAAAACAAAGTCCCTGCCTTCATGGATTTTCCATTTTGGTGGGTCTTGGCAGTGATGGTAGAAGGCTATAAACAAATAAATAATATATCAGGTGGTGATAAGTGCCATAAACAAATATAAAGAGGCACAGAGAATGCTGCGGGGAGGTTGCTATCTTAGCTAAGGTGGTCAGGGAAGACCTCTCTAATGAGGTGACTTTTGAACAGAGACCTGAAAGTAGTAAGAGGGGGAGCCATGAGGATATGTGGGGGGATGGCATTCTTAGAGGCTGCAGTGATTGCAAAGCTCTGTGACAGGAGTGACCCTGGCAAGAGCAACAGGGGGGCCCATATGGCTGGGGTAGAGTGAGCCAGGGGAAAAGTGGTTGAAGATGAGATCAAAGAATTAGAAGAGAAATCAGATCATGTCGACTCTTAAGGCCATAGGAAGGACTTAAAGTGCTCTAAGACAAAAAATTATTGGAAAGCTTTGAGAAGAGGAACAAGATATGATCATGTTTTGAGAGGACCTCTCTCAATGCAGTATGTGAAATATACTCTGCAGTGGGGAAGTGCAGAGGTACAGGTGCCAGCTGGAAGACCATGAAAATAATCCAGGCAACAGAGAATCGTGGTTTGGACAAGAAGGGTTGTAATGGAGAGGGTGAGATGTTATATTCTGCATATAACTTGTAGGTAAAGCTGACAGAATTTTCCAAGGTATTGGATGCAGAGTATGAAAGGAAGGGAACAATGACTCCAAATTTGTGGCATGTCAACCAAATGGAAAAATAATATGGCACCATCAAAACCAAAATTATGAAGACTGTGGAAATATGGGCAAATATTTATAATGAAATATTAAGTGAAAAGAATGGAATTCAAAACAGCATGTTTCCAATGATTACAAGTCTGTTAATTGCAAACAACTAGTAATATGCCAAAATAATAATAATTCTATGGTAAATTTTAGAAATTATCAGCCTTAAAACCAAGGGTATCACTGGTAAAAGGTTAGTGTGCCCTTTTCAGGATTAGGCCGTCACGTAATTCCACAAATTAACTCTCTTGGTCTCAGTGCATAAGAAATAGAATGACGGAATCTAGACATGGATGGTGGGGTGCTGGTGGGGGGTGGTTGGAGATCACCTGATACAACCCTCTCCTCTTACGGTGACAGAACCAAAGGCTCCAAATATTAATGGTGTTCCATAAGGTCACACTGTTAATTATGAGCAGAGCTCAACCTAACGTGCAGCCTACTAACACTTGGTCCACTAGTCCTGGTAAATCCTTGCACCTAATTTTATTTTCTGCTTTTGAAATTATCCTGGAAATGTATTTCTCACAGTTTACTGAAATCTTGTTTCTTGGTGATTTATTCAAAATCACTCTACTCACCTAGACTTGTTTGCATGCAAAGTATACCCTATTTTCAAAGTTGAGAAGACGTGAAATGTCTTTTCC